>NC_000016.10:31638558-31953765 GCF_000001405.40 Homo sapiens | reverse complement strand
AAAGAGGTAATACAGAAAATGAACTTAGAATTTGTTGTAATACAAGGAAACAGGGAAGTGTTCAAAAACAAAAGGATGAGGTGCACTGTAAGGATACAGGATCCAAACTAAATGAGCTCCCAGGACCTAATAAAGCTGTGGTGATTTGAACGATAAAATGAGTAATATAGCATGGATCTTCTTCAGAGTATGAAATATATATTCATAAACCAATACACATATTAATAGATGATTATGAAAATAAATATTGGGAAGATGAACACATCTCCTTACAGAAGTATTCCAAATATCTGAGGTGAATAGTCCTCCAATCAAGTAGGTGAAGTTTAAACACTCATGAGTTGATTGTGGCCTGAGCTTAGACACATGGAAAAAATAACCACTATTTGGTATTCTATAATGAGACTTCAGATATAATGCCAAAAACATCATCTATGAATGAATACAATTTTACATGTTTTTGAATCTAAATTTGTACAAACACACACATACACACACAGACACATGCACACACACACGTATGTTTCTGCAATACACACTGATAAGGGAGTAAAGACAGCCACAGACTTGGAAAAAATACTTCCAAGTCACATATTTGTTAAATGAATTCTTTTAATTTGTTAAGTGACTTTTATAAACAATATGCAAGTAAACTTACAATGAATCAAAACAAAGCAATGCAGTTAAAATGAACCAAATATCAGGAGAGGCATCTCAACAAAAGTTATTGGAAAATTGTTAAATATGAACTTTTTGAGGGACATGTGCATTTAAATAAAAATTAGATCCCATTATTCACCTACTAGATTGGTTAAAACACACAACTCTCATAAGGATACATGGCAATATGAATGTGGAAAACCAAGAACTATCGTGCATTGATGGTGGGAATTCAAAATGCTACACGCACAAAAGGAAATTTTTTTGGCATTTTTAATAGATATAAATGCAGACTTAAAATGTGATTTTGTGTCTGTATTCCAAAATACTTACAGCACTGATTAAGAAATTAATGTTTACAGAGATACCTTCAGAGGAAGTTCTATATTAGTTTCATTAATTTGATTCATTCTCTAATCATTGAAATTTGTTTACAGAATAAATGTTGTATGAAAAATCTCTCAAATAATTAAAATTTCTCAAATACACATTAATATTGTTCCTTTTCTTTAATGACTTAATGTCATTTTCTAAGCAAATCTTTAATCTAATAATCTTTGTCATCTCCTCTGTGTCAGCACAGGTGTCTCCTTCCTGGGGTTTCTGACACTCTCAGGATGTGGGTTTTTGCACTGTGTCTCTCACACAGTAATACACGACCATGTCTTCAGATCTCAGGCTGCTCAGCTCCATGTAGGCTGTGCTCATGGACCTGTCACTGGTAATGGTGACTCTGCCCCAGAACGTCTGTGCATAGTGTGTGTTATCATTGTAAGGGTTGATTCATCCCATCCACTATGCCCTTGTCCAGGGCTTTGTCACACCCACCGTGTAAAGTATTTGGTGAAGGTGTATCTGGAAGCCTGGCAGGAGACCTTCACTGAGGACCCAGGCTTCTTCACCTCAGCCCCAGGCTGCAACAGCTGAACCTGGGAATGGACACCTGTGAGGAGAATGGAGGAGTTGATAAAAGCCCCCTTGACTGAACTCAATCCCCTCCTCATCACTGGTACTTGGGAGCCCCTTACCTGTGGCAGCTGCCACCAAGAAGCGGATCCCCCAGGTACAGTCCATGGTGAGGAGCTGTGTTCTCAGGGGCTTCTATAGAGGAGGGATGTGGTTGTTGGGTGATGCTCTCAGGGCACAGACATCCAAATTTACCTCAGTGGATCTCAGGTTATTTGCATATTCATGAGATAGCATTTCATAGCACAAAGCCTGGTTAATAATAAGAAAGGGAAGATAAATGACACATCAGATTTACAAGAGTGAGATGCTGATGGTCCAAGCCCTATTCCTGTTTGAGGAAATGCATGCCCTGCTCCATTTATGAACATTCATGAACAGAGGTCCTTTCACAGAAGAACAATCCCCCTCAGGACACGCTCCTCACTGTGAACCTACATTTTATAAGCACAGAGACCACCTGGATAATTTCTGGAACCATCACTCTCCATGACACTGAGCAGGTGCCTTGGTTCTGTCCTGGATCCATCAGTCACCAGCACAGCTGACTGATGACTGAGGAAGTTACTGCTGATGTCCCACGTGAGTGACCAGCAGGTCCCTCTGAGATCTGCTGGGCACTCCTGAAACAGTGTCTCCAGCACCTGCCTGGTGTTCAGATCCCCCAGGATCTTCAATAGAAACACTCTTGTTTACAGATTTGCTCTGTGATGTGTGATTAGAGATGATTTTCTCATCTCAGGAACCATAAGAATCAGAAGCTGAAACGGTAGTTTCAAATTCTTTATGAACTCATTGCTCCCAAAATATTTGTCAAGGAATTTGTGTTTTGAATAATTTGGGGTTAATTTTGGACTCAATTTATTGGAATTTTTTGAAGTATTTATATATTTTCAATTAATATCCATAGGTCCTCATCTTTACATATTGATATCTAACTCACCTGGTCTGTGCCCCCAACAGCCCAGACCCTGCCTTGCAAAGAGGTTCCTGCTGGGACTTACAAATCATTTCCCCCAAGCTTCTCTAGCCCAGCATGAAATGGCTGTGTCCTGGTTTATCATACTCCTTCAGTGACACCATATGCTGCTGACACCATCTCTTGAAACAACTGATTAGCCTTACTAAACCTATTGAACTCTGCAAGGAGACCCAGAGCAAGGATTCAATGACACAGAAGGGAGCCCCTTCTCTGAAGCTCCAGATTCACTTCATTAGTGGAACCAAAATGAAGACAAAAACTTACAGGAGATTTGGGAGTGCCGTGTTTCTTCACTGGGCTCTTGTAGTTGAATGTTGCATCTGAGAATACCAGCAGGTGCAGATACATTCAGATGAAAGCCCACTCCATACCCACTATTCCAATAACACACATTTTCCCTTCTTCCTAATATGTAGCTTTTAGGAAGTGCCTCCTACACTGACACTAGGCCCAGTTATCTGACTTTCTTCTCCTAGAGATTTAAAGCAAACAGGATACAGGTGGAGACTTGGGAAGTGCATGCAGGTTGTTATTTTCACTTTCTCAGCTGGGAAACCAGCAAAGTCCCCATAATAAAAGAAGCTGAGATCTATGATGGCATTTACAAGATGTTGGTCTTAAAAATCATGATGTCAGAGGCTTCACATTGCTCTACTGCCTTTGTCTCACCCTCTGTCATTGTCTTAGTGTTTCTGTATTCTCCTCAGATAGAGTCTGTGCATTGCCACACTTTCATCTTTAATCCATAGTCATCATCCTAGTTAGAATGGATTGTGCAGTGCAGGTAAGCACTGCCTGTTCTTCCAATGGAAACCTAGAGATTCAATAGGCTTCCTCTTCTGGGCTGTGACCTTGAAAAAGCATCTCCAGGGGAAAAGCTCATTTTTGGCTGTTACTCCCTTTTGTGGTTTTGGCCTCCCTGGACTATTTACGTACATCTTACCCCTTTTGGCTAACTTTACTCATTCATATAATAATGGAAGAATGGGAGAGAATCTGGAATGGGAGATTTGTCTTCCTTCACATAGGATAAGGTTCTGGAAAAGTCATTCCCTTTAGAAGCTTTTGAAGTAGGCTCCTGGTATAGTTTTCTGTAATTAATCATCTTCATTTCATCTTCAATTCTGACCCACAGGAAATTTATTTGGATTGTATATTTTAGAATCTGGAGGTTTCTGGAGAGAAAGTCCAGAAACCTTAGAAGTATAAGACCCTCTGGAATGGTCACATTTACTGAGTCCACATTTGTCTTTCAGACGTCTATAGTGGTTACCATGTAAGTGCCCTCAACAGCTTGTGGCTTCTGCAGCTTCTGCAGTTTCTGCGCAAAGGACAGAATCTCATCATTTTTATGACTGGATAGTGTTTCATTGTGTATATGTGCCACACTTGTAAATTCATTTATCCATTGATAGACACTTAGGTTGATTCCATGTCTTAGCTATTGTAAATAGTGCTAGATATGGAAAGTGGATATGTCTCTTCAATATACTGATTACAGTTTTGGGGATATATAGCCAGCATTGTATTTGGTGAATCATTTGGTAGTTCTATTGATAATTTTTTGGGAAACTTTGTACTGTTTTTCCTAATGGCTGCACTAATTTAAATTTCCACCAATAGTGTATAAATGTTTCTCTTTATCCACATCCATACCAGCATTTGTAATTTTTTTAAATTATAGCCATCCTAAGTGAGATAAGATGATGTCTCATTTTGTTTATGATTCGTGTTTCCCTGATGGTTGGTTGTGTATCTTCTAAAACTTCCTTTTCAATATGCATGGATTTCATTTATTTTTCATGCTTAATTTATCTGGCTATGACTTCAGTACTATGTTGAATAGCAACCATGAAAGCAGGCATCCTTGCCTTGTTCCTGATCTCAAAGAAAAGACTTTTATTTTTTACCACTGTGTATGATGTTACCTGTGAGTTTTTAAATAAACATCCTTTCTCATGTTGAAGTAGTTTTTGTCATTGTCTAGTATTATTAGTAATTTTAACATAAAAATGTGTTGAGTGTTGTCAAATGCTTTTTTGCATCAATTGAGATAATCATGTATAGTCTTTTTTTCTTCATTCTGTTAATGTGGTGTATTTCATTGATGAGCCAACTTTACATTGTAGTAACAAACTTAACTTAATCATAGTGTATAATCCTATTAATAAGTTGTTCTTGGGTTTGCTAGCATGCTATTGAGAATTTATGAGTCAATTTTCATAAGGGACTTTGGTCTGTATTTTTTTTTTTTACTCATAGTGTTTTGTATCAGGGTCATGCCAGCCTCGAAAAATGAACTGTTTCATTCTACTCAACTCTTTGGAAACATTCAGGAAGATTGTTGTTAATTCTTTAAATGATTAGTAGAATTTAGCAGTAAAGTTATCTGATCCTGTGCTTTTCTTTGTCTGAGAAATTTGATTGTGATTCAATCTACTTACTAGTTAGTTACAGCTTTATTCTGATTTTCTATTTCTCCATAATTGACACTTGGCAGGCAGTAAGTTTCTAGGATTGTTCCATTTTATTGAGGTCATCCAACTGGTTTTCAAGGGTTCATAATACTCTCTTATGGTCTTTTTTATTTCTATAAAATCAGCAGTAATATTTCTATTTTTTTTTAGTTATGTAATTCCTCTTTCTTTTTTATTTATTTGTTTTGGTTATTTAGCTAGAGGTATGTCAATTTTGTTTATCTTTTTTTTTTTTAAGTTTCACTCTTGTTGCCTAGGCTGGAGTGCAATGGCCTGATCTTGGCTCACCACAACCTCCACCTCCCGGGTTCAGGCGATTCTCCTGCATTAGCCTCCCCAGTAGCTGGGATTTCAGGCATGTGCCACCACTCCTGGCTAATTTTGTATTTTTAGTAGAGATGGGTTTTCTCCATGTTGGTCAGGCTGGTTTCGAATCACCGACCTCAGGTGATCCGCCTGCCTCAGCCACCCAAAGTGCTGGGATTACAGGCCTGAGCCACTGCGCCCAGCCGAATTTTGTTTATCTTTTCCACCAACCAACCGTTAGTATTATTGATTTCTTTATAGTTTTATAATCTCTATTTGGTTTACCCTGGGCTCTAGTCTTTATTATTTTTTCTTACACTAGCCTTGGATTCAGTTCTTTTAAAATATTTTCTTAAGGCATAAAGTTATGCTGTTGATTGAGGTCTCTCCTTTCTAATGTAAGTATTTACAGATATAAATTTCTTTTTTAGCATTGGTTTCACAGCATCCACCTCAAATATTTTGTTGTGTTTTGCTTTTATGTTCATTTGTATCAAAATAATTGTGTAAATTTCCTTGTAATTTTTTCTAGGAACAATCAGTTAGTTAAGTGTGTTATGTAATTTTCATGTTTGTGAGTTTCCCATTTTTCATTCTGCTGTCGATTTTTGAGATTCCTTCCACTGTGTTCAAAAGAAATATTTTATATAATTTCAATAATATGTAATTTATTATGACTCCTGTAGTCCAACATGTAACTTATTTGAATAATATTCTATGTACAATAGAAAACATGTATTCTGGTGTATTTTTTGTTCTTTATTTAAAAGTTTTATTTTTAATTTTTGTGGGTACATAGTAGGTTTTCTCTCTGGAAGATCTGTCCCACGCTGAATATTTTCACTAAATATACTATTCTAGATAAAAGTGGTGTTTTTTTTTTCAACACTCTAAATATGTCATGCTACTCTCTCCTGGCCTATAAAGTTTCCACTGAAAAGTCTGCTGCCAGACATTTGTTTCCTTTCTCTTGCTGCTTTTTAAATCCTTTCTATATCTTTGACTTTTGGGAGTTTGACTATTAAATGACTTGATTTTGTCTTCTTTGGGTTAAATCTTTTTGGTGTTCTATAACCTTCTTGTCCATGAATATTAATATATTTTCTAGGTTCGGAAAATTCTCTGTTATTATCCCTTTGAACAAAGTTTCAAGTCCACCTCTTTCTCTACTTCCTTTTTAAGGCCAATAACTGTGAGAGCTTCTCTTAAAGACTATTTTCTAGATCTTGTAGGCATGCTTCATTGTTTATTCTTTTTCTTTTGTCTCCTCTGACTGTGTATTTTCAAATAGCCTGTCTTCAAGCTGACTAATTCTTTCTTCTGCTAGATAAATTCTCCTAGATACACTGATGCATTCTTCAGTATATTAATTGCATTTTCAACTTAGAATTTCTGCTTGATTCTATTTAATAATTTCAGTTTCTTCATTGAATTTGTCTAATAGAACTCTGAATTTCTTCTCTGTGTTATCTTTAATTTTTTTGCGTTTCCTCCACAGAGTTACTTTGAATATTCCATCTGAATGGTCACATATCTGTTTTTCCAAGATTTTTTTTTTTGGTCCATTGCTTACTTTGGTGAGGTCGTCTTTTCCTGGATGGTCTTAATGCTTGTAGATGTTTGTCAGTTTCTAGGTATTGCAGAATTAGGCAATTATTGTAGTCCTCACAGTCTGGGCTTTTTTCTGCCTATCCTTGGGAAGGCATTCTAGGTATTCATAGGGACTTAGACCCCAAGCCCAATAATGCTCTGGTTGTCTCAAATTCATAGAGGTACTGCTTTGATGGTCTTGGATAAGATCTTAAAGAATTTTATGGATTACCTGGTGGAGGTTTTGTTCTTTTCCCTTACTTCCTCCCAAAGAAATGGAGTCTCTCTCTCTCCATACAATACTGGGCTTGTGTGGATATAAGCACTCCTGTGGCCACCACCACTGGGGATGCACTCATTCAGACAGAAAACTGGCACAACACTGACTCTTGCCCAAGGCCTGCTGTAATCACTGTCCGGCTACCACCTATGTTCACTCAAGGCCTAGTGCTCTAGAATTTTCAGGCTGTGAAGCCAGCCAGGTTTGTGTACCTCTTTTCAGGGCAGTGAGTTTTCCCATGTTCAGGTGAATCCAGAGATGCTATCTGAGGGCCCGGGATTGGAGTTTAAAACCTTGTAAATTTACCCGATGTTCAATTCTACTGTGGCTAAGCTGGCACTCAAACCACAAGACAAAGCCCTTCTCACACTTTGATCTTTTTTCTATAGGCAGAGGAGCCTATAGAAAAAAGAGCCTTGTGTCCACCACCACCACCACTGCTCCATGGAGGTTTCTGCTAGGTCACTGCCAGTGTCACTTAAAGCTTAAGGGCTCTTGAGTCAGCTTGTTGTGAATGCTGCCAGGCATAGGACTCCCCCTTCAGGGCAATGGGCTCCCATCTGGCCCAGGGCCAGGTCTATAAATGCTGTCCAAGAGCCTACGCCTGGACGTGGGGACCCACGAGCCCACTTGGTTCTCTAACCCATTGTAGCTGAGGTCGTTTTACTTTTTCTTCAGCTTTTCTCAAACAGAAAGTCTTTCATCATAGCCACAACAGCTGGGAATGTGCCGGGTCACATCTGAAGCCAGCATGTCTCAAAACCCAGGGTCCATGGTGTACTACCTGGGTATTGCTGTTGGTTATTCAGGGCTTAAGGGTTCTTTAGTCAATATGTGATGAATCTTGCCAGGACTAGGTCCTTCTATTGAAGGCATGAAGCAGGTTTCCTTTTGGCATAAGGTATTTCCTGAAATGTCATCCAAGAGCTAGGGTCTGGAATGGGAGCCTTACAACTCTTCCTGCTGCCCTAACCTACTGTGGCTGAGCTGGTATCCAAGATGCAAGATGATATCTTCTTTACTCCTCATTCTCCTCTACTCAACCAGAAGGAAGGAATCAGTTCTGTTACTGCCAGCTATCCAGGCTGAGTTTGGGGGACAGATAGCAGCAGCCCTCCCTTAGCCACCCTGTCTAGTGTCTCCCTAGTTCATGTGCCACCCTAGTCCACTGGCTCTAAGACCAACCCAGCACTAGGAGTTGCCTAGGAATTGCAATACTTGTGTTCTAGACAGTCTTTCAAGTTTTCCTAGGAACGCTGAGCACTTTGGCTGGCAGTGGAAAGGCCTGCCAAGAAGCTCAAGTTTTGACTGCTGGGATAGGCTAATCCCTCTAGCTAGGACTGGCCCTAATTCATGAACACTGGCTAAGCCCAACATGGCTTTGCTCTCTGCTGTGGCAGAGAAGCACTGAGCTCAATGTAAAGTCCCCCAGTTGCTGCAATCTCCCTCCCCTAAAGCCACAGACTTTTGCTCTGTGCTACAAGGCCACTGCCAGCAAGTTGGTGAGGTGTGGCATTGGTGATTCAAGACTGTTTCTCCTACCTACCCTTTTCAGTGCTTCTTTCAGCAATATAAAGTTAAAACCAGATACAGTGATTGCTCATTTGTTTTTTGGTCTTGTGATGTTGCTTTTTTGTGTGTAGTTGTAAAAATTTGGTGTTCCTGTTGGGGGAAAGTATCGTGTAGGCTTCTATTCAACCGTCTTGCTCCATCTGAGTGGAGTGTTGTGTTTTTACATCTGTTAGTTCCAATTGGCTTATAGTGTTGTTCAAGTTCTTTATTTTTTTGTTGATTCTCTGTCTAGTTGTGCTACTCATTTTTTTCACTTACATAAATTTATGGGATACAAGTGCAATTTTATTACATGCATAGATCACATAGTGGTCAAGTCAGGGCTTTTAGATAGTCATCACTCAGGTAACATACAAGGTACCCATTAAGTAACTTCTCATCATTCATTCTCCTTCCACCTCCTCACCATTTGGAGTCTTCATTATTGAAAGTGGAATATTTACATTTCCTAGTATTATTGTAGAGCTGTTCATTTCTGCCTTTAATTCTGTCAGTGTTGGCTTCTTGTATTTTGTACGTTTGATGTTCAGTGCATTTGTGTTTATAATTGTTGTATCTTCCTGATAAAAGAATCTTTTTGTCATAGGACATCCTTTCTGTCTTGTATAATAGTTTTAGACTGAAATCTTCTTGTTTGGATGTGAGTAGAGCCACCCCATCTGTCTTTTGGGCACTGTTTGCATGAGATGTATTTTTTCATTCTTTCACTTTCAATCTATATTTGTCTTTGGATCTAAAGTGAGTCTCTTGCAGACACTGTATAGTTTGATCCAATTTCCTATAAATTGAAAAAAAATTTATTTTTCCAATTTGGATCCATTTATTTGAGTTTACTTTTTACTTAAAGTAACTGCTAATAGAAGGAAAACTTACATTGTATTATTGTTTGCTGTATGTCTTACAATTTTTTTCCTCATTTATTCCATATCTGCTTTCATTTTTTGTCTTATTTTATTTGCTGTACACAGATACATTTTTGTTTTCTTATCATTTCCTTTTGTGTATATTCTATAGATATTTTCTTTGTCATTACCATAGAAACTGCGTACAACATCCTAAAACTATGAAAATCTATCTTAAATGTATACCAACTTAAACTGTGTACAAAACTATAATATTCTAGTGTGTCACCTTCTCTATTAATATCACAAATTACATGTTTATTTTTCTGTAGTTGTTAACACAGATTTATGATATCATTTCTCATTATTTTATTTTATTTTATTTTTATTTTATTATTGTTATACTTTAAGTTTTAGGGTACATGTGCACAATGTGCAGATTAGTTACATATGTATACATGTGCCATGTTGGTGTGCTGCACCCATTAACTCGTCATTTAGCATTAGGTATATCTCCTAATGCTATCCCTCCCCCCTACCCCCACCCCACAACAGTCCCCAGAGTGTGATGTTCCCCTTCCTGTGTCCATGTGTTCTCATCATTCAATTCCCACCTATGAGTGAGAACATGCGGTGTTTGGTTTTTTGTCCTTGCGATAGTTTACTGAGAATGATGATTTCCAATTTCATCCATGTCCTACAAAGGACATGAACTCATCATTTTTTATGGCTGCATAGTATTCCATGGTGTATATGTGCCACATTTTCTTAATCCAGTCTATCATTGTTGGACATTTGGGTTGGTTCCAAGTCTTTGCTATTGTGAATAGTGCTGCAATAAACATATGTGTGCATGTGTCTTTATAGCAGCATGATTTATAGTCCTTTGGGTATATACCCAGTAATGAGATGGCTGGGTCAAATGGTATTTCTAGTTCTAGATCCCTGAGGAATCGCCACACTGACTTCCACAATGGTTGAACTAATTTACAGTCCCACCAACAGTGTAAAAGTGTTCCTATTTCTCCACATCCTCTCCAGCACGTGTTGTTTCCTGACTTTTTAATGATTGCCATTCTAACTGGTGTGAGATGATATCTCATTGTGGTTTTGATTTGCATTTCTCTGATGGCCAGTGATGATGAGCATTTTTTCATGTGTCTTTTGGCTGCATAAATGTCTTCTTTTGAGAAGTGTCTGTTCATGTCCTTCGCCCACTTTTTGATGGGGTTGTTTGTTTTTTTCTTGTAAACTTGTTTGAGTTCATTGTAGATTCTGGATATTAGCCCTTTGTCAGATGAGTAGGTTGCAAAAATTTTCTCCCATTTTGTAGGTTGTCTGTTCACTCTGATGGTAGTTTCTTTTGCTGTGCAGAAGCTCTTTAGTTTAATTAGATCCCATTTGTCAATTTTGGCTTCTGTTGCCATTGTTTTTGGTGTTTTAGACATGAAGTCCTTGCCCATGCCTATGTCCTGAATGGTAATGCCTAGGTTTTCTTCTAGGGTTTTTATGGTTTTAGGTCTAACATGTAAGTCTTTAATCCATCTTGAATTAATTTTTGTATAAGGTGTAAGGAAGGGATCCAGTTTCAGCTTTCTACATATGGCTAGCCAGTTTTCCCAGCACCATTTATTAAACAGGGAATCCTTTCCCCATTGCTTGTTTTTCTCAGGTTTGTCAAAGATCAGATAGTTGTAGATATGTGGCATTGTTTCTGAGGGCTCTGTTCTGTTCCATTGATCTATATCTCTGTTTTGGTACCAATACCATGCTGTTCTGGTTACTGTAGCCTTGTAGTGTAGTTTGAAGTCAGGTAGCGTGATGCCTCCAGCTTTGTTCTTTTGGCTTAGGATTGACTTGGTGATGTAGGCTCTTTTTTGGTTCCATATGAACTTTAAAGTAGTTTTTTCCAATTCTGTGAAGAAAGGCATTGGTAGTTTGATGGGGATGGCATTGAATCTATAAATTACCTTGGGCAGTATGGCCATTTTCACGAAATTGATTCTTCCTACCCATGAGCATGGAATGTTCTTCCATTTCTTTGTATCCTCTTTTATTTCATTGAGCAGTGGTTTGTAGTTCTCCTTGAAGAGGTCCTTCACATCCCTTGTAAGTTGGATTCCTAGGTATTTTATTCTCTTTGAAGCAATTGTGAATGGGAGTTCACTCATGATTTGGCTCTCTGATTGTCTGTTATTGGTGTATAAGAATGCTTGTGATTTTTGTACATTGATTTTGTATCCTGAGACTTTGCTGAAGTTGCTTATCAGCTTAAGGAGATTTGGGGCTGAGACAATGGGGTTTTCTAGATATACAATCATGTCATCTGCAAACAGGGACATGATTTGACTTCCTCTTTTCCTAATTGAATACCCTTTATTTCCTTCTCCTGCCTAATTGTCCTGACCAGAACTTCCAACACTATGTTGAATAGGAGTGGTGAGAGAGGGCATCCCTGTCTTGTGCCAGTTTTCAAAGGGAATGTTTCCAGTTTTTGCCCATTCAGTATGATATTAGCTATGGGTTTGTCATAGATAGCTCTTATTATTTTGAGATATGTCCCATCAATACCTAATGTATTGAGAGTTTTTAGCATGAAGCGTTGTTGAATTTTGTCAAAGGCCTTTTCTGCATCTATTGAGATAATCATGTGGTTTTTGTCTTTGGTTCTGTTTATATGCTGGATTACATTTATTGATTTGCATATGTTGAACCAGCTTTGCATCCCAGGGATGAAGCTCACTTGATCATGGTGGATAAGCTTTTTGATGTGCTGCTGGATTCGGTTTGCCAGTACTTTATTGAGGATTTTTGCATCAATGTTCATCAAGGATATTGGTCTAAAATTCTCTTTTTTGTTGTGTCTCTGCCTGGCTTTGGTATCAGGATGATGCTGGCCTCATAAAATGAGTTAGGGAGGATTCCCTCTTTTTCTATCGATTTGAATAGTTTCAGAAGGAATGGTACCAGTTCCTCCTTGTACCTCTGGTAGAATTCGGCTGTGAATCCATCTGGTCCTGGACTCTTTTTGGTTGGTAAGCTATTGATTATTGCCACAATTTCAGAGCCTGTTATTGGTCTATTCAGAGATTCAACTTCTTCCTGGTTTAGTCTTGGGAGGGTGTATGTGTCCAGGAATTTATCCATTTCTTCTAGATTTTCTAGTTTATTTGCATAGAGGTGTTTGTAGTATTCTCTGATGGTAGTTTGTATTTCTGTGGGATCGGTGGTGATATCCCCTTTATCATTTTTTATTGCATCTATTTGATTCTTCTCTCTTTTCTTCTTTATTAGCCTTGCTAGTGGTCTATCAATTTTGTTGATCCTTTCAAAAAACCAGCTACTGGATTCATTAATTTTTTGAAGGGTTTTTTGTGTCTCTATTTCCTTCAGTTCTGCTCTGAATTTAGTTATTTCTTGCCTTCTGCTAGCTTTTGAATGTGTTTGCTCTTGCTTTTCTAGTTCTTTTCATTGTGATGTTAGGGTATCAATTTTGGATATTTCCTGCTTTCTCTTGTGAGCATTTAGTGCTATAAATTTCCCTCTACACACTGCTTTGAATGTGTCCCAGAGATTCTGGTATGTTGTGTCTTTGTTCTCATTGGTTTCAAAGAACATCTTTATTTCTGCCTTCATTTCGTTATGTACCCAGTAGTCATTCAGGAGCAGGTTGTTCAGTTTTCATGTAGTTGAGCGGTTTTGAGTGAGTTTCTTAATCCTGAGTTCTAGTTTGATTGCACTGTGGTCTGAGAGACAGTTTGTTATCATTTCTGATCTTTTACATTTGCTGAGGAGAGCTTTACTTCCAAGTATGTGGTCAATTTTGGAATAGGTGTGGTGTGGTGCTGAAAAAAATGTATATTCTGTTGATTTGGGGTGGAGAGTTCTGTAGATGTCTATTAGGTCTGCTTGGTGCAGAGCTGAGTTCAATTCCTGGATATCCTTGTTAACTTTCTGTCTCGTTGATCTGTCTAATGTTGACAGTGGGGTGTTAAAGTCTCCCATTATTATTGTGTGGGAGTCTAAGTCTCTTTGTAGGTCACTCAGGACTTGCTGTACGAATCCGGGTGCTCCTGTATTGGGTGCATATATATTTAGGATAGTTAGCTCTTCTTGTTGAATTGATCCCTTTACCATTATGTAATGGCCTTCTTTGTCTCTTTTGATCTTTGTTGGTTTAAAGTCTGTTTTATCAGGGACTAGGATTGCAACACCTGCCTTTTTTTGTTTTCCATTTGCTTGGTAGATCTTCCTCCATCCTTTTATTTTGAGCCTATGTGTGTCTCTGCAGTGTGATGGGTTTCCTGAATACAGCACACTGATGGGTCTTGACTCTTTATCCAATTTGCCAGTCTGTGTCTTTTAATTGGAGCATTTAGTCCATTTACATTGAAAGTTAATATTGTTATGTGTGAATTTGATCCTGTCATTATGATGTTAGCTGGTTATTTTGCTCGTTAGTTGATGCAGTTTCTTCCTAGCCTCGATGGTCTTTACAATTTGGCATGATTTTGCAGTGGCTGGTACCAGTTGTTCCTTTCCATGTTTAGTGCTTCCTTCAGGAGCTCTTTTGGGGCAGGCCTGGTGGTGACAAAATCTCTCAGCATTTGCTTGTCTGTAAAGTATTTTATTTCTCCTTCACTTGTGAAGCTTAGTTTGGCTGGATATGAAATTCTGGGTTGAAAATTCTTTTCTCTAAGAATGTTGAATATTGGCCCCCACTCTCTTCTGGCTTGTAGAGTTTCTGCCGAGAGATCCGCTGTTAGTCTGATGGGCTTCCCTTTGTGGGTAACCCAACCTTTCTCTGGCTGCCCTTAACATATTTTCCTTCATTTCAACTTTGGTGAATCTGACAATTATGTGTCTTGGAGTTGCTTTTCTTGAGGAGTATCTTTGTGGCATTCTCTGTATTTCCTGAATCTGGATGTTGGCCTGCCTTGCTAGATTGGGGAAGTTCTCCTGGATAATGTCCTGCAGAGTGTTTTCCAACTTGGTTCCATTCTCCCCGTCACTTTCAGGTACACCAATCAGATGTAGATTTGGTCTTTTCACATAGTCCCATATTTCTTGGAGGCTTTGTTTGTTTCTTTTTATTCTTTTTTCTCTAAACTTCCCTTCCCGCTTCATTTCATTCATTTCATCTTCCATCACTGATACCCTTTCTTCCAGTTGATCGCATCAGCTCCTGAGGCTTCTGCATTCTTCACATAGTTCTTGAGCCTTGGCTTTCAGCTCCATCAGCTCCTTTAAGCACTTCTCTGTATTGGTTATTCTAGTTATACATTCATCTAAATTTTTTTCAAAGTTTTTAACTTCTTTGCCTTTGGTTTGAATTTACTCCTGTAGCTCGGACTAGTTTGATCGTCTGAAGCCTTCTTCTCTCAACTCGTCAAAGTCATTCTCCGTCCCGCTTTGTTCCATTGCTGGTGAGGAACCGCATTCCTTTGGAGGAGGAGAGGTGCTCTGCTTTTTAGAGTTTCCAGTTTTTCTGCTCTGTTTTTTCCTCATCTTTGTGGTTTTATCTACTTTTGGTCTTTGATGATGGTGATGTACAGATGGGTTTTTGGTGTGGATGTCCTTTCTGTTTGTTAGTTTTCCTTCTAACTGACAGGACCCTCAGCTGCAGGTCTGTTGGAGTTTGCTAGAGGTCCACTCCAAACCCTTTTTGCCTGGGTATCAGCAGCGCTGGCTGCAGAACAGTGGGTTTTTGTGAACCGCGAATGCTGCTGTCTGATCGTTCCTCTGGAAGTTTTGTCTCAGAGGAATACCCGGCCGTGTGAGGTGTCAGTCTGCCCCTATTGGGGGGTGCCTCCCAGTTAGGCTGCTCGGGGGTCAGGGGTCAGGGACCCACTTGAGGAGGCAGTCTGCCCGTTCTCAGATCTCCAGCTGCGTGCTGGGAGAACCACTGCTCTCTTCAAAGCTGTCAGACAGGGACATTTAAGTCTGCAGAGGTTACTGCTGTCTTTTTGTTTGTCTGTGCCCTGCCCCCAGAGGTGGAGCCTACAGAGGCAGGCAGGCTTCCTTGAGCTGTGTTGGGCTTCACCCAGTTGGAGCTTCCCAGCTGCTTTGTTTACCTAAGCAAGCCTGGGCAGTGGCTGGCGCCCCTCCCCCAGCCTCGCTGCCACCTTGCAGTTTGATCTCAGACTGATGTGCTAGCAATCAGCAAGACTCTGTTGGCATAGGACCCTCCAAGCCAGGTGCGGGATATAATCTGGTGCGCAGATTTTTAAGCCTGTCGGAAAAGTGCAGTATTAGGGTGGGAGTGACCTGATTTTCCAGGTGCCATCTGTCACCCCTTTGTTTGACTAGGAAAGGGAACTCCCTGACCCCTTGCACTTCCTAAGTGAGGCAATGCCTCACCCTGCTTCGGCTTGCACATGGTGCGGTGCACCCACTGTCCTGTGCCCACTGTCTGGCACTCCCTAGTGAGATGAACCCAGTACCTCAGATGGAAATGCAGAAATCTCCCATCTTCTGCATCACTCATGCTGGGAGCTGTAGACCGGAGCTGTTCCTATTCAGCCATCTTGGCTGCCGGACGCTATTTTAAAAAAATTTTAGGAAATAAAAATAGTTAGAATCCAAAATTACTATAATAGTTTTAAGAATATTTGTCTATGTGTTTAACTTTACTGGATAACTTCACATTTTCATATGCCTTAGGGTACTTTTTATAAACCAGTCTTCCATTTTAACCTGAGGGTCTCCTTTTAGCATTTTTGCAGGGCAGATCTAAGGGTAAAAAACAACTGCCCTCCAGGTTTTGTTTGCCTGCACATGTCTTAATTTATCCCTCGTTTTTGAAGAACAATTTCACCAGATATAGAAGTCTGGGTTTATCTTTCTTTTGTTTAGTTTTCTGTTGTTTTTATTTGTTTTTATGGTTGTTTTCTTTTATACCTTTAAATAGATCATCTCACTACCTTCTTCCTGCAATGTTTCCACCGAGAAATCTGCCAATAATCTTTTCTGTGATTCTTTGCATGTAATGAATCACTTTTCTCTTGTTATTTTCAATATTATCCTTATTTTGCTTTTTAACAGCTTGATTTAAATGTATTGGTGTGGATCTTAGGGTTTATCCTAATTAATGTATATGAAACTTGTATTTGTTTATTTTTGTCTTTCCTGAAATTTGGGAAGTTTTCATTCAGTATTTCTCTAAATAAATTTTTCTGTCCCTTTCTATCTCTCTACTTATGCTGGGATACCCATAATGCATATATTGGCCCATTTGATGATATATCTAAAGTCCCTTCAGTTCTCTTCAATCTTTTTCACCATTCCTTTCTAAAATAATTTTGTTCCTCAGATTCAATAATTCCAACTTACCTATATTCCAGTTTGCTGATTCTTTCTTCTGTTTATTCAAGTCTGCAGTTGCACATCTGTAGTCAAGTTTTCTATTTACTTATTGCATTTTTCAACTCTGGTATCTCTCTTTGGTTATTTTTATAATCTCTCTTTATGAATATTCTCATTTTCTTAATATATTGTTTTTCTAATATCTTTTAGTTATTTGTCCATGTTTTCCTTTAGATGTTCAGCATATTTAAGACAGTTATTTTAAAGTCTTTATCTAGTCACCAAATGTCTATGTTTCTATAGGGTTAGTTTGTGGATATTCATTTTTCCTTTTCAATGGATCACATTTTTCTCTTTCTTTGTATGCCTTGTAATCTTTTGTCAAAAAATTGGTATGAAGCAAAGCAGCCACATCTCCCATTATTTGTAGACTGGTAAGGAAGACCTTTACTAGTTAGCAGGACTCTAGGCCTTGAGTTTATCCTAGGGTGAAGACATAAGGAATTCTCAGGTATTTTCTAGGCCTGGAACTATCTGGGCCTGCGTTGTAGTTTTTATTCTTTTCTTCAGTATTTCTTATCTACATTTAACTCTCTTAATTTTTTTAAAGGGTATCACCCAAGCTTTTTCCCAGGGTCTTAGATTTCCCATTATATTCCTCTCTAATTTCTTTTTCCTAGGTGTCTGAGGATCTTACTATCCCTCTGCAGTTTTTGCATTTCAGAGCAGTTCTCTCTCCTTCCATGGAATCTAATCTGACATCCATGCTATGCCACCATTCTTTGTCTAAACTTTAAGTCAGGGGAGACAGAATCCAGCCTTGTGGGTAGGCCACACACAAACTCAAACATTTCAACCAAGCTACATGCTATTCCAGCTTTCATAATGGTAGGAACTGGGACTTGGGCCATACTTCCTCTGACTCTTACACCATGTAGGAAGGGGTTGGGGAAAGAATGAGTTAAAAGGACACAAAAATTTCTACTATTTAAAATATTTCTTTTTCTTGACATTGTCTAACTAGATTTTAGAATGGCTATAAAGCTATTTTACTCAGCGTGTAGTTGTACATTTGATGTTTCCATGGGGGCCAGACTCTGGAGCTTCCTAGTCTTTCATGTTTCTGATGTCACTTTTTACTCTCTTTACAGTTTTCATCTCAGATGTTAAAGTATTGTCTTAGTCTGTTTATACTGCTATAGAAAAATACTTGAGACTAGGTAATTTGTAAATAATGGAAACTTATTTCTTATTTTTCTGGAGGCAGAGAAGTTCAGGATCAAGGCACTGGTAGGTTCAGTGTTGTATAAAACTTAATTTCTGCTTCCCATGGCATCTTACTGCTGTGTTCTTAAATGGTGGAAGGCAAATGGGCAAAAGGACCAAATACTATGTGAAGCCTCTGTTACATTGGCATTAATCCCATTTACAAAAGAGAAACCCTCATGACTTAATCACCTCCTAAAAGTCCAACCTCTCAATACTATTGCATTGGAGATTAAGCTAAATATGAATTTTAAAGAAGACACAAACATTTAAACCATAGCAACTGTCTATTTTGTCTCAGTCATAATCTTTTGTCCCAGGTTACTATGTTGCTGCAGTTGTTTTTAATCTCCTAAGAAATGTTTGAGCAATGATCGCTACTTTTCTCTTCCGATTTCTTGGTTATGCAAAACAGAAATGAGTGCCTTGTGTCAATATTTCAAGTAGCCCTGAGACAAGTTTGAACATACAAACACATAATTTGTGAGTAGGGTCTTCTCTTCTCCTTCTGTGACCATGTACTAGAATGCCACACTGGAAAAACGTGTTGCTGTCTTGACAACTGTAGATAAGGCAGAGAGAAAATAAGGCAATTGCATTTAAAACATACACTCTGTTTTCTATCATTTTTAAGTTGTCTTTTATTTTATTCAGCCTTTGCATCATTGCTCCAGGCTGATTTGTTCTATAGAGTTCCGTCCAGTTTGGCTTGGATATTTTTTTGTTTATTTTGTGATGGTTTTGTGGTGGGAATAAGAGCTTGCCTACTCCATAATTTTGATGATACCTATTTTATTCTTTTTGATGCTATTGTAAATGTAATAGTGTTTATTTTTCAGAATGATTCTGGCTAGTATACAGAAATAAAATACAGTTATAGTGCTGATATTATTTGCTGAATTTTAAATTAGTTTTAATAGTTATTTTATTATTTTCTTAAAGGTTTTTTATATCAGTCTGCCTGGAAATAGATAATATTACTTTTTGTTTTCCAATTTGATGTTTTCATTAATTTTTTTGACCAATTGTTCTGGCTAAAATGAACAGTATGGTGTTCAGTAGAAGTGGCAAAATTGGGCATTTTTGCCTTTCTCCTGATACTAAGAAGAAAGAGTTTAGTGTTCAACCATTGAATATGATCTTAGCTGTGTGGTTCTCATAAATTACCTGTATCAGGTTTTAGAACTCCCTTCTATTTCTAATTTGTTGAGTGTTTTTTTCATTAATGGCTATTAGATTTTGTAAAATGACTATCATGCATCAATTACAATTGTCTTTTTTTGTTAATGTGGTATATTGTATATTAAATTGATTTTTTATGTTGAAACACCTTTCCATTCCTAGAATAAATCCCATGTGTTTATGATATATAACATTTTAATTATCCCCTGAATTAAGTGTGCTAGGATTGTACTTATGATTTTTGCATTAATATTTATAAGGGAGGTTGATATGATGTTTTCTATTTTCTAGTGTCTTTTTATAGCCTTGATATCAAGGCAGTCATAACCTCATAAAATGAGTCAGGAAGTGTTTTCTCCTCCTCTTTCTGTAGAGGAGATTTAGAAGAGTAGTTGATTCTTTTATAAATGTTTGGTAGAACTCAGTGAAGCCATCTGGGCCTGGCCTTCTCTTAGTTGAGCATTTCCTGTTTATGGATTTGATTTCTTGCATCAGATTTACCTCTTTATATTTCCTATTTTTAATGTCTTTTTTTTGTATTTTCTTTGTTTGCCTATTTTAATCTAGTTTTTTGGCATACAGCTGTTCATAGTATTCTCTTTTTATCCTTCTTATTTCTATAAGGCCTGTAGTAATGTAACATCCTTTATTAGTCATTTTATTAATTTAATTCTTCTCTCCCTTCTTTATCTGGCTAAAATTTGTTGACATTAAAAATCTTCAAAAATTCTTTGGTTTTTTGTCTTTGAATATTGTGTTTATCTGATCTCAGCTCTAATTTTATTATTTTCCTCATGTGAGTTTACATTTACTTTGTTCTTTTACTTATTCATTTAGGTAGAGCGTTAGGTTAATATAAATCTTTTTGATGGAAACATTAACAGTTATAAATTTGCCTGTGATTCCTCTTTTTGCTGTATTTCTTAAATTTTGGTAGGTTAGATTTTTAATATCATTTGTATCGAAGTATTTTTAAATTCTCATTATGGGCTGGATGTGGTGGCTTATTCCTGTAATCCCAGTACTTTGGGAGGCTGAGGTGGGTGGATCACTTGAGGTTAGGAGTTCAAGACCAGTCTGGCCAACATGGTGAAACCCCATCTCTACTAAAAATACAAAAAATTAGCTCAGCATGGTGGCACGCACCTGTAATCTCAGCTACTCGGGAGGCTGAGGCAGGAGAATCGCTTGAACCAGGGAGGCAGAGGTTGCAGTGAGCCGAGATTGTGCCACTGCACTCTAGCCTAGGTGACAGAGTGAGACTCCATCTCAAAAAAAAAATTGTTATGATTTCTCTTTGTCCCTCTGTTTGAGTGTATTGTTTTATTTAAATCTATTACAAATGTTCTAGTTTTCCTTTTGATATTGATTTCTCATGTTATTCCACTTGGCCAGAGAAAATTCTTTGATTTCCTTTAATCATTTTCAAATTAATTGAGAATTGTTTTGTGACCTAATAATATATAATGTCTCCTGGAAATTGTTCCATGTGCACTTGAAAAGAAAGTATTCTGCTTTTTTTGTGGGGGTGGGTGGAGTTTTTCATACATATTTGTTAGGTCTAGTTTGTTTATAGCGTTCTACCAGTCCCCTATTACTTATTGATGTTCTGCCTGATGGCTGGTGTCTATTTATTATTGAAAATGTGGAATTGAGGTATTTATTTGTTACTGTAGAATTGTTCATTTTCTCTTAAATTCTGTCCATTTTTAACATATTGTATATTTAATATATTTTCATATATTTGAGGGTTCTTCTGTAATATATGCATATGCTTATAATTGTTATATCTTCTTACTGGATTGGCCCTATTATCAATACATTGTCTTTGTCTCTTGTTACAACTTTGATGTGAAGCCTGTTATTTTCTGATGTGAGTATACTAACCACCTTTCCTTTGATTACTATTTGCATGTAATATCGTTTTTGATTCTTTCACTTTTAAACTATTTGAGCTTTTCAATGTTATGTAGACAGCATATGATTAGACGATGGTTTCTATTATTCATTCTGTGGTCTTCATTAAATAGTTTAACCCATTTATCTTAAAGTAATTACTCACAAGAAAGGACTGACTTCTCTCATTTTTCTATTCATTTTCTACCTGTGCTAAACCAGTTTTTGGCCCTTTTTGCCTACATTACTCCCTTCTCTAGTATCCGGTTTTGTACTCTATTACTTTGATTTTCTTCTTGTTTTCTTTTTAAAAAGTTTATTTTAGGTTCAGGGGTACATGTGCAGGTTTGTTATATAGGTAACTTGTGTGTCACAGGAATTTGGCATACAGATTCTTTTATCAACCAGGTAATAAACATAGTACCTGAGAGGTAGCTTTTTGTCCTCATCCTACTCCTACCCTCCACCCTCAAGTAGGTCCTGATGTCTGTTGTTCCCTTCTTTGTATCCATACATACTCAATGTTTATCTCCCCCTAATGAATGAAAACGTGATATTCGGTTTTCTGTTCCTGTGCTAGTTAATTTAAGATAATGGCCTCTAGCTCCATCCATGTTGCTGCAAAGGACACGATACTATTTTTTATAGCTGTACAGTATTCCATGGTGTATAGGTACTATGTTTTCTTTATCCAGTCTATCACTGATGGACATTTAGACTGATTCCATGTCTTTGCTATTGTGAATAGTTCTGTGATGAACATACATGTGAATGTGTCTTTATGGTAGAACAATTTATATTCCTTTGGGTATATACCCAATAATGGGATTGTGAGATTGAATGGTAATTCTGCCTTGAGTTCTTTCTGAAATTGCCAAACTGCTCTCCACAGTGGCTGAAGTAATTTACATTCCCACTAGCAGTATATAAGCGTTCCCTTTTCTCCACAACTTTGACAGCATCTTTTTTTATTTGACTTTTTAATAAAAGCCATTCTGACTGGTGAGAGATGGTATCTCATTGTGGTTTTGATTTGCATTCTTCTAATGATTACTGATGTTGAGCATTTTTTTCATATGCTCGTTGGCTGTGTGTGTCTTCTTTTGAGAAGTGTCTGTTCATGTCCTTTACCAACTTATTAATGGGCATTTTTGTTTTTGCTTGTACATGTATTTAAGTTTCTTATATATGCGGAATATTAGACCTTTGTCAGATGCATAGTTCACAAATACTATTTTCCCATTCTGTAGATTGTCTGTTTGCTCTGTTTATAATTTCCTTTTCCCGTGAAGAAGCTCTTTAGTTTAACTAGGTCTCATTTGTCAATTTTTCTTTTTGTTACAATTGCTTTTGGTGTCTTCATCATAAAATATTTGCCAAGGCCATGTCCAGAATGGTATTTCCTAGGTTGTCTTCAGGGTTTTTAATAGGTTTAGATTTTACATTTAAGTATTTATTCCACTTTGAGTTGATTTTTGTATATGGTGTAAGGGATGGGTCCAGTTTTACTCTTCTGTACATGGCTAGCTAGTTATCCCAGTACCATTTTTGCATTGGGAGTCTTTTCCTCATTGCTTGTTTTGGTCAATTTTATTGAAGATGAGAAGATTAAAGGTGTATGGCATTATTTCTAGATCTCTGTTTTGTTCCATTCTTCTGTGTGTCTATTTTTGGACCAGTACCATGGTGTTTTAGTCACTGTATAGTATAGTTTGAAGTCAGGGAATGTGATGTCTCCAGCTTTGTTCTTTTTGCTTAGGATTACCTTGGCTATTTGGCCTTTTTTTTTTTCATATGAATTTTAAAATAGTTGTTTCTAATTCTATGAAGAATGTCATTGGCAGTTTGATAGAAATAGCATTGAATCTGTAAATTGTCATGGGCAGTATGGCCATTTTAACAATATTGATTCTGCCTATCCATGAGCATGAAATGTTTTTCTATTTGTTTGTGTCATCTCTAATTACTTTGAGCGGTGTTTTGTAATTCTCATTGTGGAGAACTTTTGCATTGTTTGTTAGCTGCGTTCCTAGGTATTATTTTTTCTTTTTGTGGCTGTTGTGAACAGAATTGCATTCTTGATTTCGCTGTCAGTTTGGATGTTGTTGGTGTAGGGGAATGCTACTGATTTTTGTCCATTGATTCTTGTATCCTGAGATTTGCTGAAGTTTATCAGATCTAGAAATTTTGGAGCAGAGACTATGGGGTTTCCTAGGTATATAATTATATTGTCTGCAAACAGTTATAGTTTGACTTCCTCTCTTCCTATTTGGATGCCTTTTATTTCTTTCTCATGGCTGATTTCTGTGACTATGACTTCCGGTATCATGTTGAATAGAAGTGATAAGAGAGGGTATCCCTGTCTTGTTCTGTTTCTCTAGGGGAATGCCTCTAGCTTTCACTCATTTAGGATGATGTTGGCTGTGAGTTTTTCATAGAAGAGTTTTATTATTTAGTGGTATGTTTCTTCAATGCCTAGTTTGTTTAGAGTTTTTAACATTAAGGAGCGTTGAATCCTTTCAAAAGTTTTTTTCTGCATCTACTGAGATGATCATGTAGTTTTTGGTTTGGGTTCTGTTTATGTGGTGAATCACTTTTTTTGATTTGTGTATGCTGAACCAACCTTGCATCCCAAGGATGAAGCCTACTCGATCATGGTGAATTAGCTTTTTGATGTGCTGCTAAATTCTGTTTATTAGTATTTTGTTGAAGATATTTCTATCTATGTTCATCAGGAATATTGGCCTGAAGTTTTCTTTCTTTGCTGTATCTCTGCCAGGTTTTGATATGATAATAATGTTGGCCTCACAGAATGAGTTAGAGAAGAGTCCTTTATCTTCAATTTTTAAAAATAATTTCAGTAGGAATGGTACCAGCTCTTCTTTACACATCTAATAAAATTTTGCTGTGAATCCATCTGGTCCTGGGATTTTTTTGGTGGGTAGGTATTTTCTTACTGATTCAATTTTGGAACACATTATTGGTCTGTTCAGGGATTCACTTTCTTCCCAGTTCAGTCTTGGGAGGTTGTATGTTTCCAGGAATGTATCTACTTCTTCTAGGTTTTCTAGCTTTTATGTACATAAGTTTGTAGTTGTCTCTTAGGGTATTTTGTATTTATGCAGCATCAGTGGTAATGTCCCATTTTTTTCTGATTGTTTATTTGAACCTTTTCTCTTTTTTATTTAATCTTCTAGCTAGTAGTCAATCTATCTTATTAATTCTTTCGAATAACCAACTTCTGAATTTATTGATCTATTATATGGGTTTTTTTAAATCTCAGTTTCCTTCAGTTCAGATCTGATTTTGGTTATTTCTTGTCTTCTGCTGGCTTTGGGGTTGGTTTGTTCTTGTTTCTCTAGTTCCTCCAGTTGTGATGTTAGGTTGTCAATTTCAGATGTAACTTTTTGATGTGGGTGTTTAGTGTATAAGTTTCTCTCTTAACCCTACTTTAGTGTTCCAGAGATTCTGGTATGTTGTATCTTTATTAGTTTCAAAGAATTTCATAATTTCTGCTTTAATTTCATTGTTTACCCAAAAGTCATTCAGGAACATGTTGTTTAATTTCCAAGTAATTGTATGGTTTTGATCAATTTTCTTAGTATTAATTTGTATTTTTCTTTCTCTCTGGTCTGTGACTGTGGTTGGTATGATTTTTTAAAAATCTGCTGAGGATTATTTTATATCTAATTGTGCAGTCAGTCTTAGAGTGTGTGTGCCATGTGCAGATGAGAAGAATGTGTATTCTGGTGTTTGGGGGTGGAGAGTTCTGTAGATCTCTATTAGGTTCATTTGGTCAAGTGTCGAGTTCAGGTCCTGAATACCTTTGTTAGTTTTCTGCCTCAATGATCTGTCTAATAACTCTGAATTCGTTGTTGAAGTCTCCCACTATTACTGTGTGGTTATCTAAGTTTCTTCACAGGTCTGTAAGAATTTGCTTCATGAACCTGGGTGCTCCTGTGATGCATGAATATATATTTAGGATAGTTAGGTCTTTTTGTTTAATTGAGTTCTTTGCCATTACGTAATGTCCTTCTTTGTCTTTTTTGATCTTTGTTAGTTTGAAGTCTATTTTGTCTGGAATTAAATAGCAACCCCAGGCTTTTTGTTTGTTTGTTTGCTTGGTAGATTTTTCTTCATCCCTTTTCTTTGAGCCTACAGGTATCATTGCATGTGAGATGTTTCCCTCAAAGACAGCATACCATTGGGTCTTGCTTCTTTGTCTAACTTGTTACTCTATGCCTTTTAATTGGGGCATTTAGCTCACTTACATTCAAGGTTAATATTGATATGTGCAGACTTCATCCTGTTATGTTGTTAGTTGGCTACTATGCAGACTTGTTTGTGTGGTTGCTTTATAGTGTCACTGGTCTATGTATTCAAATGTGTTTTTATAATGGCTGATAACAGTCTTTTATTTCCATATGTAGCACTCCCTTCAGGAACTCTTGTAAGGCAGGTCTGGTGGTAACAAATTTCATTAGTATTTGCTTGCCTGAAAAGGATCTTATTTCTCCTTCACTTATGAAGCTTAATTTGGCTGGATATAAAATTATTAGTCAGAAATTATTTTCTTTAAGAATGCTGAATATAGGTTCCCATTCTCTTCTGTCGTCATTTTGATATTTGACATGACACTAGTCTGGTAATTTAATTTGTGTTGTAATTCAGGTACTCACAGGATGAGATTCTGCATTTGGTTTTCAGCAATCTTGGCCTTGTGGTTACTGGAGATAAGCATCTTCATGGCAGACATAGAAGCTTTAAGGTCATGAACGTGGAATTTGGCATACACATTTTTTTTTCTGAGCTCATTCTTTTCTTTCCCCACTTTGTCCACGGACATTACAAACAACCAGTCAATATTCATATATTTTTATTTTGACAAAAATGTTTCAAAGTATTATAGGCATGGTTGTCCAGGTTCTTGATTCTAAAAATGCTTCATTAGGGGTATTCAATGGCAATATTCTGCACCTTTTTTGCCATGTCATGACATGCACTATCAATGCTCTTATTACTACTGGAAATAATTAATAGTGTCTGAATTTAATCAAATTATTGAGCCCAATACAGAAACTTCAGAACCAAAAAATAAGATTTATCCAGGTCATTCCTATAAAACCACTCTTAGTACCAAAATCTGTATTAGCCAAGATTCTTTAGAGAAATAGAGCCAATGGTATATTGTATAAATTATCTCAAGTTTTCATAACAAGTACCACAAACTGGATGGACTAAACAGCATACAATTATTTTTCTACAATTCTGGATGCTTTAAGTCCAAGATCAAGGTCCTATTATGCAGGGTTGGTTTCCAGTAACTCGTCTCTTCCTGGCTTATTGGAGGCTCCCTTCTGTGTTCTCATATAGCTTTCCTCTCTGTGTGTGGAGAAAGAGCTTTCTGGTGTCCCTTCCTCTTCTTATAAAGATACCATTCCTACCAGAATAAGGGCTCTCCCTTATGAATTCATTTAACCTTAATATATGTAGTGTATAATTCAATACTTATAATACATATTATATACTATATGATAACATGCACACATGCACACACGTGTGTATGTTTGTGTATGATAATATAGTATATAATATACATATACATGTATGTGTGTGTATATATATATGTACACACACAGGCTCATTTGATTATGGAGACTGGCAAGTCCAAATCTGCAATGTGGGCTGAGAAGATTAAGACTGAGATCTGAGAGGGCAATTCCAGTTTTAATTTTGAGGAAAATTTGACATAGTTAATGGTGCAGATAAAGTACAAAAGCGATCTAATGGAGATATTTCTCTTGCTCAGGAAGGCTGGCTTTTTTGTTTTATTTAAACCTTCAAATGATTGGATGAGGCCTAACCCGCAGTATGTAGGACAATCTGCTTACTCAAAGATTACAAATTTAAATGGTAATGTCATCAAAAAGAAAGAGCCCTCCATATTGATATAAGATTAACCCACAGAACCCTAATTTTAATGCCTGAAAATCAGGGGAGAGGGTGTCAGTCATTTGCTGATGTTGTTATAATGCAATAGAAGGCAGCACACTCAGTTTCTTTATTTATATTATCATGTTTCTCTTGTTTTGTGGTACTACAACGCTGGTGGGCTAACACTGGTGAGTTTTTTTGGGCCATGTATTCCATTATGTTCAAGATGACATAGGATATAAGGAATACATTTTATTACTGATTTGTTGGAAGACTTTCCAGGCAATCTTAAATTAGTTCAGGATGTCAGAAGAATCCTTAGTCAACAAAAAAGTCTGTGAGTAGAAACTTTGAGTTTGGAAAGGATGATGTAGACCCTATAGTGTGACAAGTCCTCCACTAGATAACTTAAAGGTGTATATCCACTGCTTGAGCACTGAAGGCCAGGTAGTGAGCCAAGGCCATGGGGACCAGCTGAGGAGCAGGTGTTTCTGAGAATGCAAACATCCTAGAGAGTATCTGAGAACATACCAAGGGAGAGTCCCATGATACACACATGGTAGGCAAAAAGCTGTAAAAGTGCTTAAAAGCAGCTTAGAGATGGGAGGTGATGTGGACTCTAACGCTGTCCTGCTGCCTCCTAGGAGGGTCCCACATGTAAGTCTTAACACACTTATCTACTTGCCAAGCTGGATTGGTCTGGATCATTATTTAGTCTCGGCTCCCTTCCAGATTGTGGGACAGGGAAATATTACAGTCTAAAATTTTTCTTATAACAGACCCATTTCCCCCTGCATTTCTCCACTAACTACAGCTATAAACCTTGAAAATCACACAGGAAGCCTTGAAAGGAGAGCTCTGAAAGGTGGTATGAAGAAGACAGTCTGCTTAAGGACTCCAGAACTGAAGGAATTGTTTTGTGGCAATGCATGTTATTCCCCTAACTCAACTGAGAAAAACAGAGACCAACACTTAGTGTTTTTCAATCCCCCAGATAACAAGAAAACACAGCCCAATAAACTTATTTCTTCCCTGATAGAGGACTTTATCCAACAACAGAAGACCATCTTGGCATGACCTCGGAGTAGAATCATTCAGAAGTCTGCTAACAATAAGAAGCCAGAGAATTGCCAGAAGAATATTGCCTTAAAGGCTCAATGGTCTCCACATCTTAAGGTTCACAAACCCATACAAGTAAAACAATATTTGGACATAAAATGCTAATATTCATGAAATTATTTAATAACTTTATATCTGAATTATTTTATTTTTATCCTCTTATATGATAGTTCATATACCCAAAAGAGATAAAAATAATAGAAAAGATTAAAATTTTAATATTTTCTTCTCTTACCACATGGGATATCCAGTTCATCACCTCTAATGTATGCTCTTCACTCTAAATAACTCTGATGTACTAATAAAAAAGTGTTTCTCCTACATCAGCATGAGCCCTCCCTCTCCAAGGAGACTCTGGAGGGCATTGGTGTTGAGCCTGGACTAGAGAGGACTATGTTTCTCACAGATTGGAGTTAACAAATAAAGTAAAAGATAGTCAGTTAAATAAATTTCAGATAATGAATTACATATAGAGTATCCAAATACTTATACTACAGAGTTAGTAGTTGTCTTTCTGCTTTTTAGATGTAACTGTGTGTCTGGTAGTTTTACTTGCTGAATCCATCAACGCCAACATGAAATAATCATAGGATCTGAAAACATGATGCAGACCTAGGAGAAAAGCAAAAGAAGAAAAATCCATAGAGGTCATATAGATTGGAAGGAGCATGGAGGAGAATTGGGTGCCATCTGATACCATACAAATATATGTATTTGAATGCACATCTCAGATTGCTCTGAACAGTGACAGTTTGTCCTCAGGCTGAGGGTGAAGCCCCTGGGTACTCTCAGAGACGGATAATGCAGAACAAGTTCATCTTCCTTATTCTCACTTTCATCTTAGCTTGTTTATGATATTGCAAGCCCAAAAGCTTCCATGCAATCATGGAAATGTCAGGAAAAACATCATCAAGTGAACCAGGAACTAAAAGCTAATCATAAAGTCTATGTGCTTAGATCAAATGTCTGAAAAAAAAAATGACTTCAAAGAAAGAAGCCATTTCCAAAACCAATGTTATTTTGTATTACAGAATGTTACCTTAGACAAAAATAAAGTTTTATAAGACTTATTTCCTCAGTTTTATAATAATAGCTATTGTTTAGTGTTGTATTATTATAACCAAGCCCCTTGAGATTTCAGCACCCCAGCATTTTTAGCGACTGAAATAATGAAATTTCTAATTAAACCTTTGCTTGCTTGCACAAAAGCCAGCATCCCTTGTTTCTACAATAAAATTATAAATTGTTGATATACTGTTGTCAAGCAGGAAGAGATAATTTTCTTTTTCAAGCAGGAGGGTCACAGAAACATTTTGCAGAAGAAATACATGCCTTGAAGGACATTGTTACCAGCTGTTGACACCGAGAAGTCTTGTTGGCCAAGATGTTATCTGAGACTGAAGAAATACACACTTTTCCCCTCAATTCCCTTAATCTCCCCCTTCCTTATCTTCTGGCTGAATAAACATCCCCTGATGCTGCTTTGTTTTTTCAGATGGATTTGAGAAATTTTCTCTCCTACATTCTTACTTTGGCCCCATTGAATAAACCTTCCTCTATCTCCAGGCACCGGTGACACTGTTTGGCCTCAGCTGTACATCACATTCATGAGCCAGGATTTGGAATTCTACATCATTTTATTAACAATATTATTTTAATAGTTACTTGCATTCTTCCTGACATATTTAAGTATAGCTATATATCACAAAATATCCTGTGTTTTATTAGTATAACAATCGAAAGCATCATATTCCTCATCGATTTTACCGTACTTTATAAATAGCATTGAAAAACATATGACTGCTCATCAATAGCACAAAGCGATTATGAGAACTGCAGATTACCTGGTTAGGTGAAGAAAAGGTTTTTTTCATTCAGTGGCAATAGTGGCAACCCAAGAAACACAGCTAGCAATATCAGAAAAGGGAATTGCCCTTCCTGGCTAATAACAGTTTTATTAAATATTTGTGTAAAATGCACAAATGGCAAGATAATAATTATGATATTTTAGATGCCGTCAAAAAACAGACATGCATCTACTATTCATTAAACAGAGTAAGATGCATCGCAAGTCATGGACACTCCCAATCTCAAGACATTTTATTCTCAGCTCATGTGAGAAAAACATGAGTCAGAGAAGGCAGCTGCAGAGGTAGGAGACAGAAAAACACTGGACACAAATCCTGAGCTACAAATTATTGGAAACTTTAAAAATCCTGTCTGCCAGTGCATGTTTCTGACCACGAAACCCAAAAAGATGAGGAAAATATAACACTTTTTCTTCCTAAAAGATTGAAAGGTCTTTTAACCTCATATTTTGGTGGATCACAGTAACAAGATTATAGTAACATGAACTACATCAAATATTACATCAGGAATGAAATGGAGGGTATGTCCTCTGTGCCCAGGAACGCTGATTAAAATTAGTCAAGACCCACGCTCTCAGACACTCCAATGTTCTCTCCTTGACTCTGTGGCCAAACCGTTTATGAGAAAGCCAAAAGAGGAATATGTTTTTGAGATTTCTTTCACAAGATTGTGACTATAGTTACGTCAACCTAAAGTCATCAGAAAGATTAGAATCTAAAAGACTTTATTTAAATACAAACATTTAGGATAGACTGCCTAGAAAAGCACAGATTTTAAAGAATGGAAGTCAGTATTCCAAAGTGTAGAATTTTAAGATCATTTAAACAAAATTCAAGAAAGTTTAACAGAATTTTAACATCTTTCTATGTAAGGTTTAATGTATAGTTATAATATTTTGATTAGATAATCAAATATTATCAATTTTTTGGAAAAGATATATTTAACATTCTAAACAAGGCAGGTTCTGGTGTCCCTGGAAGTTGTAGTTTTGATGTTAATGCTTGTTTACACTTATAGATTCTGCATTGACCACCAGAAGCTCCTCACACAATGGCAGCAGGTTGGTGAACAAGATATAAAAGATTCTACAGGCCCCAACCTGAGTGATCCTCCTGCTTTATAGGGTCTGTATTGATCTCTCATGATACAAGAAAGGTCTGCCCTGGATTTTCTGTAATCCTCAGACTGAAGGCTGGCCCTGTTTTATGAATCTCACGGGGAGGCAAATTCCCCTTGTGTGCAAATTCTATGAGGGATCGCATCTGTTCTGTATTCTTGGGTTTTACAGCAAGAAGAGACAAGAGGAAAAGAGATTCCTTCCAGGAAGGCTGCTATAGAGCATTCTGAAGAGCCCCAGATACTGCATTCAAAATTTAGTGGTGCAGATTTAGGTTCCCAGAGAGACAGGGAAGTGGAAGAGGCCAACTCAATGCGCAGGTACATGTCTGTGCTACCAGGCCCCATGTTCTCTGAATCAATTTCTGTTATAAAGTCCCCAGGTACATTGAAAGACAGGGCTGGAACGGATGATTGCCACTTTATGAGGTTATTTTATTACAAATCTTTTCTAACTATGCCCCAGATGAAACTGCAGAGCCCAAAATAGGCAGCAAGATCATACTGCATTCACATTTTGAGGGCAGGCAAGATCTTCACTGAACAATTGTGGCTTGGGGGAAGAAAGCCTGAAAGAAAATTTGATGGGTATCTGCCAAAGTCCCTTCTAGTATGAAACCTGATCGGTACCTTTTATGTTTATATTTGATCTTGTAATTCTGAACAGTGCTTGGGAAATATAATTAAAACAACATTGCCTCCCAACCTAGAATGCCTCCCCACAAAGGTAGAAGAGAGATAAAATTGTTTTATAACTCAAACCAGAATGTGATGTGCATCAGAAGCAAAACATGTAGTGTTTAAACATCACAGTCTGGTTTGAGTTATAAAACATATGTGTTGTCAAGATTAATATTAGTAGCCCTCAAGTAGGAAAATTTGACAGCACCATTTGGCACAGTTTATCCTAAATTCACCTGGTAACTAGAAAGATGATCTAGGTTTGATAACTGGCTTTATTAAAAGGAAAAATAGGCCGGGCGCGGTGGCTGACGCCTGTAATCCCAGCACTTTGGGAGGCTGAGACGGGCAGATCACGAGGTCAGGAGATTGAGACCATCCTGGCTAACACGGTGAAACCCCGTCTCTACTAAAAATACAAAAAATTAGCTGGGCGTGGTGGCAGGTGCCTGTAGTCCCAGCCACTCGGGAGGCTGAGGCAGGAGAATGGCGTGAACCCCGGAGGCGGTGCTTGCAGTGAGCCGAGACTGTGCCACTGCTCTCCAGTCTGGGCGACAGGGCGAGACTCCGTCTCAAAAAAAAAACCGGGGGGGAAAATAAACTTCCAACTTTTGTGACAGAAAATTGTTTTGCAACTTGGAATTAAGTGCCTGATAAAATTAGGCTTCTATCTTACTGCAAAATTGTGAGATCGGGTACTATCTTTTTTCGTATTTATATTTCAAATACATTGTTCCCAGGTCCTGGAGAAAAGTATTCGTGTGTGTGTGTGTGTGTGTGTGTGTGTGTGTGTGTGTGTGTGTGTTTTAACAAAGAGAAGCAAAACAGCCAGCTAAATGTCGGAAAGTTGCACATTTTGGAGACTGATTTAGTTGGCTAGATGGGCTTTTTAACGTAGTGTGTTTTTTAGATTACTGGCTTCAGGGTGGAGCCACTTAATAAATAAAGCAAAGGAAGCATGCAGTTTTTAGGGCTTAATATTTAAATATGTGCAAAGCAGGAGCAGCTGGAAGGCATAACACTTAGATTCTCCCAAATCAAGAATCCCATTTTTACATTGAATTCTGAGCCCCCAAAAGAAATGCCATGCCAGAGGACTGGGCAGTTCAATGATTCCATAGTGCACCTCAGTAGAGGGACATTCATTTGAGGTTGGTAGGCAATCCTATGCCAGCACACACTATGATTACTGCATCCCACATGGGTGTCTTACCCCTCGGTGGGGTGGCTTGGGGGCTGTTTCTGTAGCCTCTACATTCTAAACCATACTTTTTCTATCCAAACACCCAAAGAAATAAGCAACTCCCTAGAGTAATAAACATTTACTGTAAGCGACTGCTGTCAGCCCTCTAACACCATAGCTCTTGCCAGTGACTCACCAGCAATTACATCCACCTAGTCAAGTTCTCTCATAGTACAATGTAATCTCTGGTATCCCCCAAAGCCAAGGAGATCAAGTAATGCAATACAAGAAAGAGCAGAGTGTTAGACCTGAGAGGGATCTCTCTGCTTACAACTCTGAGGGCCTCATGAGAAAAAGCAGTTTCCTCCCAAGAGGAGGAGACTGTGACAACTTTTCTGTTTTCTGTGATTCTAGGCTAGAATTCTGTTAGAATTCTTTTTTTGGGGGGCGTTCCCCTCATGTGGCATTTGGAGTGGCAAGAGGAAGGACAGACAGAAGTAAATGGAGAAACAGAATTCATTTGACTTTTACAGAGAGAGGAGATCTTAAAACCATGCATATGTGTATGTACGTAGAGTAAATATCAGTTTTTATTAAGTCAACTTTGGACTATAGAGCTCTTTAAAAATCCTTTTCCTAACTGTAATTCCTACTCAAGTCATTATACTTTTGCTGCTAGCTGGACCTCTGTAGCCAAATGAGCAGCCATTACACCTTAGTCGCTGTTCAACACCCTTCCTCACTGCAGTGTGATAGACCACTCTCAGATAACAATCATGCTAATTCTGCCAGAAGTATCCTAACTAGAGGCCCTATCTTGAATAAAGGCCAGGTAAAGCCAAACCTATGGCCGGGCACAGTGGCTCGCACCTGTAATCCCAACACTTTGGGAGGCTGAAGTGGGCAGATCAGCTGAGGTCAGAGATTCAAAAACAGCCTGGCCAACATGGTGAAACCCTGTCTCTACTAAAAATATATAAATTAGCCGGGTGTGGTGGCGGGCACCTGTAATCCCGGCTACTCGGGAGGCTGAGGCAGGAGAATGGCTTACGCCCAAGAGGCGGTGATTGCAGTGAGCCGAGATTGCACCACTGCAGTCCAGCCTGGGCAACTCAGCGAGACTCTGTCTCAAGAAAAAAAAAAAAAAAATGCCAAACCTGCTGGATTACTTTCCGAGGGGGCTGGGCACTCTTGGTCACAAGATGTTTATGGTTGAAACACTGAGTTAATGATGTTAATCAACTAAATAAGAACTCAAAACTTAAGAAAATGTCCCAGTACTTTAAGAAAAAGCATTATTAGTTTAAGTATGTTTTGCTTTAAAAATAGTACTCATAAATTCTTGCTGAAATCAATAGTAACATAGAAAAGTAACAATACTAATAGCCTGTCATAAGCTGATTAGAATCCTCTGTAATAAAGTATACCATTCTTAATAACCTATATAACCATTTGAAATGGGTGCATTTCTCCTCTTGCTTTCTGAGGAAGGCCTACTCTAACAGAGGAGCTTTCAATAAACTATCTCTTCTCATTGCAAGGCATTCCTCTTCCTGCTTTCTGAGGATGCCCTACTCTGTAACTGAGTAGTCTCTAATAAACTTTACTACACTCTGCAACTCACCAAGAATTCTTTCCTGTGTGAGATTCAAGAACCCACTCTTGGGGTCTGGGACAAGATCATCACATCTCTTCTAGTGACTCTGCCAGGACTTGAATGAGGTGAAGTCCCAACTCAAAGGAATGAGGTCCCAACCCAAAGGAAACAGACTCTGCAGCACCAATGGGCTGACGCAAACTCTAGTTGTAAATTTTTGACAAATAAACCCTTACGACCTTCACCTAGTTTAGAAACAGAACATTTTCATCATCTTCAGAAAATTCACTCGTGTTTTGTCCCAGGCACCTATCTTTTCTTCCTCAGCCAGAGGCTATCAATGTGTTTATTTCACCATAGGTTTATTTTGCCTGAAATAATACAATACATAAATATACAAAACACAATTTTATGTCTACCTTTTTTCACTTACGAGGTCTATGAGATTCATATAGGGTGTGAGCTTTAGGCTGAGTTGTATTCTGTTATATGAATGCTATGCAATTAATTCAAACCACTGCTTTAACCCAACATCTTTTGGTGAACTACTTACAAACTGGCTCTCAAATGAATGTAAAACATTTGCTGCTAAGTTGTGGCCTTTCAATCTTACCTGCCTTATCTAATCATTATTAAGATAGTCACTATGAGAAAACTATTCTCCAAATTATTGAAAGTTTAAGTCCTCCAGCAAAAGGAATATTAGGGAAGACATTTCACTGTTAACCCATAGTATATTATTTCCATCTGTTAACCACAATCTTAGATAAGATGGAATAGTTTAACACTGGTGTCAGTACAACATTTCATTCATTGTACATCAGTGTTAAAACATGAAAAACCAACTCATTTTATTAAAAGAAATTAAGTTCACCCATAGTCTACAGCATTTTAAAATCCACTATATTCTTCCTGGTCAAAATACAGTTACAAGTACTCAAGAAGCATTCTTTTTTTCCAATATACTAATCTTGCAGTTCTGTTTTCTACGTTTTTTTAAAGTGAGGCTAATTATTTAGTGAATGTTGATAGGAATTATCTTCACATTTCCCTGATACAGGTGAAGATGTTATTCTCATCACATCAAATACTCAACTTTTTCACTATGTATTCTATCACATCAAATAATACTAAAGACTCCTACTTTATTCTGTTTTAAAGATATGTTAGTACTTCAACTCAGTGGTCCTAACCTTTTTGGCACCAGGGATTGGTTTCATGGAAGACAATTTTTCTACAAACTGGCAAGGAGAGAGATGGTTTTGGGATGAAAATGTTCTGCCTCAGGTCATCAGGCATTAGTTGGAGTCTCCTAAGGAGCACACAACCTAGATCCCTCACATGCATAGTTCACAATAGGGTTTATGAAAATCTAATGCCACCACTCATCTGAGAGGAGGCAGAGCTCAGGTGGTAATGCTTGCTCACCCACCACTCATGTCCTACTGGTGCAGCTCAGTTTCTAACAGGCCACAGACCAGTAACTGGTCTACAGCCTGGGAATGGGGACCTCTGCTTTAAATGAAGTCTTTTTAAAAAAAAAAAAAAAAAAAAACTTATGGAGGAATTGAAGTAATTTCAAAAATTCAGAATATCCCTCTTACTTTAATATAGAAAAGAGCTCTAAACACGTATATGTTTACATGCATTACTACTTTATTCAAACACAAAGAGCATATTTTTAAAAATTTTCATGTGTTTTACATTTGGCATTAAACTTCCATGAAAAATGCTGATATTAATGATATTAACGTAGAATGACCTCACATTGTTCTGATGCAGAAAAAAAAACAGAACACATATTTTCACATGAACACCACGGATTAAGGAAAAGCAGCAACAGATTTGAAAGCTGAATTATATAAATAATATTTGCTTTCCAAAAACCTCAAATACTGTAAATACAAATGAAGTATCTATGAAATATACCTGTCAAAACATCAATGTTCTTGCTACTTTAAAACATATAAGCAAATAAATTATCTAATTATTTTGCCTTTAGATTATTCTGTACAAAAAATACTCTTATTTAGTATAAAGGCTGAAAGTGTCTGTGCTTTAGTCCTTTCTCACATAAATTCTCTGACACATTTAGACTTCATTTTTTATTAAATACTTCCTCACATTTATTGCATCTGCAAACTTCCTTTTTCTATGAACCCCTAGGTGACTCATAAGTTTGATATTTTGAATAAAACTTTTCACATTTTTACATCTATAGTGTTTCTCTAGTATGGATTATCTTGAGTAAGGGTTGAGCACAGTTTAAAATAATTTGCCACATTTTTAATATTTGTATGGATTTTTTCAGTTTATATTCTCTGCTATTGTGTAAGGCTTGAAAATAGTTAAAGGTTATGCCACATTCTTAACATTTGTAGGGTTTCACTCCCATATAAATTATCTGATGCACAATAAGACATGGGTAACAAGTAAAAAATCTGCTCCATGTTTTACATTTTTAAAGTTTTTCTCTAGTATGACTTCTCTGATGTGCAATGAGGTATGACCTAGAGTTAAAGGCTTTGCCACATTCTTCACATTTGTAGGGTCTCTCTCCACTATGACTTCTCCGATGTGTAGTGAGGTATGACCTATAGCTGAAGGCTTTACCACATTCATCACATTTGTAGGGTCTCTCTCCAGTATGTCTTCTCCGATGTGTAGTGAGGTATGACCTAGAGTTGAAGGCTTTGCCACATTCTTCACATTTGTAGGGTCTCTCTCCAGTATGACTTCTCTGATGTGTAGTGAGGTATGACCTATAGTTGAAGGCTTTGCCACATTCTTCACATTTGTAGGGTCTCTGGCCAGTATGAATTCTCCGATGCTGAATAACATCTGAACTATAACTAAAGGCTTTGCCACATTCTTTACATGTATAGGGTTTCTCTCCAGTATGAGTTCGCCGATGCACAGTAAGACCTGAGGAGTCACTAAAAGATTTGCTACATGCTTTACATTTGTATGGTTTTTCTCCAGTATGAATTCGATGATGTCGAATAAGGTGTGAACTATAAGGAAAGGCTTTGCCACATTCTTTACATTTATAGGGTTTCTCTCCAGTATGAATTCTCTCATGCACAATAAGATTTGAGAAACAAGTAAAAGGTTTAGCACATACTTTGCATTTGTAAAGATTTTCTCCAGTATGAATTTTCCGATGTTGAGTAAGGCAAGAACTACGGCTAAAGACTTTGCCACATTCTTTACATTTATAAGGCTTCTCTCCAGTATGAACTCTCTGATGCATAATAAGATTTGAAGAACGAGCATAAGATTTGCTACATACTTTACATTTGTAAAGTTTTTCTCCTGTATGAGTTGTCTGATGTTGAGTAAGGCATGAACTACGGTTAAAAGCTTTTCCACATTCTTTACATTTATAAGGTTTCTCTCCAGTATGAATTCGCTTATGTTTAGTAAGGTATGAACTACAGCGAAAGGCTTTGCCACATTCTTTACATTTGTATGGTTTCTCTCCAGTGTGAATTCTCTGATGCACAATAAGATTGGAGGAACGAGTAAAAGATTTGCTACATGCTTTACATTTGTAAAGGTTTTCTCCAGTATCAATTTGCTGCTGTTTAGTAAGGTATAAACTACAGTTAAGGTTAAAGACCTTGCCACATTCTTTCCATTTACAGGGTTTCTCTTCGGTAGGAATGATCTGATGTTGAGTAAGGTGCAAACTATGGTTTAAGCTATCCCCACATTTTTCACATTTGTATGGTTTCTCTTCATTATGGATTATCTGCTTTCTAAGATTTGATGACTGACTAAGATCTTTATCATATTTGTTATAGCTATATGAGTTTTCTCTGATATGGATGGTCTGATGTTGAATATGTTTTAATGACTGGGTACAAACTTCTACACATTTATTACATTTGTAAGACTGTTCTTGTTTCTCTTGCCCATGCATACTCTGAAGAAAGACTTCCTCAAATTCTTTACATTTGTATTGTTTTTCTAGAAAATAATTTTCCTGATGATTTTTAGGGCTTGAGCTTTGGTTCAAGGTTTTTTCAGAATTATTGCAATGATAATTTTTCTCTCCAATAAAAACATTTCGGTAACTATTTAGAGTAGAGACCTGCCTAAATAACACTGAAGTTTTATCATATATGTGATGTTTTCCCCAAATATCTATTTCCTCTTGTTGATTAAGCAATGATGAATGAGTAAAGACCTTCCTATATTGATCAAAGTTATAGCTTTTGGCACAAGAAGAAAGTATTTGCTGGTGAAACAAACTTTCAACAGAGGATTCATCAAATTGATCATATTTAAAAGTCTTTTCATCATAACATCCATTGTGCCCTTCACACTCCTCCCTTTTCCACCTTTTTCTTAAATGTAAATTCTCAAGATCACAGCTCCCATGTCTCCTCGATATCACTTTTTGGAATGAAGCTTCTGTGCAGTGCTCTGTCAACAGGTCCTTGTTATAATGCGAAAACACATCTGAAAGATATAAAAATTTTAAGAATTCCAATTACTATATTCAGGTACATATATTTTACAAATCTAATATACAAAATTATGCTAAGTTGAGAATACAACAACAGTTGAGTGAAAAACCTGAGGCCGTGTTTTCTCAATTGATATACAAACTTTACTACAATAAAGTGGCACGTGAACTACTAAGACACCAACAGTGAAGGAAAGGGAGTGCTTGTGCCACCTTGCCCTTGCCCCTCAGCAGCATCTGCATGGCGGGGAGAAATCTGTTCATTTGGGAGACGGAGAGCACAGTGACTAGGGGACTACAATGAACCCAGTGCTGCCCTATCACAGCAGAGACCTGGCAGGATTCATCACCTTCTGACTTAGGAGCTGCTGGTCTCTGAATAACCTACAGTGGTACCCCAATAACACATCATGAACATTGGACTCCGAGATGTGCTGGCTTCAGGTGTGACCCAGAACATTTCCCACTGTGGTGGGTATAGTGAAAGACACCTTCTGTTTGAGCAAAGCAGAGGAAAAAGTAAATGGGATTCTGTCTTGCACCTGAGGTACCAGCTTGGCCACAGTGGGGTAGAGCACCAAGCAGACTCTTAGGGTCCCTGAGTCAGCATTTCTGGACCTGCCCTGCACCAAAGAGTAAGTCCCAGTTGTGGAAGCAGTCATCATAAGCTGACTGAAGAGTGCTTGGGTGTTGAGTGAACATCAGTGATAGCCCAGTGGAAACCCCTGTGGGCTGGTGGTGGTGGCAGACACATTGTGAGGCTCCTCTGCCTGCAGAAAGGGGAGGGAGGAGTGGTAAGGATGTTGTCTTGTAATTTGAATGCCAGCTTAGCTGCAGTAGAATAGAACACGAGATAAATAAGGCTTCTGACTTCAATACCTGGCTCCCACACAATATCTCTGAACCTACCTGGGGCCAAAGGGAACTCACTGCCCTGAGGAGACACAAACCTGGCTGGTTACCACCTGCTGATTGTAGAGGCCTAAGGTCTTGAGTAAACTTAGGTGGTAGCCAGGCAGTAATTACACTGGGCCTTGGGTGACACCCAGTGCTGTGCTCACTTCAAGTCTAAATTAGCACAGTCCCAGTGGTGGGGGCAACAGGGAAGCTTATGTCATCCCACCCCAGCTCCAGGTAGCTCAGCATAGAGAAAGAAATTCCATTCGTCTGGAAGAAACTAAGGGAAGAGAACAAGAGTCTCTGCTTGGTAATCCAGATAATTCATCGATTTTAACCAAGACCAACCACATGGTACCTCTATGAGTCTGCAAGAACAACGTTATTGAGTTTGAGATCCAAGTACCTTCAAATTCTGGAAAGCCTTCCCAACAAGGGTGGACACAAAGCCCAGACTGCGAAGGCTACAATAAATGCCTAACTCTTCAATGCCAAGACACAGATGAACATCTACACATTAAGACCATCCAGTAAAATATGGCCTCACCTAACAAACTGAATAAGGCATAAGAGGCCAATCCTGGAGAAACAAAATAAGTAACTTTTCAGACAGATGATTCAACATAGTTGTGTTGAGGAAACAAATTCAAGATAAAATAGAGAAGGAATTCAGATTCTATCAGATAAATCAAACAAAGAGGTTGAAATAATTAAAAGGAATCAAGCAGAAATTGAAGTTAAAAAAGCAATTGGCATACTGAAGAATGCATCAGTCTCTTAATAGCAAAACTGATCAGGCAAAAGAAAAAATTATTGAGCTTGAACATAGGCAATTTGAAAATATGTAGAGAAGACAAAAAAGAATGAAGTATGCCTACAAGATTTAGAAAACACCCTGAAAAGGGCAAATCTAAGAGTTGTTAGCCTTAAAGAGAGAAAGAGACAGGGGTAGAAAGTTTCAAGAATACGATCAGAGAACTTCCCAAATCTATAAAGATATCAATATCCAAGTACAACCAGGTTACAGAACACAAAGCAGATTGAACCCAAAGACGACTACCTCAAGACATTTAATAATCAAACTCCCAAAAATTAAGAATAAAGGATCCTAAAAGCAGCAAGAAAAAAGAAACAGCATACAATGAAACTCCAGTACGTCTGGCAGCAGATTTTCAGTGGAAATCTTACAGGCCAGGAGAGAATAGCATGACATATTTAAAGTGCTGAAGTAGCAAAGCTTTTACACTAGAATAGTCTATCCCGTGAAAATATTCCATAGCCATGAAGGAGAAAAAAATGACCTTCCCAGACAAACACTGAGAGATTTCATTAAAACCAGACCTGTCCTACAAGTAATACTAAGGGGCATTCTCTTCCATCTGTAAGAAAAGAATGTTAATGAACAATAAGAAGTCATCTGAAGGTACAGAACTCATTGGTAATAGCACAGAGAAAAACTGAGTATTATAATATGGTAACTGTGGTGTGTAAAATACTCAAGTAGAAATACTCAATGATGACTCAATACAACTACAACAATGTTTCAAGACAAAGACAGTACAATAAGACATAAAGAGAACCAACAAAAAGTTGAAAAATGGGGAAGCAAAGTTAAAGGTAGAGTTTTTACTAGTTTTCTTATTGCTTATTTGTTCACTTAGGCAATCAGTGTGAAGTTGTCAGCAGTTAAAACAATAGGTTATAAGATAGTATTTGTAAGTTTCATGGTAACCTCAAATAAAAAAACATACAACAGACACAGAAACCAAAAAGCAAGAAATTAAATCATACCACCAAGAAAAATCATGTTCACTAAAATGAAGACAGAAAGGAAGGACAAAAGAAAGAGAAGATGCAAAAACAAATAACAAAATGGCAGGAGTGAACACATACTTATCAATAATAATGCTGAATGGAAATGCACTAAACACTCCAATTAGATGACATAGAATGGGTGAAAAAAAGAAAAAGGAAGACCCAATTATCTGCTGCCCACAAGAAATACACTTCATCTATAAAGATACACATAGACTGAAAAATAAAAGAATGGAAAAATGTTCCATGCCAATGAAAACAAAAAAAAAGAACCAAAGTAGCTATACTTACATCAGATAAAATATATTTCAAGATAAAAACTGTGAAGACAGAACAAATGTCATTTTATGATAAAGGGATCAATTCAGTCAGAGAATATAACAATTTTAAATATCCATGCACCCTACACTAAAGCACTGAGACATAGAGTATTAGAGCTAAAGAGAGAGGCCCCAATACAATAATAATTGAGACTTCAACACACCACTTTCAGCATTGTACAGATCTTACAGATAGAAAATCATGAAAGAAACATCAGACTTAATCTGTGCTATAAACCAAATATACCTAATAAATATTTGCAGAACATTTTATCTAATGGCTACAGAACACACATTCTTCTCAGCACATAGATAATTTTCAGATACACAACATTTTAGGTTACAAAACAAGTCTTAAAACATTCAGAAAAGTGAAATAATATCAAACATCTCTGCCCACAATGGAATATAACTAGAAATCAGTAACAAGAATTTTGGAAACTATACAAACAAATGTAAATTAAACAATACGCTCCTCAATGAAAATTGGATCAGTAAAGAAATTAAGAACGAAATTGAAAAATTTCTTCAAACAAATAATGAAAAAACACATACCAAAACCTATGGGATACAGCAAAAGCAGTACTGAGAAATGTATAGATATATGTGCTTACATCAAAAAAGAAAAAAATCATATAACCTAATGTTGGATCTTAAAGAAAAAACAGCAAAACAAAAATTATAATAAACATCACAGCAGAAATAAAATTCAAATAAAAAATACAAAAAAAATCAATGAAATGAAAAGTTGATTTTTTTAAGCAGATAAATAAAATTTACAAACCTTTAGCTTGACTAAGAAAAAAAGAAGACCCACATAAAACCAGAGATGAAAAAGGAGACATTATAACTGACACTGCAGAAATTCAAAAGATTATTAGTGGCTATTATTAACAACTGTATGCCAACTAATTGGAAAATCTAACAAAAATGGGTAAGTTCCCAGATATATACAACTTACCAAGATTAAACAACGAAGAAATCCAAAACATGAACAGACCAATAAGAAGTAACAAGTTCAAAGCCATAATAAAAAGTCTCCCAGTAAAGAAAAGCCCAGGACCTGATGGCTTCACCACTAAATTCTACCCAACATTTAAAGATCTAATACCAGCTCTACTCAAAAACTTCCAAAACACAGGAGGAAGGAATACTTCCCAACTCATTCTTTGAGGCCAGTATTACCATAATACCCAAATCAGAAAAAGATACATCAAAAGATGAAAACTGTACGCCAATATCTATAATAAATATTTATGTAAAAATAACAAAGTGTTAGCAAACAGAATTCAACAACACATTAAAAGATTGTTCATTATGACAAAGTGGGATTTATCCCAGGGATGCAAGAATGGTTCATCATATGCAATCAATCAGTATGATACATCAACAGAATGAAGGACAAAATCATATGATCATTTCAACTGCTGCTGAAAAAAGGATTTAATAAAATTCAACATCCTTTGATAATAAAAACTCTCAAAAAGCTGGGTATAGAAAGAACATACCTCAAAATAATAAAAACCATATATGACAGATCCACAGCTAGTATCATCCTGAATGGAGGAAAAAAATCTGAAAGTCTTTTCTCTAAGATCTGGAACATAACAAGGATGTCCACTTTCAACACTGTTATTCAACATAGTACTGGAAGTGCTAGCTACAGCAGCAGTAAAACGAGAAAAAACTAAATGGCATCCAAATTGGAAAGGAAGTCGTCAAATTATTCTTGTTTGCAGATGGTACAGTCTTATATTAAGAAAAATCTAAAGACTCCACCAAAAAACAGTAAGAACTGATAAAGTTGCAGGATATAAAATGAACATACAAACATCAATAGCATTTCTATATGCCAACAGAGAATCTGAAAAAAGAGATTAGAAAGTAATTCCATTTACAGTAGCCACAAATAAAATTAAATACCTAGACATTAACTTAACCAAAGAAGTGAAAGATCTGTACAATGAAAACTATAAAACATGAATGAAAGACATTGAAGAGGATGGCTGGGTGCAGTGGCTCACACCTGTAATCCCAGCACCCTAGGAGGCCGAGGTGGGCAGATCACTTGAGGTCAGGAGTTTGAGACCAGCATAGTCAACATGGTGAAACTCCGTCTCTACTAAAAATACAAAAAATTAGCCAGGCACGGTGGCGCATGCCTGGAGTCCCAGCTACTTGGGAGGCTGCGGCAGGAGAATCACTTGAACCCGGGAGGCGGAGGTTGCAGTGAGCCGAGCCGAGATCGTGCTACTGCACTCCAGCCTGGGCGACAAGAGGGAGATACGTCAAAAAAAAAAAAAAAAAAAAAAAAAAGAAAAGAAAAGAAATAGAAGATAGAAGAGGACACACACACACACACACACACACACGAAAAATATCCCATGTCAATGGATTGGAAGAATCAATATTGTTAAAATATCCATACTACTCGAAACAATCTACAGAATCAATGCAATCCCTATGAAAATACTAATGACATTCTTCACAGAATTAGAAAAAACAATCCTAAAATATATATGGAACCACAAAAGACTCAGAATAGCAAAGCTATCCTAAGCTAAAAGAACAAAACTTAAGGAGTCACATTATCTGATTTCACATTACACTAAAGAGCTGTAGTAATCAAAATGGTATGGTACTGGCATAAAAACAGACACACAGACCAATGCAACAGAATAGAGAACCCAAAAACAACTCCAGACACCTTGAGTGGACTCGTTTTTAACAAAGATGTTAAGAACATACACTAGAGAAAGGACAGTTTTTTTTCAATAACCAGTGCTAAAAAAAAACTGGATATCCATATATATGAAGACAAGCTATTCATTAAAAACAGAAACTAGACCCTATCTCTCACCATACACAAAAATCAAATCAGAATGGATTAAGGACTTTAAGATTTCAAACTATGAAACTACTACAAGAAAACATTGGGGAAACTCTCCAGGACAATGGTTGGTGTAAAAATTTCTTAAGTAATGTATTAAAGCACAGGGAAACAAAGCAAAAATGGACATATGGGATCATGTCAAGTTAAAAAGCACCTGGACAACAAAGGAAATACTCAATAAAGTGAAGAAACAACCCACAGAATGGGAGAAAATATTCACAAACTACGCATCTGACAAAGGATCAATAATCAGAATATGTAAGGAGCTCAAACAACTCTTTAAGAAACAATCTAATAATCCAATCAAAAATGGGCACAAGATTTGAAGGGACATTTCTCAAAAAAACCCAAACTAGGGAGCAGTGGCACAATCACCGCTCACTGCAGGCATAAATTTCTGAAGTTAACTGATTCTCCTGCCTCAGCTTCCTGAGTACCTAAAACTACAGGCATGCATCATCACACCTAGTGTATTTATTATTAGTATTATTTTTTTTTTTTGAGACAGAGTCTTGCGTTGTCACCCAGGCTGCAGTGCAGTGGCGCTATCTTGGTTCACTGCAAGCTCCACCTCCCGGGTTCAGGCCATTCTCCTGCCTCAGCCTCCTGAGTAGCTGGGACTACAAGCACCCATCACCACACCCGGCTAATTTTTTTTTTTTTCAATTTTTAGTAGAGACGGGGTTTCATCATGTTAGCCAGGACGGTCTCAATCTCCTGACCTCGTGATCCACCCGCCTCGGCCTCCCAAATTGCTGGGATTATAGGCATGAGCCACTGCGCCCAGCCATATTTATTATTTTTTATAGACACAGGGTCTCAATATATTGCTCAGGCAGGTCTCAAACTCCTGGCCTCAAATGATCCTCCAACTTCAACCTCCAAAGTAGCTGGGATAACAGGCATGAGCCACATAACTGGCTAAAATATTTATATTAAAAATGTTCAAACAACTAAAGGAGAACACAACTAAACTAAAAGAGAAAATGGATGATGAAAATGAACAGAGATTAAACCTATAAAAACACAAAGTGTGGAGGTAAAAATAAAAACTAAATTTAAAGATTCACTAGATGAGGTCTACAGCAGACCTGATGTAGCAGGTAAAAAATCCCCAGCACACTTGATAACAGGTCATTTGAAATTTTGAAGTCAGGAAGGCAAACAGGATTAAAAAATGAAGGAAAAAAGAGCCTAGTAAACCTATGGGATACTATCAAGTAGGCCAACATACTCATGAGAATTCTAAACTGAAAAAGAGCAGAAAATTTATTTGAAGTAATAATGACTAAGAATTTTCCAAATTTGATGGAGAAAATGGCCTAAAATTTAAAGTTCAACCAACTCTAGCAGCAACACAAAGAGACTCACATGAGACATTATAATCAGAAATTCAAAAGTGACAAAGAGAATCTTGAAGTCAGAAAGAAAAAGATGACTTGGCACATACAAGGCCACTCTTATAAAATGATCAACAGATGTCTCAGCAAAAAATCTCACAAGCCAGAAGATGGCAGGATGATATATTGAAAGTGATGAAAAAATAACAACTACCTACTATGAACACTACATCTGCCCAAACTATACTTTAAAAATGAATTAGAAAAAAAGAACTTTGGGGGGAGGAGCCAAGATGGCCAATAGGAACAGCTCCAGTCTACAGCTCCCAGCCTGAGCCACGCAGAAGACGGGTGATTTCTGCATTTCCAACTGAGGCACTGGGTTCATCTCACTGGGGAGTGCCAGACAGTGGATGCAGGACGGTGGGTGCAGCCCACCGTGCGTGAGCCGAAGCAGGGTGAGGCACTGCCTCACCTGGGAAGTGCAATGGGTCAGGGAATTCCCTCTCCTAGTCAAAGAAAGGGGTGACAGACGGCACCTGGAAAATCGGGTCACTCCCACCCTAATACAGCGCTTTTCCAATAGGCTTAACAAACGGCACACCAGGAGATTATATCCCGCACCTGGCTCGGAGGTTCCTACACCCACGGAGTCTCACTGATTGCTGGCACAGCAGTCTTGAGATCAAACTGCAAGGTGGCAGCAAGGCTGGGGGAAGGGTGCCCACCATTGCCCAGGCTTGAGTAGGTAAACAAAGCGGTCCGGAAGCTCCAACTGGGTGGAGCCCACCACAGCTCAAGGAGGCCTGCCTGCCTCCGTAGACTCCACCTCTGGGGGCAGGACACAGACAAATAAAAGGCAGCAGTAACATCTGCAGACTTAAATGTCCCTGTCTGTCAGCTTTGAAGAGAGTAGTGGTTCTCCCAGCACACAGCTTGAGATCTGAGAATGGGCAGACTGCCTCCTCAAGTGGGTCCCTGACTAGCCTATCTGGGAGGCACCCCCCAGTAGGAGCTGACTGACACCTCACACGGCCGGGTACTCCTCTGAGACAAAACTTCCAGAGGAATGATCAGGCAGCAGCATTTGCGGTTCACCAATATCCGCTGTTCAGCAGCCACCACTGCTGATACTCAGACATACAGGGTCTGGAGTGGACCTCCAGCAAACTCAAACAGACCTGCAGCTGAGGTTCCTGACTGTTAGAAGGAAAACTAACAAACGGAAAGGACAACCACACCAAAAACCCATCTGTACGTCACCATCATCAAAGACCAAAGGTACATAAAACCACAAAGATGGGGAAAAAACAGCAGAAACACTGGAAACTCTAAAAATCAGAGTGCCTCTCCTCCTCCAAAGGAACGCAGCTCCTCAAAATCAATGGAACAAAGCTGGACGGAGAATGACTTTGACGAGGTGAGAGAAGAAGGCGTCAGACAATCAAACTACTCTGAGCTAAACGAGGAAGTTCGAACCCATGGCAAAGAAGTTAAAAACCTTGAAAAAAAATTAGACGAATGGCTAACTAGAATAACCAATGCAGAGAAGTCCTTAAAGGACCTGATGGAGCTGAAAACCAAGGCACACGAACTACGTGACGAATGCACAAGCCTCAGTAGCCGATTCGATCAACTGGAAGAAAGGGTACCAGTGATGGAAGATGAAATGAATGAAATGAAGCGAAAAGAGAAGTTTAGAGAAAAAAGAATAAAAAGAAACGAACAAAGCCTCCAAGAAATATGGGATTATGTGAAAAGACCAAATCTACGTCTCATTGGTGTACCTGAAAGTGACGAGGAGAATGGAACCAAGTTGGAAAACACTCTGCAGGATATTATCCAGGAGAACTTCCCCAATCCAGCAAGGCAGGCAAACATTCAAATTCAGGAAATATAGAGAATGCCACAAAGATACTCCTCAAGAAGAGCAACTCCAAGACATATAATTGTCAGATTCACCAAAGTTGAAAGGAAGGAAAAAATGTTAAGGGCAGCCAGAGAGAAAGGTCAGGTTACCCACAAAGGGAAGCCCATCAGACTAACAGCTGATCTCTTGGCAGAAACTCTACAAGCCAGAAGAGAGTGGGGGCCAATATTCAACATTCTTAAAGAAAAGAATTTTCAACCCAGAATTTCATATCCAGCCAAACTAAGCTTCATAAGTGAAGGAGAAATAAAATCCTTTACAGACAAGCAAATGCTGAGAGATTTTGTCACCACCAGGCCTGCCCTACAAGAGCTCCTGAAGGAAGCACTAAACATGGAAAGGAACAACCGGTACCAGCCACTGCAAAAACATGCCAAACTGTAAAGACCATCAAGGCTAGAAAGAAACTACATCAACTAATGAGCAAAATAACCAGCTAACATCATAATGACAGGATCAAATTCACACATAAGAATATTAACCTTAAATGTAAACGGGCTAAATGCTCCAATTAAAAGACACAGACTGGCAAATTGGATAAAGAGTCAAGACCCATCAGTGTGCTGTATTCAGGAAACCCATCTCATGTGCAGAGACACATATAGGCTCAAAATAAAGGGACGGAGGAAGATCTACCAAGCAAATGGAAAACAAAAAAAGGCAGGGTTGCAATCCTAGTCTCTGATAAAACAGATTTTAAACCAACAAAGATCCAAAGAGAGAAAGAAGGCCATTACATAATGGTAAAGGGATCAATTCAACAAGAAGAGCTAACTATCCTAAATATATATGTACCCCATACAGGAGCACCCAGATTCATAAAGCAAGTCCGTAGTGTCCTACAAAGAGACTTAGACTCCCACACAATAATAATGGGAGATTTAACAACCCATTGTCAACATTAGACAGATCAACAGGACAGAAAGTTAACAAGGATATCCAGGAATTGAACTCAGCTCTGCACCAAGCGGACCTAATAGACATCTACAGAACTCTCCACCCCAAATCAACAGAATATACATTCTTTTCAGCACCACACCACACCTATTCCAAAATTGACCACATAGTTGGAAGTAAAGCACTCCTCAGCAAATGTAAAAGAACAGAAATGATAACAAACTGTCTCTCACACCACAGTGCAATCCAACTAGAACTCAGGATTAAGAAACTCACTCAAAACTGCTCAACTACATGGAAACTGAACAACCTGCTCCTGAATGACTACTGGATACATAACGAAATGAAGACATAAATAAAGACGTTCTTTGAAACCAACAAGAACAAAGGCACAACATACCAGAATCTCTGGGACACATTCAAAGCAGTGTGCAGAGGGAAATTTATAGCACTAAATGCCCACAAGAGAAAGCAGGAAAGATCTAAAATTGACACCCTAACATCACAATTAAAAGAACTAGAGAAGCAAGAGCAAACACATTCAAAAGCTAGCAGAAGGCAAGAAATAACTAAGATCAGAGCAGAACTGAAGGAAACAGAGAAACAAAAAACCCTTCAAAAAATCAATGAATCCAGGAGCTGGTTTTTGAAAGGATCAACAAAATTCATAGACCCATAGCAAGACTAATAAAGAAGAAAAGAGAGAAGAATCAAATAGATGCAATAAAAAATGACAAAGGGGATATCACCACCGATCCCACAGAAATACAAACTACCATCAGAGAATACTATAAACACCTCTACGCAAATAAACTAGAAAATCTAGAAGAAATCGATAAGTTCCTCAACACATACACTCTCCCAAGACTAAACCAGGAAGAAGTTGAGTCTCTAAACAGACCAATAACAGGCTCTGAAATTGAGGCAATAATTAATAGCTTACCAACCAAAAAAGTCCAGGACCAGATGGATTCACAGCTGAATTCTACCAGAGGTACAAGGAGGAGCTGCTACCGTTCCTTCTGAAACTATTCCAATCAATAGAAAAAGAGGGAATCCCTCCCTAACTCATTTTATCAGGCCAGCATCATCCTGAGACCAAAGCCTGGCAGACACACAACAAAAAAAGAGAATTTTAGACCAATATCCTTGATGAACATTGATGCAAAAATCCTCAATAAAATACTGGTAAACCGAATCCAGCAACACATCAAAAACCTTATCCACCATGATCAAGTGGACTTCATCCCTGGGATGCAAGGCTGGTTCAAAATACGAAATTCAAGAAACATAATCCAGCATATAAACAGAACCAAAGACAAAAACCACATGATTATCTCAATAGATGCAGAAAAGGCCTTTGACAAAATTCAACAACGCTTCATGCTAAAAACTCTCAATACATTAGGTATTCATGGGACGTCATAGATAAGAGCTATCTATGACAAACCCACAGCCAATATCACACTGAATGGACAAAAACTGGAAGCATTCCCTTTGAAAACTGGCACAAGACAGGGATGCCCTCTCTCACCACTCCTATTCAACATAGTGTTGGAAGTTCTGGCCAGGGCAATCAGGCAGGAGAAGGAAATAAAGGGTATTCAATTAGGAAAAGAGGAAGTCAAGTTATCCCTGTTTGCAGATGACATGACTGTATATCTAGAAAACCCCATCGTCTCAGCCCAAAATCTCCTTAAGCTGATAAGCAACTTCAGCAAAGTCTCAGGATACAAAATCAATGTGCAAAAATCACAAGCATTTTTATACACCAATAACAGACAAACAGAGAGCCAAATCATGAGTGAACTCCCATTCACAATTGCTTCAAAGAGAATAAAATACCTAGGAATCCAACTTACAAGGGATGTGAAGGACCTCTTCAAGGAGAACTACAAACCACTGCTCAATGAAATAAGAGTATACAAACAAATGGAAGAACATTCCATGCTCATGGGTAGGAAGAATCAATATTGTGAAAATGGCCATACTGCCCAAGGTAATTTACAGATTCAATGCCATCCCCATCAAGCTACCAATGACTTTCTTCACAGAATTGGAAAAAACTACTTTAAAGATCATATGGAACCAAATAAGAGCCTGCATCACCAAGACAATCCTAAGCCAAAAGAACAAAGCTGGAGGCATCATGCTACCTGACTTCAAACTATACTACAAGGCTACAGTAACCAAAACAGCACGGTACTGGTACAAAAACAGAGATATAGACCAGTGGAACAGAACAGAGCCCTCAGAAATAATGCCGCATATCTACAACCATCCGATCTTTGACAAACCTGACAAAAACAAGCAATGGGGAAAGGATTCCCTATTTAATAAATGGTGCTGGGAAAACTGGCTAGCCATATGGAGAAAGCTGAAAATGGATCCCTTCCTTACACCTTATACAAAAATTAATTCAAGATGGATTAAAAACTTACATATTAGACCTAAAACTTAAGAACCCTAGAAGAAAACCTAGGTAATACCATTCAGGACATAGGCATGGGCAAGGACTTCCTGTCTAAAACACCAAAAGCAATGGCAACAAAAGCCAAAATTGACAAATGGGATCTAATTAAATGAAAGAGCTTCTGCACAGCAAAGGAAACCACCATCAGAGTGAACAGGCAACCTACAGAATGGGAGAAAATTTTTGCAACCTACTCATCTGACAAAGGGCTAATATCCAGAATCTACAATGAACTCAAACAAATTTACAAGAAAAAAACAACCCCATCAAAAAGTGGGTGAAGGATATGAACAGACACTTCTCAAAAGAAGACATTTATGCAGCCAAAAGACACATGAAAAAATGCTCATCATCACTGGCCATCAGAGAAATGCAAATCAAAACCACAATGAGATACCATCTCACACCAGTTAGAATGGCGATCATTAAAAAGTCAGGAAACAAGTGCTGGAGAGGATGTGGAGAAATAGGAACACTTTTACACTGTTGGTGGGACTGTAAACTAGTTCAACCATTGTGAAAGTTGGTGTGGCGATTCCTCAGGGATCTAGAACTAGAAATACCATTTGACCCAGCCATCCCATTACTGGGTATATACCCAAAGGATTATAAATCATGCTGCTCTAAAGACACATGCACATGTATGTTTATTGTGGCAGTATTCACAATAGCAAAGACTTGGAACCAACCCAAATGTCCAACAATGATAGACTGGATTAAGAAAATGTGGCACATATACACCATGGAATACTATGCAGCCATAAAAAATGATGAGTTCATGTCCTTTGTAGGGACATGGATGAAGCTGGAAACCATCATTCTCAGCAAACCATCCCAAGGACAAAAAACGAAACACCGCATGTTCTCACTCATAGGTGGGAATTGAACAAAGAGAACACATGGACACAGGAAGGGGAACATCACACACTGGGGCCCGTTGTGGGGTGGGGGGAGAGGAGAGGGATAGCATTAGAAGATATACCTAATGCTAAATGACGAGTTAATGGGTGCAGCACACCAACATGGCACATGTATACAAATGTAACAAATCTGCACGTTGTGCACATGTACCCTAAAACTTAAAATATAATAATAAAATAAATAAAAAAATAAAAATAAGTTAAAAATTAAAAAAAAAAAAAAAAAGAAAGAATTCTTGGGGCCGGGCACAGTGACTCATGCTTGTAATCCCAGCACTTTGGGAGGCCAAGACGGGTGGATCACGAGGTCAGGAGATCAAGACCATCCTAGCTAATGCAGTGAAACCCCATCTCTACTAAAAATACAAAAAAATAGCTGGGCGTGGTGGCAGGCACCTGTAGTCCCAGCTACTCAAGAGGCTGAGGCAGGAGAATGGCGTGAACCCAGGAGGCGGAGCCTGCAGTGAGCCAAGATCTCGCCACCACACTCCAGCCTGGGTGGCAGAGCGAGACTCCGTTTCAGGAAAAAAAATAAAGAAATAAAGAATTCTTAATAAAAGCTAAATGAATTTATATCCATTAGACCTGTCATACAAGAAATGCTAAAGGAGTCAGTTCTTTATATTGAAAAATAACATGATGGTAGGGAGGAACACAAAATCATGTAACAGTATAAAGTTTTCTGGTTAAGGTAATAATATACACAAATAAAGTATTCGGTATTATTGTAATAATAGTATATAGAATACTTTTAATTCTGCTATACATTTGAAAAGACAAACACTTTCTCGTGTGTGTGACTGTATGGCTCTCTTTTTTTTTTAATTTACCTGATACAATTCTGTATTATTACTAATTACATGGAAATATAGGATACAAAGATGACACAAAATTTTCAGTATCTTGTGGAAATGAATACACTACACACACAGTTTATATATATATATAAATAAACACATTGTGTGTGTGTATGTGTGTGTGTGTGTATATATATATGGATGACACCAAGGGTTCAATTAAAATGCAACTGGCAGCTAGATTAATTTCTAAAAAGGTAATTAAGAAGTCCTAATTGCAATTTACTTCTTGATTCATTTTTGTTTTATATTACAATCTAGGTTATTAGAAAATACACTCATATGAGTATATCATTTATAATATGCTTATAAAGTATTTTAAATAAAAATATTGAGTGGCATTATGCAATCTGTATAACCAATAACTAGGCATTAGAGAGCCTGTTAACTTTGAAATACATACAGGTATGCAGACTTCCTGTTCCTAAACACCACAGTTAGGCACATCTCTCACATTTTCCTTTCACTATGTAATTTTAAGATTTTTTCCTCTTGCTTCTCTAGTTCTTTTAATCGTGATGTTAGGGTGTCGCTTTTAGATCTCTCCTGCTTTCTCTTGTGGGCATTTAGTGCTATAAATTTCCACCTACACACTGCTTTAAATGTGTCCCAGAGATTCTGGTATGTTGTGTCTTTGTTCTCATTGGTTTCAAAGAACATCTTTATTTCTGCCTTCATTTGGTTATTTACCCAGTAGTCATTCAGGAGCAGGTTGTTCAGTTTCCATGTAGTTGTGCAGTTTTGAGTGAGAGTCTTAACCCTGAGTTCTAATTTGATTGCACTGTGGTCTGAGAGACAGTTTGTTGTGATTTCTGTTCTTTTACATTTGCTGAAGAGTGTTTTACTTCCAATTATGTGGTCAATTTTAGAATAAGTGCAATGTGGTGCTAAGAAGAATGTATATTCTGTTGACTTGGGTTGGAGAGTTCTGTAGATGTCTATTAGGTCTGCTTGGTCCAGAGCTGACTTCAAGTCCTAGATATCCTTGTTAATTTTCTGTCTCCTTGATCTAATATTGACAGTGGGGTGTTAAAGTCTCCCATTATTATTGTGTGTGAGTCTAAGTCTCTTTGTAGGTCTCTAAGAACTTGCTTTATGAATCTGGGTGCTCCTGTATTGGGTGTATATATATTTAGGATAGTTAGCTCTTCTTGCGGAATTGATCCCTTTACCATTATGTAATGGCCTTGTCTCTTTTGACCTTTGTTGGTTTAAAGTCTGTTTTATCAGAGACCAGGATTGCAACCCCTGCTTTTTTTGCTTTCCATCTGCTTGGCAGATCTTCCACCATCCCTTTATTTTGAGCCTATGTGTGTGAAAAGACAACACTTAAAAATAACCGTAAATCTGTGTTAATGGATTCACAATAAAAAGCATATAATTTGTGACCTCAATAAAATACAATAAGGGGACATAGAGAGGCAGGATTTTTGTATGCTACTAAAGTTATCAGGTTAATACAAATTGTTAATAATTTTAAGATGTTTTGTGTAATATCTATGGTAACCACAAAAATACCTATAGTAGATACACAAAAAGAAATGAGAAAGGAATCAAAATATGCCACTATAAAAAAAAATCAATAAAACACCAAGGAAGACAGCAAGAGGAAAACAGAAACAAAAAAGCTACAAAATCTAAAATAAAAAACAAAAAGCAATGTCATTCCCTTTCAGTAATTACTTTGTACATAAAAAAAATTAAATCATTCACAAGACAAAATTTGGCTGAAATTCAATAAACAAGATCCGACTCTATGCTTTCAATAAAAGACCCACTTTAGATACAAAAACACACATGGGCTGAACATGAAAGCATGGAAAAAAGAAATTAAATGCAAAGTAAAATACTATCAGACAAAATATACATTACATCAAAAACTGTCACAAAATACAAGAAAGGGCATTATATAATAATAATAATAGTGTCCACTGACCAGAAAGCTATAACAAGCATTAGCATATATGCACCTAATGTCACAGCTCCCATATATACATTGTGACCTTTCACAGAATTGAAGCAAGTAGCTAGCAGCACAATAATAGTAGAAGACTTCCATACTCCACTTTCAGTAATGCAAAAACGAACAAAACCAAAAACAGAAAGAAGATCAATAAGGAAACAGAAGACTTGAACACTAAAGACAATTAGACTTAACATATATACATAACTTGTCACCCAACAACAGCAAAATACACAATGTCTTTAATCACATATGGTACATTATTCCAGATAGACAACTTTTTAAGCCATAAAATGTCTTAACAAATTTAAACAGATGGAAATCACACAAAGTATTATTTTTGACTACAACAGAATAGCTTTAAGTTAAAAATGAAAAGAAAACTGGCAGGTCTACAAATATGTAGAAATTAAACAGTCTCAAACACACAAACTTGTTTAAGAGTTTGAAGACTCAATATTCTTAAGATGTCAATACTATCCAAGGTGATTTACAGATTCAATGTACTCTCTATCAAAATATCAATAGATCTCTTTGCAGAAGTATTAAAATATTCTAAAATATCTATGGAATTTCAAGAAATCAGAAATAGCCAAACAATCTTGGGGGGAAAAAAAGGAGACATCTACTTTCTGATTTTAAAACATATTACAAAGCTATAGTAATCAAAACAGTGTGGTACTCAAAGACAGACAAGTATTATAGATGATGTAAAGATTAGAGAGCCCATAAATCCTCATGTATATAGTAAATTTATCTTCAACAAGGGTTCTAAGAACACACAATGAGGAAAGAACAGTCTCCTCACCAAAGAATGTTAGAAATACTAGAAATTTGCATGGGAAAGAATAAAGTTGGACCTCACTTTGTACCATATACAAACATGAACTTTAAATGAACTGACTTTCTTTTTGTAGCTATTGTGAATGGAATTATGAAATTTTATATCCTGCAACTTTAATGAATTTATTACTCCTAACAGTTTTGTTGTTTCTGGGTTTTTTTTGTTTTGTTTTGTTTTGTTTTTTTGGTGTTTGGTGTTGTGTTCAGGTTTTGTAAATGTAAGATCTTTTTGTCTCTAACAGGAACCATTTAACTTCCTCGTTTCCAATTTAGATGTAAAAGACATCTACTACTAAGTACTAAAATTAAGATACCTAGCAATGAACGTAACTAAGAAGATGAAATATTCCTACATTAAAACTACAAAGCATGGATGAAAAAATAAAATATATGTGAATAAATGAAAAGATATCTTGTGTTCATAGATTGAAAAGATATAATTAAAATGGCCATACTACCCCAAATGATCTATGAATTTAATGCAACTCTGATCAAAAAGTCACCAGCATTCTTCACAGAAATAGAAAAAAAAATTCTAAATTTATATGGAACCACAAGGGACCCTGAATAGCCAAAACAATCCTGAGCAAAAAGAATAAATCCGGAGACAATACAATACCTTACGTCAAAATTTACGACAAAGCTACAGTAAACTAAACAGTATTGTACTGGCACCAAACAGACATATAGACCAATATGCCTGCTGAGCCAAAAAATGCATTCATGCATCTAAAGCAAACTGATTTTCAAATGTGCCAAGAATACACTTTGGGGAAAAGACAGTTTCCTCAATAAATGATGCAGGAAAAATTGAATATCCATATGCAGAAGAATGAGACTACACTGCTACCACTCACCATATACCAAAAAAATCAAGTCAAACTGGATTAAAGAATTAAGTGTAATCAGCCCAAACTATTTCATAGTTTGCATAGGGCATTTGCATAGGGCAAATGCTTTAGTACAGACTTGGAAAATATTTTTCAAATAAGACTTCAAAAGCATGGCCAGTTGCAGTGGCTCGCTCATGCCTGTAATCCCAATGCTTTGGGACGCCAAGGTGGGAGAATCATTTGAGGTCAGGAATCGAGGGCATCCTGGGCTACATAGTGAGATCCTGTCCCTAAAAAAAAATGTTTTAAACTAGCTGGGTGTGGTGGCACGTGTCTATAGTGAGCCTACTCAAGTGGATGAGACAGGAGCATCACTTGAGCCCAGGAAATCAAGCCTGCAGTGAGCTATGATCATGCTACTTCACTCTAACCTGGGTGACAGAGTGAGACCCTGTTTCTTAAAAATAAAGACTTGAAAAGCACAGATAACAAAAGAAAAAGCAAATATAATTATATCCTACTAAAAAGAGTTTAAATACAAAATGAAAATACTGAGTGAAAAGACAACCTAAACAATGTGAGAAAATATTTGCAAACTATACATATGAAAAGGTGTTAATATCTAGATCATATAAGAAGCTTTAAGATTTCAAGATAATACAAACATATAACCGAATTTTAAAATGTGTGGAAGACCTTACTAGACATTCTCAAAAGAAGAAATACAAATGGCCAACAGGTACATAAAAAATGCTCAAAATCATTAATCAGACAGGAAATGCAAATCCAAACCCAGTGGGACCCCCTCACTCCAGTTTCAATGGGTATAATCAAAAAGACAAAACATAATAACAAAAATGTGTTGGTGAGGAGGTGAAGAATAGGAATGTATAAACACTGTTGGTGGAATTATAAATTAGTATAGCCACTATAGAAAATGGTATGAAGATTCCTCAAAAAATCATCAAACATAGAGGTACCATACGATCCAGCAATTCCACTACTGGGTATATATCCCCAAAGAAAGGAAATCAGAGTTTGACAAAGATATCTGCATTCCCATGTTTATTGCAGCACTATTTATAATAGCCAAGATATAAAACCAATTCAAGTGTATAGCAGCAGATAAATAATGAAAATGTGCTGTACGTACATACTATTAAATACTTTTCGGCCATTAAAAAAGAATAAAATCCTGTCATTTGAAACAACATGGATGGACTTGGAGAATCTCATGTTAAGTGAAATAAGCCATATGTAGAAAAGCAAATACTTTGTCTACCAATGTCTGGCCGCAGGCTGCCTTCGTCAGCTCCCGAGCTCACCCAGAGCTCACACCCACCTGCTAGACACTGCAGAGCCTCCTCATCAGCTCCCATGGCAAGCAAGATGATATGAGAGGTGATGTCGGCCATCAGCAAAGCAGAAGGCCCCCTGGGAGGAAGTGGGAGCCATGGGTCCGGCTCCCCTTCACAGCCAGACGCAGTTTCATATTTTGAACAATTGATGGTCTGCATGCTAGAAGAAAGAGGCTGTCTTCTTAACACACTGAGATTCCAGAAATGCTGGCACTAACCCAGGGGAAATCACACGAGGTTGGTCATGAAAGAGATTCCTTGCAGAGACAGCTCAACACTCCACCTCCACAGGAGTTCACGGCACTTACTAAAGAAGTCAATGTATGCAGGGAACAGCTCCTTGAAAGGAAAGAAGAAACTGCTGAAAAATGAAAGCAGAAAGGAACACCACCAGGCTACTATTAGAGCATTTGGAATGCCCTGTCTCCAGGCATGAGCGGTATCTCAGGATGACAGTGATGAAGAAACAAGTGCAGTCTCCAGCAGGCATGTCCAGCGAAGCTGAAGTGCTGAAAGCACTGAAGTCATTATCTGAACAGCACAAAGCTCTGGATGAAAAGGTGAGAGCGCGATTATGAGCAGCACTTGAAAGATGTAGTTTGTTAGAAGAAGAATTAGGTGTCACACACAAAGAGCTAATGATTCTTAAACAACAGAATAGTCAGAAAAAAAAAACACTAACAGGTGGAGTGCTTAACATAAACCATGAACAAGAAAATACATCAAACATGAACGGAAAGAGATCTTCTGATGGTTCTTCAAGCTATAAGGAAGACCTTGCTAAAGTAAGTGTGGTCCAAGAAATCATAAACAGTCAAGGGAGCACAGCCAAATGAAAGAGCACCTGGCTGCCCTCTCCAGTCATGTGACAGAGCTGGAAGAGGATCTGAAAGATTTTCCTCAAATCTAGAAAAGATTTCATCAAATTTGAAGAAATGAACTCCAAATTGCAAGAAGATGTCCATAAAGCCATGGCCCAAAAGGAAGACATGAAGAGAGAATCACTACTTTTGAAAAATGTGACCTTGCTGGTCGACCTTAGACATTGCCCTTGGCCAAGTGGCAGGCTTGCTGATCATGGTCCTGGCTACAGAAAAAAACTTGCCACATCCCACTGTAGACTTAGCTATAACCCACTTGGCCTTTGTCCTGTCACTAGGACCATCTGCCAAGAACAGAGGACAACTTATACCCACCTAAGTCTTAGGTGACATACATGCAGAATTTGGTCCTGTCTGTGACACATGAATCAGGCAAAACCCACCTTCTTCACCTCTCACCCATGGTCTGGAAAAAAAGTCCTGCCCACACAGAGATTCTCAGGGAAAAAAATCTATCTGTGGTTCTATATATAGGACCATCAACAATTATCTGAATGTGGACCTGAAGTGGCACTGTAACCTGGCTCCAGCTGCATGCAGCCACAGTTCAGGAGCAGTTATGCTTAACCTGAGACATCCCTGAAGGCACACACATCTGTGCCCATAAAGGCATGACTGCTAACATTAGTCTCATTGTGAATCTTAAAGCAGCTCTGTAACCTAGGTGACTTGGGTGCTGCTAAAGGTATTCAGTTTTATAAGGGAAGCAAACCATAAAAGTTCAGAAAATTTGCAGCCTAACAATGCGATAGAAAAGAAAATCCCATTTTCTGAGAAGAAATTCAGGCCAGCTGCAGATATTTCCATAAGTAATGAAGAGCCGAATGTTAATCACCAAGATAATGGGGAAAATGTCTCCAGGGCATGTCAGAAGTCTTCATGGCAGCCCCTCCCATCACAGGCCCAGAGGCATAGGAGGAAAAGGTGGTTTCCTGGGTCAGGCCCAGGGTCCCCATGCTGCCTGCAGCCTAGGGACTTGGTGCCCTGCATCCCAGCGGCTCCAGCAGTGGCTGAAAGGGGCCAATACAGAGCTCAGGCTGTGGCTTCAGAGGGTGCAAGCCCCAAGCCTTGGCAGCTTTCACGTGGTGTTGAGCCTGTGAGTGTACAGAAGTCGAGGATTGGGGTTTGGGAACCCCCGTTTAGATTTCAGAGGATACACAGAAATGCCTGGATGCCCAGGCAGAAGTTTGCTGCAGGGGCAGGGAGAACCTCTGCTAGGGCAGTGCAGAAGGGAAATGTGGAATTGGAGCCCCCACACAGAGTCCCTACTTGGGCACAGCCTAGTGGAGCTGTGAGAAGAGGGCCACTGTCCTCCAGACCCCAGAATAGTAGATACACTGACAGCTTGCACTGGACACCTGAAAAAGCTGCAGACACTCAATGCCAGCCAGTAAAAGCGGCCAGGAGGGTGGCTATACCCTGCAAAGCCACAGGGGCAGAGCTGCCCAAGGCTGTAAGAGCCCACCTCTTGCATCAGCATGACCTGGATGTGAGACATGGAGTCAAAGGAGATCATCTTGGAGCTTTAAGATTTGACTGCCCTGCTGGATTTTGGACTTGCATGGGGCTTATAGCCCCTTTGTTTTGGCCAATTTCTCCCATTTGAAATGGCTACCCAATGCCTGCACCCCCAATGTATCTAGGAAGTAACCAACTTGCTTTTGATTTTACAGGCTCACAGGCAGAAGGGACTTGCCTTGTCTCAGATGAGACTCTGGACTGTGGACATTTGAGTTAATGCTGAAATTAGTTAGGACTTTGGGGGACTATTGGGAAGGCATGATTGTGTTTTGAAATGTGAGGACATGAGATTTGGGAGAGGCCAGGGGCGGAATGATATGGTTTGGCTGTGTCCCCACCCAAATCTTATCTTCAATTCCCATGTGTTGTGGGAGGGACCTGGTCGGAGGTAACTGAATCATGGGGGCAGGTCTTTCCTGTGCTAATCTTGTGACAATGAATAAGTCTCAGGAGATCTGATGGTTTTATAAAGGGGAGTTTATCTGCACAAGCTCCCTCTCTTTTTGCCTGCTGCCATCCATGTAAGATGTGACTTGCTCCTCCTCGCCTTCCACTGTGATTGTGAGGCCTCCCCAGCCACGTGGAACTGTAAGTCCATTAAACCTCTTTCTTTTGTAAATTACCCAGTCTTGGGTATGTCTTTATCAGCAGTGTGAGGACAGACTAATACACCATCCAAGACCACCTCAGCCTGGATTTTGTTGTCCGTATCATTATCAGCATTTTGGTCAAAACCATTCAACAAGTCTCTAGGGAGTTCCAAACTTTCCCACATTTTCCTGTCTTCTTCTGAGCCCTCCAAACTGTTCTAATCTCTGCCTGCTACCCAGTTCCAAAGTTGCTTCCATATTTTCAGGTATCTATCTTTTCAGCAGCACCTCACTCTACTGGTACCAATTTACTGTATTACTCCGTTTTCATAACTGCTGATAAAGACACAGCCAAGACTGGGCAATTTATAAAAGAAAGAGGTTTAGTGGACTCACAGTTCCACATGGCTGAGGAGGCCTCACAATCATGGTGGAAGGTGAAAGGCACATCTCACATGGCAGCAGACAAGAGAAGAGAGCCTGTGCAGGGAAACTCTCCTTTATAAAACCATCAGATCTCGTGAGACTTATTCACTATCACAAGAATAGCACAGGAAAGACCCGCCCCATCATTCAATTACCTCCCATTGGGTCCCTCCCACAGCATGTGGGAATTGTGGAAGCTACAATTCAAGATGAGATTTGGGTGGGGACACAGCCAAACCATATCAAATGCTAATGAAAAACACACAAAAAATTAAAAGTATAAATGTCACTGGAAATGGTAAATACATAGTGAAATTCAGAATACACTAATACCATAACGTTAGTGTACAAATCACTTTTAACTCTAGTATAAAAGCTACAAAATAAAAGCATTAAAATAAGTATACCTACAATAATTTGTTAATGAATACACAGTATAAAAAGTTATAAAGTATAACATATACAGTAATAAAATGTGTGAAAGGGAGAAAAACTGTGGAGTTTTTTTCTATGGATAGATGTTAAATTGTTATCATCTTAAACTAGACTGTTACAAATATAAGATATTTTATCTAAGTCTCCTGATAACCTCTAGGAAAAAACTGTAGTAGATACACAAATGGAAAAAGCCATCAAAACATAAAAACAACAAAAACAAATCCAAAAATTAACAGAAGACAGCATGAGAAAAAAAGAAACTATAAAACAGAAAACAATAAAACTGTAATAGTAAATCCTTATGTATCAATAATTACTTTACATATAAAGAGATTAAATTATCCAATAAACAGATACTGGTATAGACTGAATGTCACCTCCAAAATTTAGGATAAAATTTAATAGCCATTGTGATGGAATTAAGAGGTGGGATCTTTAAGAAGTGGTTAGGCCATTGGGACTCTGCCCTCATGAATTAATGTCCTTATGGGAGTGTGTTAGTTATCACAAAAGTGAGTCTGTTATAAAAGGGAGCTCTCTTCTCCCTCAGGCCTTTGGCCATGTTACTATGCAGCAAAAAGGCCTTCACCAGATAACAATGTCGTTTTCTTTGCCTTCCAAGCTCCTGGAATCATGAGCCAAATAAACTACCCCTGTTTATAAATTAGCCAATCTGTGGTATTCTATTATAGAAAACAAAACAGACTAGAATAAACACAGAGTGGCTAAATGAATTTTTTTAAACTAACAGTATGCTGCTTACAAGAGACTCACTTTTGATTTAAGGACAAACATAAACTTAAAGAATAGAAACCACAGTGCATGCAAACAACAACCAAAAATCAGGAGTGGTTGTTGGTTATATTAGACAAAACAGACTTCCATGCAAAAATCTGTCACAAGAGGAAAGGAGTTCACTACATGATGATAAAGAAGTTAATTTGTTAAGAGGATATAGAAACTAAAACTATGTATGCACCCAACACTGGAGCACCCAAATATATAAAGCAAACATTAACATACCTGTGGTGAGAAAACGAAATGCAATAACAGGGAACTTCAATGTCCTATTTACAACAAAGCATGGAATATTTAGAGAGAAAACTAATAAAAAAAAAGAGTTCACCTGTATAACACCATAAACTAAATAGACAATATTTTATCAAACAGTATGAGAATACACATTCTTCTCAAGAATACATGGAATATTCTCCAGGATAGATCATATGTTAAACCAAAAATAGAAAACAAGTCTTTTTAAATTTAGGATTAAAATTATATCAAGTTTTTTATCATAATGGTGTAAAACTAGAAAATCAACAGCAGGAGGAAAACTAGAAAGCTCACAAATGTGTGTGATACAGTGTGGATGTTTAGTCTCCCACCACAAAACTCATGTTGAAAAGTAATCCCCATTCTTGAAGGTGGAACCTAATATGGGGTGTCTGAATAATAGGGGCAGATCCCTCAAGAATTCTTTGGTGCTGTCCTTGATAGTGAGATGTTATGAGATCTGGTTGTTTAAAAGTGTGTAGCACCTCCCAACTTAGTCTGGTGCTCCTGCTCTTGCCATGTGACTGCCTGTTCTACCTTTACCAATTCCCCTGATTGCAAACTTACTGAGGCCCTCGCCAGAAGCCAAGCAGATGCTGGTGCCATGCTTCTGTACAGACTGCAGAACTGTAGACCAATTAAATCTCTTTTCTTTATAGAATAGACTAATACAGTGTTGACATTAAACAACATGCTTCTGAACAACCATGAAATCAAAAGGGAAATAAAAAATTGTCTTGATACAAATGAAATTGGAAACACAAGAAACCAAAACTTCTGAGATGTAACAAAAGCAGTTCTAAGACAGAAGTATAAAATGATAAAGTTCTACAATAAGGAAAACAAAGATCTCAAATAAGCAATCTAACTGTAATCCTCAAGGAGCTTGATCAAGAAGAACAAAATAATCCCAGTGTTGGCATAATTATGGAAATAATAAAAATTAGAGCAAAGAGAGAGAGAGACTAGAAAAATAAAAAATATCAAAAAACTGAGTCATTAAAAAAAAACAAAATGAACAAACTTTTCCTAGATTATCCAAGGGAAAAAAAAAGAGAGAGGACTCAAAAAGCTATTAATGAAAAAGCAGTCATTCCAGCTGATATCACAGAAAGAAAAAAAATAAGAAACTATTATGAACAATTACATAACAAAAAAAGATAACTTAGAAGAAATTGATTCTTAGAAAGAACACCACACTGTGAAGAAACAGAAATACCCAAAAGACTAATAATGAGAAAGAAGACAGAAATACTCAGAAATCTTCCAATTTAAAAAAAATCCCATGACCAAATGACTTCATGGGTAAACTGTATCAAGCATTTAAAAAAGCAATGTCAACACTTTTCAAACTCTTCCAAAAAACTGAAAGAAAAAAGCACTTTCAAACTCATTTTATGAGACCACCAACATCTCATACTGAAGCCAGATAAGGACACTACAAAAAAGTAACAAAACAATATTCCTTATAAAGATACAAGCAAAAATTCTCAACAAAATACTAGATACCAAATTCAAAAACACATTAAAAGGATCAGACATCATTATCAAGTAGGATTTATCCCTGAGATGCAAGAATGTTTTAACATACACAATTTAAATGATATACCACAATAACAAAAAGATGAAAATCATATAATCCTCTCAAAAAATTTATTAAAAGCCTATAACAGAAGTAAATACATTTTCATAATAAAAACTCCAAACAACATACATACAAAAGTATCCATCTCAACAGAGTAAACAGTGAAATGCTGAAAGTTTCCTCTAGTATCAGAAACAAGACAGAGGTGCCCAATCTCAACACTTCTATTCAACATAGTAGTGAGAAATCAAGCCAGAACAATTAGGTAAGAAAAAGAAACAAAAAGGCATTCAAATCAGGAATAAAGAAGTAAAATTCTCACTGTTTACAGATGAAGTGATTTGAAGATACAGAAAACCATAAAGACTATACCAAACAAACAAAAAATAGAGCTAATATATCCATTCAGTAAAGTTGAGGCCACAAAAATATACAAAAATTAGTAGCATTTCCATATACTAACAATAAACTGAGAAAAAAGTTACAAAAAAATCTGATTTATAATAGTATCAAAAATTTTTTTTAAATTTTATAACTTCATTTAACAAAAGAAGTGAAAGATCTGTCCAGTAAAATCTATAAAACACTGATGAAAGTAATTGAAAAAGACACAAATGGAAAAATATCCCTTCTTCATGGATTGGAAAAAATATTGCTAAAATGTCCATACTTCACAAAATGATTCACAGATCCAATGAAATCTGTATTGACATTTTAATGGCATTTTTCACAGAAATAGAAAAAATTATAAAACTTCAATGGAATCACAAATAACTCCAAATAGCCCATGCAATCTTGAAAAAGAAGAATAAAGCTAGAGGCATCACACTTCTTCATTTCAAACTATTACACAGCTATACTAATCAAGAGTATGGTACTGACGTAAAAACAGACACATAGACCAATGGAATAGAATACAAAAACCAGAAAGAAACCCATGTGCATACAGTCAACTATTACTTTGACAAGGGCACCAAGATACACAAAGGGGAAGTATAGTCTCTTCAACAAATAATGCTGAAAGAAAGTAGTCATCTGCAAAAGAATAAAATTTACTTATACTATGTACAAAAATTAACTCAAAAGAATTAACACTTAAATGCAAAACCAGAAACTGTATAACTTCTAGAACAAAGCATAAGGAAAAATCTCTTTGACACTGGCCTTGGCAATAATTTTTCTGGCTATCACATCAAAAAATCACAAGCAACAAAAAGCAAAAAATAAAAACAAGTAGCATTAAATGAAACAAAAAAGTGTATGCACAGCAAACACAGAACATGAAAAAGCGACCCAGGGACTGGGAGAAAATAGATCTGATAAGAGTTTTATATCCAAAATATTAAGAATCTCACACAATTCGATAGCAAAAAAAAAAAAAAAAGTAAATCTGACAAAAATTTGCAAAGGACTCAAGTAGACATTTCTCAAAATATGACATGGAAGTGGCAAACAAGTTTATAAAAAGGTTCTCAATGTTATTATTCATCAGGAAAATGCAAGTAAAACCATAATAAGATATCATCTCACACTTGTTAGTATAACTGCTGTCAAAGAGTCAATAAATAAATATTCACACTTGTTAGAATGACTGCTGTCAGAGTCAAGAAATATTAAGAGTCAGAGTGTGGAGAAAAGAAAACCCTTGTACACTGTCAGTGGAAATGTAAATTGATTCAGCCATTATGAAAAATGGCACGAAGGCACCTCAAAAAAAATTAAAAATAGTATTATATGAACCTTCAATGCTACTTCTAATTGTATAACCAAAGGAAATAAAATCATATGTCAAAGATATATCTGTACCCCTATGTTCATAGCCAATTATTCACAATATATAGAATATTATTCAGACATAATGAAGAAGGTACTGCAATTTCTGACAACATGGATGAATAAACAAGGTAGACATTATGGTAACAAGTACAAACTTTCATTTACAAGATAAATTCTGAATATCTAATGTACAGCATTGTAAATATAGTTAATGATACTCTACAGTAGCAGTACCCAACCTTTTCAGCAGCAGGGACCAGTTTTATGGAAAACAATTTTTCCATGGATGGAGGTCGAGTCGGGGGTGGTTTTGGGATGAAGCTGTTTTACCTCAGATCATCAGGCATTAGATAGATTCTCATAAAAAGCACACAACCTAGATCTTTTGCATGCACAGTTCACAAAAGGGTTCACACTCCTATGAGAATCAAATGCTGCTGCTGATCTGAGAGGAGGCAGCGATCAGGCAGTAATGCTTGCTGGCCCAATGGTCACACCTCCTGCTGTGTGATCGGATTCCTCACAGGCCACAGACCAGTACTATAGACCCCTGCACTACAGTATACTTGAGATTTGTTAACAGTGTACATCTTAAGAGTTCTCACCACACACACAAAAATTGGCATCTAATGTGAGATGACTGATGTGGTAATTAACTTTGCTGTGTTAGTCATTACACAATGTGTATGTATATCAAATCATCAAGATGTAACCTTTAAATAGATAATATTTATATTGTGGAAAGAATCATATGTCTAGAAAGAAAAAAAAGGAACTAAAGGACACATTCTCAGTAAGCTTCATACTGAACCAGACAAAATTATAGAATGATAGTTATTAAGATACAAGGCAACAGTTTAGAGTTTATTATATACTGGACAATGTTCTAAGCTCCCCATAGACAAAAATTTAGATAAGAAGTCTATATAATAAGTAATACACATTAAACTATTTTACATTTGTGGAATTTGTGCCTATAGAGTTTAAATTTCTCATCTTAGTTCAGGTGAGAAAAAATGAGAAGTTGAAGTGAAACATAAGATTAGATTTTCTTAGATTTGGGAAGATGCCTTGTATTTTCATAAAATTACTGCATCTTAATTTCTATAGGATCACCTTGGAAACCACAATACGATTAAAAATTAATGTATCAGAAAATATGTGACATCTATCCACAGAATTCCTGAGACTTCTGAAAAAAATTCCACTGTCCATCACTCTCCTCACACACTTCTGACATGAGGCAAAACCAGAACTTTAGAAGTGGTTTCACATAGAGGTAGAAACATGCACAGACTTTCCCAGAGCCCCCAAATCAATGGAAGAACAGTCAGATCAAGCAGGCCCTCACAGGCCAAGGGGAGCACTTTGGCTGTCACTGTGAATATGATGGCGGATCACAGAAGAGGAAGGAGAATCATCAGATAATTCAAGAGCATGGGACAGAAGATGTCCCTCTTTGACAGCAAGGGAAAGAAATAAAGCCAGGTGTCTCAAAAATCATTTCCACTGGAGAACTTCCCAATCCACACTTCAAGGTCTGGTTCTTTCTTGACTTCTGGACCTCTCGCCCATGTCATCTACTTCATTCGCTCCCACCTACCTGGCTGGATGGCTACTGTCTCCTCACTCTTCACATTCCAAGGCTCTTTCCTTTGTTCCAAAAAGGTGATCAGGTCCGGCTTAGAGACAACAAGACCTGTTTTATTGGAAAAATTCACATGACTCTTAATGAGGGTTCTTTTTATTTTTTATTTTTATACTTTTTTTTGGCCCCACAGGACAGGATTAATTTCTAACTTAGTACTGTGCTCAGTAGAAAAAATAAGACATTATAGAAGATTCTTGAAAAGTATTTCTCAAAATATTGTTTCCTACCAGCTTCTTTAGAATATTTAGGAAGCATTTTAAATCTGGGGATCCTGAGCTTCTGCAAATCTGACTGAATCAAAAACAAACAAAAAAAATTGGATTTTAAAGTGTAAGCAACAATAGTTTATGTCAACCAATTTCTAGAATCACGACTAGAGTGAAACTTGTACATCACCTCAAATAAAAAGGCGAATGTCAAAATCAAACATTATGAAATTTTTTCTACTTCAACAAAACCCCTATTTTTTTCCTGAAAACAAGAATCTAAAACTAACTCATACAAAGCACAAGATCCCAAGGGACATTCTGAAAAGAAAATAAAACTCTTAGTTATTAGATATTCCGAAGGCAAGTTATCCTCACCCAGAGAGACCAGGTTTCTGTAGTTTTCTAACATCACATCCTGATACAAATTCTTCTGAGCTGGTTCCAGGTGTTCCCACTCCTCCAAAGAGAATTCTACGGCCACATCCCTGAATGTCAACAGTCCCTGAAATAAAAATAAAGAATACACTGACCATGTGGCCATGGCAGAGTTCTTCATTTGTCCCAAGATGAAATGACAGTTATTGGTTCTGACATATATGAGTGACCTGAATTATTCAGTAAGATCATTTTTAACACAGTAATATTTTCTAATGTAGTCTCAAACTCTGTGGAAAGAAAATAACATAAAATCCACAAAACTAGTGTAGATATTTATATCAAATGTAAAATATAAAACTAAGGCATCAACACAGGAATATACATTTTTGGGTGCTATATTTACATCATCCAGAATCAGCTGTGTATAATTCTCAGGTGCAAAAGTCATGGTGACTTAGAGGCATACTTCTCAAATTGTATAGTATACAACAATAAACTGGAGATCTTCTTCAAAGGCAGAGTCTGATTCAGGAGATCTAGATTTTGAGTTTCTGCATTTCCATATTTTTTAATTTTTAATTTTGACACAGGGTCTCGCTCTGCCACCCAGGCTGGAGTGCAGTGGTTGAATCTTGGCTCACTGCAGCCTCAACCTCCTGGGCTCAGGCGATCCTCCTGTTTCAGCCTCCTGAGTAGCTAAGGCTACAGGCATGAGCCACCATGGCTGGCTGAGTATCTGCATGTCTAACAAGTTCACCAGTAGTGTTAATGCTTCAGGCCCCAAAGCCACTTTTGAATAGCAGAGAGGTCGAACACTGAGGAAAGAATTCAGGCATGATGTGAAACTGAGAGTTTTATGAAATTTACAAGTTATAACAGCTAGAATGGTAGTAATCCTTTTTGAACATGCACAATATATCAGATATCATCCTAAAAGTTGTTTACATATATAAAACCCAATAAATAATCTGAGAAAAATTATATTCTTCCTCTTATATAAAAATTATTTTCCAAATATTTGCTACATAGTAGTTTGTATTTTGCCTCAGTTTATCTGATTTAGAATTTATCTCAAAGGGACATACCGGCCAATATACAGAGACAACCTTAACAGAATGTTCAGAGAAGATTTCGTAACTGAGTAACGAAAACAAGAAAGCAGCCACACAATAGTGATCGAATAATGCTTTCATTTTATGTGCATATGTGCACATAATGGTAACTATATACACACTAAAAGTAAGATAATATTTCTGTGTAAATAAAATTTAAAAATATTTTAAATTGTATAAAAACTATAAAACTCTTTGTGGGTGATGCCTTTTTTGTGATGCCTTTATAAAGACCAATACATACAATGAAATAAAGTAAAGGCTCTTGTTTCTGAGTCTGGTATTTTTTTTCAAGTTTTTGTTATGTTTATTCTATGTGCTATTATATATTTTAGAATTTTAAGACAATAGACATATTTGTTATATGTTAATTCTTGTTCTTTCTCTGAAAATATAGAGAATAAATAAGCATATGCTTGTGACATGAGATGAAATAAAATGGAAACCTACAGAACTGAGACCTGCTTCAGAACTTCCAGTCTTAAAAGCTGTTATCTCCTGTCAACAAATGTGAGAGCCTTTACTCTGCAAAGAAAGCTACAAGCAAAGGGAAACCAAAAAGAAATGGGAGTCTCTGGATTAAATGTGATGGTTTATAGACATCACTCAGTAAATCCTCCCTCCTAGATACTCATTACAAAGAGAAAAATGATTAACTTTATAGCGAAGGAATCTGACAGAGAGCACCTGCACCAAGTGAATGAAGTTAGCATCGTCTGTAATAAGACAAATTGGTACCAGTGCTAATGCACAGATGGGCCCATAATCATTGCTGTGATATGGGCGGAGGGGAACAGTAAATCATAATCTTAATATAATCATAAAAAAACAATCTGTGGGGGAAGATACAGGTGACCATAGATCTTCAAACTGGTTATGTGACCCTACTTAGAAGCCTGGGCTGAGAATCACTTAGCTAAGCATTGCCTCTCAAGGTTCAATACGCATACATATCATTTGGTATTCTGGGCCCCCTCTAAGTAATGTGATTCTGCAGGTTTGGAAAGTTTCCATGAACTGGCTTCTTTAACAAGTCCCCTGTCAATGCTGATGTTGCTCCTCCTAGACCCATTATCAATAGCACTCAGCTAGAGGAAGCAGACACAGCACAGAGTCCCTTACGCCCAATACTCTAATCACAACAAAAATACTTTTCGTTCACAGTGAGGACCACCAACCACTGTCCTGAAAGATCACACCCTTTGCCAGCCATTTAAAGTCTACAGATACAGAGACTGGAGAAGACAGTTATGTCTAAGTCAGCATTTGGAAAACAGCACGGATACATGCATTAAAGCAGTGTTTATTGAGCTTGTACTATGTGCTCACAGTATGTACTGTGCTGGGAACATCACATGGTGTGAGTTAAGCCATATAAACCCCTGGGATATGGGTCCTAAGTATCCCATAATTCCCAGCAGGATTTAGATAATGGCTCAGCCTTTCTATTTCTTCTTGTTTCCCTATCACTATAAAAGCTAACTATAGACAGATGGGAGGGATACAGAAAGGAAGGAGTCAAGTTTAGTTCACAAGAATTTCTCCACTGGGCACGGTGGCTCACGCCTGTAATCCCAGCACTTTGGGAAGCCAAGATGGGTGTTATCACTTGAGGTCAGGAGTTCAAGATCAGCCTGGTCAACATTGTGAAACCCTGTCTCTACTAAAAATACAAAAATCAGCTGTGCATGGTGGCACACCTATAATCCCAGCTACTCGGGAGGCTGAGGCAGGAGAATCATCTGAACCGGGAAGGCAGAAGTTGTGTGAGCCGAGATGACACTATTCCAGCCTAGGCAACAGAGTGAGATTCGGTCTCAAAAAAAAAAAAAAAAAAAAGAAGAAGAAAAAGAATTTCTCATTATTCTCTTTATATCTTTATACTGACTTTGTGACAACTTGTGAAGCAACTACTGGATCTGCAGAAATGAAAAAGATGTTGCCAGGTGGAATGTTTCTAAAGGTACTGGTTTCAATAAGAAAAAAATTTAATTTTCAAATAATTTTGAAAAAGTGAGTCCTGTGCTCCCATTTACCTGCTTTTGGGTTTGGGGAAATTGTGAGCACCACCTCTGAAGAGATGGCAGCAGCGGCCACCCAGAAATCTGATCTCCTCTAGTCAGTTCTGTGAGGGGAGGCTCCAGGGTAGGGACAGACCTGGACCAGGCTCAGAAGAGGCTGGATTTGGGCAGAGCTGGGGCAGGGGCTGGGCTAGGCTTCTCATCTCTACATTGCTGCTTTATTTTCAGCTGTCTTTCCTAAGCCTGACCAACAAGAACTTGACTCCCATGGTTTGCCTTGTTTAAATAGTTTAAGCTTCATCCTATTTTGTAACATGCAACAAGCAATTTAACCAAAACATGTAGGGCTTTCTACGAAAATTATATTAGTAGCTACATAATTATCTTTAACAAGAAAAAATCAATATAAATAATAATTATAATAACAACTCTTTTGTCCACGGGTGGCCCTTCGGGTGGTGACATCAGAATTCACAACGTCAACATAAGGGCAGTGTCCCAAATCAAGCCCAAGTTCCCTGTACACCTCCATTCTTGCTCCTGACCACATGATGTTGAATTCAACCATTATCCGTCTGCTTTAGACTGAAAGTTCCTGGATGGTAGGGACTATGGCTGCTGCATCTGTTTTCCTAGTGGCCATATGAAATGGAAGCAATTGGTTTACCTATCAGTATGAGTCTCCAGAACTCCTCCTTGTATTTCACCCACACATTAGAAAACTGGAGCAACTCCCACTTGGATACCAAATAAGGAGATTCCTTCTGTTAAAAAAGAAACAAACCCTGATGACTCATTCTTCTCCCTCTGAGACGGAAGCAAGATTAGCCCGTTGTCAGCCTGTCCCCTGCCTGCACAGGATATATAACCAAGTGTCCCCTAGGTGCTGGTAAGAGAGTCCCTGGTAACTGTGTGATGAAAACCCAATAGTGATTCAGGCAGGAAAGACTCAAGTTGTCCTTGTGGAACCAGAATAGAAAATTGAGTTGTCATAGTAGGGCCACAGATCCAGGATCCAGATATGTTATTACCTATACCTGATCAGCTGACTCTTGGGTACAAGAAAGGACAAGATTACCCTACTCCAGTAACACAGCTCACAGGTAGGCATAGCTTTACTCATGGCTCTGGACAGTGGTGGCCCCACCCTCCCTCTGCTAAGGTGCTGCTTTACACTTACAGATTCTGCCACGAGATTCTGTTTATAAAAAGGAACCACTCACAGAACTGCTGTAGCTCACTGGACAAGGTCTTGAAAACTCTGAGGGCCTCACTCCAAAAGTAGGGCTTTACAAAGTCCATGTTGATCTCTCACAATGCAGAAAATGTCCCCTGGATTTTCTATATATCCTGAGTCCAAAGTCTGGCCCTGTCTTGTGGATCCCAGGTGGAGACCAGCCTTTATGTGCAGACCCCAGGTGGAATCAACCTGGCTCTGCAATTCTTGTGTATTGCTGTGAAGAAAACTAGAGGAGACAGCCCTTCAGGAAGGCTGCTCTCACACATCCTGGAGAACCTCAGGACCTGGGTTCAGAATTCACAGCTGCAGATTTAGGTGCTGGTGGCGCAGGGAAGTGGCATGCACCTTCTGCACATTCATGGGCATTTGGGCAAGAGGATGAAGGGAATGTTGAGATTCTCCGGCCTGCTCAATGTATGTGTGTGCCTGGTTGGTTTCCAGCCCCCATGGTCTCTGAATCAGTTTCAGGTCTGAAGATGCCAGGGGCATGGAAAGACAGAGCTGGAATGGCTAACTGATGCCCTGTAAACTTATTTTTATAGAAATCTAGTCAAACTATTCTAGAAGCGACTGAAGATCCCAAGTAAGCAGAAAGACCATTCTGCCTGCAGATTTTCGGGGCAATGGGCACTTTGCTGCACAAATGTGGGTTGTGAACAGAAATCAAAGAGGGAAAGGACCCACTGGAGTGAAGTCTTACAGGCATCGTACAGGTTTATATTCTGTGTAGTAATTCTGGGCAATGTTTGAAAAATATAATGAAGAAGAAAATCATAAAATCATCTCCAACCCCAGAAAAACTATCCATAGTGGTAGAAAAGAAAGAAAACTGTTTTATGACATAATTAGCCCAGAATGTAAAGGAATGATAGGCAACCTGCTAAGAGATTAGAAAAATACCCACTGGTGAAAAGTCACCATAATTAGTCCTCAATAGAAGACCTGACAGCACCATTTGTCAGAGAGAGTTCATCCTAAATTCACCTGGGAATTGGGAGGCCATCTGTGTTTTTTAATTGGCTATAGTCAAAGGAAAAATAAACTTCATGTCTTTATGACAGGCAGATTTGCAACTTGGAGCCAGGTGCCTGCCCTCCTAGAGAAACTGTAGGATATGGATCTATCTTCTTTGCTATTTACATTTTATATCAATGATTCCCAGTTCCTAGAGAAAGGCAGTACTGAGTCAAAAAGACTGACAAATGGCCTATTTAGCTGTTAAGAGTGATTTAGACAGGTTGTAAAACAGAAAAATAATTTACATATGAAAGTTTTCCAAAGTAAATGCTTTAAGAAAAAAAAAAAGAAAAATTTCTTTCCTTATTTTCAAGAAGGATTAAGTCTTGTATTTCTAATTTGTATTTGCTCTTACAACAGCCAGATCTAGCGCCATGGTCTTGAGCTCACAGACATCTGAGTTCCAATAGGTGCTGGATTCAGGCACCTGTGGGGTGACCTTGGGAACACCGTGTACACATAAAGAAGGGGCTTGTGGGGAAGTAAAAGGCAGAAGAGAGGAAGGTGCTATTGAGCCATGAGCAGGGGGCAGTACCAAGTTGGTGGAAGGACTGGTTTGTGCTACAGATACTGGCCCAGGTGGGACTATGCTCTGACATATCCCTGGGTCCACGCAGGCAGATGAGATTATGATTGGATGGTCCACAAGCCTAGGTTGATGGAGAAACTAGGCTGCTGCTACGGATTCAGTGTCTGGGATTACAACAAGCCAGGAGTCCTCAGGCACTTGTGTGGGTTTTTGGCAGGAAACCGGAAGCAAAGGTGCTGTGGGTGCAATTCCTGACAGTCAAGCCTTCTCCTGGGATGGACGGGGACATGTCAATGCCTAGTTGGTATGTTCAGGAGTGGGTGGGAATCATGTGGTGGCAGCTGGGTCGGGGAGGGGGTCTCTTCTCAGAACTCCTTTCCTCTCAGTGTTCAGTCCCTTCTCACCCTAGCAGGAGACCTGGAATCAAAGGACAATGCACAGTGGGGCAGCCTGTGTGCAGAACACAGCCTCTCTTCCCACAGACACTTGGGAGTCTCTCTCCAGCCCAGGCCTCTGTGAGGTCTGTCTTCTGACATCAAATGTGTAGAGTTTGCTGAACACCAACCAATCCTCCAACATCAACTGGGTGCCAAAAACTTAATTCTGACACCACGCAGAGTCAGCGCAGGCCCCACAAGTTCTCGGCTCAGTCCCACAACACTGCCCCCACTTCAGATGCCAGTCACAATGCCTGGGGCCCTATCTATACTTCCAAGCTACTGCCTGTAAATCGAGGGCACCCATAACCCTATCCTTAAGTTCAATCATTTCAAAGATCTACTCAAATAACTCAGCAAATCACTTTACTTATGTTTATCAGGTTATCATAAGGATATAGTTCAGAACAGCCAAATGAGATAAATACATACAGGGCAAAAAAAAAAGTAGTGGGAAAAAATAGGAACAGTAACCTGGTAAATAGCTGTGATTAAAGAAATCCCCCATCTTTTGTGTTTTCCAAGAACAGCCTACTGCAAAAAACAACCCTATTATGACTTCGATGATGCTCCCTGATTTAGTCATCACAAAGCCACAGACTCTCCAAATTCCCCTTCTGACTCAGCTGAACAGCTCTGTCTTCAGTGTTCAGAATAAACTACTTAACAAAACTTTGTATTTTTCTCCAGGTTGCTGGACTTTGACACACTCACAGCCTGGTCAACATTCAACCCCTCCCTAAGCCCCTCCTAAGAACAGGCTGACATCAGAGTGAAACATTCTCTGATCTCGAATCTGATTTTGGCACCTTAATCCTGCCCTTCCCCTCCTACCTTCTGAGCTTGTTTGCTCCTCCCTGTGAAAGAAAGTCTTTGTCTGCCTAACCTTTGAGATCCACAAAGATCTTACAGCTGTTGCTTTCCCCCTATTGCAATACTCCTTTAGAATTAAGGAACTTCTTACCTAAACCTGAATTTGTTTTATTTGACAAAATCAAATAAAATGTGGGGAAGGAACTGGAAACTTAATATTTTACTGCAAGCCTCAGTCTGGGGGAACACAGTGGTAGATTTGAGACTCTGCGTGCCACACATTAGGAAAACACAGGGGGAAAACCAGTTGTCGGGTGGGGGGAGTGTTAAAATGATTAATGAGTAGGCGACTATATGGAAGTGGTTGTAGTGCCCTGGGTTTCTGGGAAGAAAAACCAAAATCAGGACAATCACAATTTCTACCCTCAGAAAGAGCCTCCCAACCCTCCTTCCATCCCAACCCCAAATGCCTCTTTCTGTGGATTTTCAGCTTTCAGCTTTCCAGGGCTCTGTAGCTTCTCAGTATAAAGGGCTCCTTCCATGGATGGGGTGAGCAGGCTGGGAAACCTGCAGGGGAAACTCCCCTGGAAGAACTAACTGGGCTTCAGTGACCTCTTCTTGCAGGCTCAAGACCAGGTTAGTTTGCACTCTCTGAGCTCAGGCTTCTGCTTCCCAGTCAGGGTTATTCAATTAGTATTCAATGAGAATGCCCAGTGTTGGAAGAAAGCAAAACTACTCAAACAGTGTTTATAGAATAAAGGAAAGTGAAACGCCTTTATAATTTATACCTCAACAGAAAACACTAAAGTATCTATCCCTTTCAGACAATAAATAGGCCACTTACTTATTTCCATGATAACAGATCATTTAGTAAATAATCATATATAAACAATTCTAGCCAGTGCTACGTTCAGCATTAAAGCCATACATCCAAGGCCAGGCATGGTGGCTCATGCCTGTTATCCCAGCACTTTGGGAGGCCAAGGCGGGAGGATCACTTGAGCCCAGGAGTTTGAGACCACTCTGGGGGCAACACAGTGAGACCCACATCTTTACAAAAAGAAAAAACAAAATAGCCAGCCATGGCGCAGCACCCCTGTAAGTCCCATCTACTTGGAAGGCTGAGGTGGGAGGATCACTTGAGCCCAGGAGGTTGAGTGAGCTGTGATCACACCACTGCACTTCAGTCTGGGTGACAGAGGAGAGATCCTGTCTCCAAAAACAAAAAATAAAAAATAAACTCAACATCCAGACAAGAGGATAAAGAACAAAGATATCCACTGTCATAACTTCTTCACCCTACAAAAAAAAGAAACTGATGTTTTGATGAAACTATGTAATTCACCAATTTACCACACGTTGTTGTGAAAATGTATTCACTTTCTACAGCCAATAATGAAAGAAAGATTTTCTCTGTTTCTTTTCCCTGGCAGCATTTCCAAAAGGTGAGCCCTGAGATTCTGTTTTAAATTACTCCCAAAAAAAGAACAAACCTGAGAAACTTACTACACTCATTCTGCTGAAAAAAAAGATAGTAAGAATTTTTAACAATGAAGTATGACTTGATATTTTAATTTTCTGAAATCCACCTTTCATGGCCTTGGAAATGTTTTTTATCTTTCAAGCTCTACTGATGAAATTTACACTAACTGAAAAACTGAAGTAGAAATAAATGAACAATCTAAGGCAGCAAACTCAGGGAGTGGTAATGCTGTTGGAATACAGACATATCTGGCTCAAGTGTCAAGTCAGGTCACGGTATCATTTGAGACATTCTCCTACCCCAATACTGCTCATTAAAATGCTCAGGGACCATCCTCCCAGATCCTGCACTGTGCCCCATGGACACCGCAGCCGAGTTTGCACCACCTCACTGGGGTGGGGTTTTTGTTTTTTGGTCCTTTGGGAGTTTTTCTCCCTTCACAAATCTGAATGAATCTAGGGGGCAGGAATCATTTGTGACTGTTTCCCCTCAATACCAGCAAACGATTGGCTGACCAGCAATGTGTCTCCAAGGGATGAAAACTAGCTTTGAAGAAATAAAATCCTTATGTCCCAAGGGGTTATCTTTTTAGGTTAAGGGTGTCCCAGGAGATTTCTCTCAGCCCCAGGGCATCCAGCTGCTCCCCTGAGGGACTACATTTCCATACCTTGGGCGGTCCTCTAACAGGAGGTGACCTGGGGCTGACAGTCACTAAACACTCCAGGAGACATGGCCACTGTGGGCATCTTGAGTCATCCCAGACAGTTCTGAAATTCAGGAACAGGAAAAGACTGGATAGAGGGTGGCTATACAGGGCCCTGTAAAGTTTCCAAAGCAAAACCTCAAGTCAAAAGACATTCTTTCCGATAACGTGTCTGTGCCTGGGGAAGATGAATGAAAAAGAGGCACAGTTTTTTTTGCAGTGGAGTGTCAGGGATTTTTTATTCTCTGCTTTCCTCTCACGTGAAATGTATGCCAAAAAAACACAAATCTTTAAAAAAGTGTCATCCACTGCTCTGTGAAATCATGATTAATGAGTAAAATACTGTCTGAAATGTACAATAAATGACCAATAGTTAAGAATGTGAACTGGAGAGGGGAAGTTGGCCTTTGGAAATGTCGGGAAGGAACTGGAAATTTAATATTTTATTGCAAGCCCAGTTAGACTGGGGGAACACAGTGGTGGACTTGAGACTCTGCGTGCTACACGTTAGGAAAGCGCAGGGGGAAAACCAGTTCCCCTGGGCAGTGTTAAGATGATTAATGAGCAGGCGATTATACGGAAGTGGTTATAGTGCCCCAGGTTTCTAGGGAGAAAAACCAAAACCAAACTCAAATGCTTTTCTTGTAAATTACAACTTTAGGGGAAAACAAAATTCAGACTTAACGAACCACAAAGCTCCAATTCACCTCCACCTGCATAGTCTAAATAAGGCAACTACAAACTGTAACCCATCGGTTAATTTGGTCTGCTTCCTCATGCACCTTATAAAAACCTTTCCTTCAAGCCCCTCTGGGGATCTCCGAACCACAAACCAGGACTGCAGGCTTCCCATGTCACAAATCGCTATTTGCTCAAATTCTTCAACGTTTTAACAGTGACTCCCTTTAATTCTTAAGAGGAGTAGTGACTGAGGACCCCACAGGGCACGGTTTCTTCCCACACACCGAACCTGGGTCTCCCCTGAGACGCTCCCGTCCTCACCGCACAATCTGGGGGAGACGCGGGGCTGCGACGCGGAGCTGCCCAGAGAGGGCTCCGGCCAGGGACGAGGTCGCTCTGCGGGGTCGGGATGGGACAGGACACGCGGGGTCCCGGCTGCCGGCCTGGCCGCCATCTTGCAGCGGAGGGGACCGAGGGCCGAGCTGCACCAGTTGGGACTCGGGGCCCAGACCCCGAGGCTGACTGCGGGGAGGCCCGGGTGCCCCTACAGCGGGTTCCCGCCGCTTCCGACCACCGCCCTCCCTCCCTCTGGGGACCCCCGACCCCGCACACTCACCATTTCCCAGCTTCCGGGATGCCCTGGCGTCTTAGCTACGAATCTCCCAGTGCCTGCAAGTCGCAGAGCAACAGAGGTTCTGTTTATTCTCAGAACGCGAAGCCGCCTGGGCCTCCCAGAACGAAAGACTCGGAGCTGTGGCGAGGAGACCCGAGCTCTAACTGGAGCCGACGAAGGCCCCCGCCAAATCCCGGAAGCCGCCCCTGCTCTCCGGCTTCACTCCTGATTGGACGGTTTCCACTCCAGCGCCCCTGATTGGATAAAGCTCCATGCCCCGCCCCCTCATTATTAGTGCCTTTTTTTTTTTTTTTTTTGAAAGGGAGACTGGCTCATTGAGGTGGGGCCGCCTGCTGCGGGTATTACAGCTAATTAAGGGGTGAGCTGCGACTTGAAATACACTTGCTCTTTCCCTTACCTGGTTCTGCTTGTATAAGACATCTTATTAGCTAATTAAGTTTAAGAAGAAGTATATTTAGACACCTTTAAAGCAAGAAAGACCCTCATCCCGTCCCTTAGCACCTCTCTTACCGCACTGTACCCCACTGCTAACGCCACCGTGGGAGGGGGCCCCTCAGCTGGGAACAGAAGGCCGTACACTTCATTCACGTGTTTTCAATTAGGCCCTCGCATGATACATAGACTGAACCAGTGCAAAAGCATCTTATAGGGGCATGCAGGCTGGGGTCCCAGGAGGATGTTGCGGGCCGTGGTGGAACGTGGAAGAGGGGCTGGCCTATTCTTCTAATCTACAACTCTGCCCGCATCTCCTGGAGTCTGCATCACTGGTAACGGGGCCGCTGACTGTCCGTCTGTCTCTCCTTCTCAATCCCTTCAAGCTCAGGGAAGAAGGGTCCTTGGCAGCGACAGGGCTGGGAGCTCAGTTCCTCTGGGCCGTGCTGGCTCAGGCTCTGTGGCCACGGACTCCTCAGCCCTACCTCTGGTTTTTGCTTTTGTTTTGAGACAGGGTCTCACTCTATTGCCCAGGCTGGTGCAGTGGTGCAGTCATGGCTCACTGCAGCCTCCGGGGCTCAAGCAATCTTCCCACCTCAGCCTCCTGAGTAGCTGGGACTACAGGCACATGCCACCATGCCCGGCTGATTTTTGTATTTTTTGTAGAGATGAGGTTTCACCATGTTGCCCAGGCTGGTCTCCATCTCCTGAGCTCAAGCGATCCTCCCACCTTAGCCTCCCAAGTAACTGGGGCTACAGGTTAATAGTCAGTTCGCCAACTCCTGAGCTCAAGTATTCTGTCTGCTTTGACCTGCCAGAATGCCCTATTCCTGTTTTTCTGGAGTCTTGGAGCTAGTGGCGCTGCAGCACCTCGTAGTCTTCCGGCTGAGTAGATTCTCCTAGTCTTCTGGCTGAGTAGAAGGTGGGAGAGGAGGTGGGTGTCAAACTGGGCCAGGGCCCTCGGCCGCCATCTAGCTTGGTTAAACTCCCACTTGGGACAGATCAGGCTCTGTGCCTTATTCAGTGAGACGTGTGGAACAAATGCTTCCCTCCCCAAAGCAGAAACATCCCTGATTGCTGACAGTCAGGATTCCATGCACTTGTCTTGGCCTGGGGCATGGCTGCCTCTCACCCTCTCACCCAGTTCTAGTCGCTGCACTCTGTGGCCTCCCTGCCACCAGATTAGGTGTAGACAACGGGTGTGGGACAGGGCTGCTGACACCACTGGCTGACCAAACCCCTTTCCCACACTGAAGGGAGAAAAGACAGGAGGTTAGGGGCTCCCAAAGGCAGCACTGCTTGTGACAGCACCACGGGAGTCCTTAGGGCCTACTAAGGGGCTGGGCTGGAACTCAGGATCAACTCTGCCTGACTCCAAAGCCCATGCACCTCCATGGACCTCACAACTCAAGCAGCTTCCCTAGGCCTTTGAAATCCTGGAGATTGACTCTTTTGCGATAGAAGAAAGATTCCTTTTGATTCTCATCCTTCTAGTACTCTTCACAATTGGAAATAATCCCCACCAGAGAATGCTTCTGAAATGTCTTGGAAACATGTAGAATAATTTGGGAAAATGGCTGAAGGCTGAGTTTAAGAAATCAAGGCCTAACATTCTATTTTTCATTTCTTATAGGAGAGATTTGAAAGCACTTATAATGGACTCAATGTGTCTGCAAATTATTTTTGTCCCCTTTCAGTATTTGTAAGCTGTTGATGATTTTCAATACAGATTAACTCAAACTACTGTGACTGAAACAATCTTTTACTCTGAAAGCAAGAGATACAAAGGTATATCTGCTGAGAAGACATTTTTTTCTGCCACAATTTAGCCAAACAGCTGAGTACGTCTTAAAGTCAGCCTTTGATTTCTAACAAGTCAAGCTATTTGCCAAGACCACAGTCAGACCATATGACTTAACTACTTCATTGTCCCAGAATGTTGACCAGACAGATCGAAGCTCTGGGGGTGGAGTGGTGAGAGGACCCACGCTAGCAGGTGGGCAGCCATGGGTCCATATGTGAGAATCACTCATTAGGTGGGGTGTTTTGAGGTCCTGATATTTATGACACAATTAATGTGTATATTACTAAAAGTAAATTATAGAACATTACAAATAATAAATCTATATATAAACTAAACATGTCAGCAATTACAACTACTGTTATTTATCATTATTCTAAGTGTGATCATCATTATTACCACAATTAGAAATAGTAGTTGTGGATGCTGCTGCTGCTGCTGTTGCTGGAGGGATGGTGATAAAAACAGCGAGTAAGGCTCTGCTGCCTCCTTCACCTGCGGCATCGGGAGCTGCTGGCTCACTAGTTTGGTGCACACTCTGGACTTCTTTGGTGAAGCTGCAGCTGAAGAGCCTTCAGGCTCCGCTATGGCAGAATTTGAAGGTGGCAGGTAGGATGGTCCCAGGATGCAGTTGATGTTGAAGAGGTGCACACCACTTAGTGAATGAGTGAAAGCCTTTGGTGAAAGGCAGAGTTTCTACATGACACAGATCAGATTCCATTTTGACTGGGGCCAATCAGTGAAACAGACACATCTGCAGAACTGGAAATGGAGGACAAAGATTCAGTTGATGTGTTCCAGAAGCAGACAGGAGGGTCTACTGAGAACATACTCACTGCTTTACTCCAGAACTCTGTTTCTACAGACCAAGCAGACATTCTCACGTAGAAAATTGCAATATGTTTCCATCACATCTACTGGTCCAGCATCCCTTTCTCTCTTCTTCACTTTCCTGTTCCTCATTCCTTTATTGTACATAAATTATCGGGCGTAGCTGTACAAACATATTGATAATTTTTGTTTGCTTGTTTGTTTGTACTGAATGAACAACGATCATTGATTTCCAATGGCCATTGAGTCATTGGTGTTGAGTGATTTCCAATGAAGACAGCTGAGGGAAAACACTGTTTCTGTGAAAAAGACTCTCTTTCTCCACCAGGGACTGCTCACTCACTGTTTATCTCTATATTCCAGGACTTTAACAACAACAGTATAAAAAATATAGTGATCCTTTAGGTTTGTTGGGGGCAGGAAAAAAAAAGGGGGAATAACCTTTGCATACATTGTTCAATTAGAAAATTTTATTTTTAAAAATATATCATTGTAACGCTAAGAACAATTTTATAACTTTTTAAATGTAGCGGTTACACATAGAACAAATCTGTCCTCACACAGGACTAAGTGACAATTAAAAGAACAGAACGGATTCCAGATATGTTCTTCTTCAAATCCAGGATCTGGTTGTTTAAATACACATCTTGTGTAAAATGAAAAGAAAACATTTAATATATAAATAAAAACAGGAAGTAAAGTTTCTCTAGCCACCAAGTGTGTTGGTTGGACTGAAAATGAGGAAGAAGGGGTTTCCGTCTGCAATAAGTTTGAAGTCCCCCCAGGAGCCAGGGAACTGCCCACACCCTCTAAGGCTGCCCCCTCCTCTTCTGCCTGGAGCAGGGTGCCTGTGAGATTTCCATGCCCTGACCCAGGAGGTACATGGAGGGTGAGAGGTTGTCTGTCTCACACCCAGGCAGACATCCCTGGTCCAGGGCCCTCTGGAAGATATTCCCAGGGTCTCCGTAGGCTGCCAGGGTCACACCCTTCCAGAAAAGTTATATAGGTAAATTAACCCAAGAAGGGGTCAGTCCATGGGTGATACCAAGCCACATTGCACCCTGGATAGAGGGCAACACATCTCATGCAACTGCAAACTACAGTAAAGCTCTATCTGCTGACAAAACCTGAGAGGAAGGAAATGAGACATCCTCCTTATGCTTTGAAGGAAAAAACAACAGGCTAGAAGTGGTTGACTCACGTGTTCATGACTGCCATTGTCAGGGTAAGCTGAGAAGTGCATGAGCTCAGAAAAGGACTGTGCCACATGACAAGCTGGAGGGGGTGTGACAGGAGAGAGAGGAAGATGACAAATAGACTATGGGAAGCAAAATGGAAGTTCCGCTTCATGGAAACATAGTACATTCTTTCCTCACAATGAAGAAAAAAGGAAGAAGAAAGAAACTTGACTACAGGCTTTATTTTAAAAAGAAAAAATATATTCTATAACAAAGTCCTAATTCATCTGTGGGTGGTGTATCTGTGCTTTCATGCAATGATTGGATGAAACCTGCTACCAGCACATCAATCCAATTGGCAACAGCATTCCAAAAAAATAAGAAAAAAAATAACAGGGTGTGTACTCTCACTAAAGACACCTGAGAAACTCTATTTCCATGCATTACCATGAGAAGAAAAAAAAATTACCCAGATTGAATCGGGGACAGGACTAATCACTCCTGGGATGAAATACATGCAAATAGATTAAAATGGTGCTTGTGGTGCATGCGTATGTGCATGTGTGTGTACTGTGGTGTGTTTGCCACTGAGTACGAGAAACGTTGCCTGCTTGAACTAAAGGAAATGCTTAGTCCTGTGGAATCCAGAATCCTCCCACCTAGTAGGTGGCTCTTCAACCTCAGGTTTCAGTCTCAGCTCCTTTGAGAGCAGCCACACAGCAGACCAATTGCCGTGAGTGGGGGACTTCGTGGAGGATGCCAAAGGTTTTGTTGGGGGCTAGGCCCTAATTTGGGAGAATTCTGTGAAAGAATACATTCCCACCCACATCCGGGAGCTAAGTCCTCATTTGGGCTCCAGAGGCAAAGTGGTCACTTCATTTCTCACCCCTCTGCTTTCTTCCTCACTCTGAAGTTGGCCACCAGGTGGCGGCAGAAGATCAAAGATAATATCACTAGAACCAGAGCAGGCTGACGGTCTTTTCTTTTTTACTGACAAATAATAATTTTATGTATTTATGGGATACAATGTGATCATTTTGATATACGTATACATTATGGAACGATTCCATCAAGCTAATTAACGTATCCATCCACTCACCAATTTATCTTTTTTTGTAGTGAGAACATTAAAAATTTAATTTTGCAATTTTGAAATGTACAATACATTATTAACTGTGCTCACCGTGCAGTGCAATAGGTCGCTTATTCCTCCAGTCTAACTAAAGCTTCGTATCCTTCCATAAATTACTTCTTTTTCCCTATCCCACCCTTCCCCCTGACACAGCCTCTGGTAACTACCTTTCTAGTCTCTATTCTTTGTTTCTGTGAGATCAATATTTTTAATTCCACAGCTAGGTGAGATCATACAGTATATGTCTTCCTGTTCCTGGTTTATTTAACTTAGCATAATACCCTCTAGTTCAATCCAAGTTATCACAAATGACATAATTTCCTTCTTTATAAAGGCTAAATAGTACTCCATTGTGTATATACACATCTTTATTCATTCATCTGTTGAAGGACACTTAAATTTCTTCTATATCTTGACTATTGTCAATAACGCCAAAATAAACACAGGAGGGCAGATCCCTCTTTAATAGCCTAATTTGAATTCTTTTGGATATATACCCAAAAGTGGAATTGCTGGATCATAGGATAGTTTTTTTTCTTCAATTTTACTTTAACTTCCAGGGTGCGTGTGGGGCATGTGCAGGTTTGTTACATAGGTAAACATGTGCCATGGTAGTTTGCTGCACAGATAAACACATCACATAGGTATTAAGCCCAGCATGCATTAGCTATTCTCCCTGATGCTCTCCCTCCCCCATCCCCCAACAGGCCCCAGTGTGTGTTGTTCCCCACCATGTGTCCATATGTTTTCATCGTTCAGCTCCCACTTAGATGCAAGAATATGCAGTATTTGGTTTTCTGTTCCTGTGTTAGTTTGCTGAAAATAATGGCTTCCAACTCCTTCCATGTCCCTGCAAAGGACATGATCTCATTCCTTTTTATGGCTTCATAGTATTCCATGGTGTATATGCACCACATTTTCTTTACATGGGATACTTTTATTTCTAGGTTTTTGAAGAACTTCCATACCATTTTTAGAATGGCTGTACTACTTTACATTCCCACCAATAGGGTACAAGGGTTTCCTTTTCTCCACATTCTTGCCAACACTTGCCTTCATTGGTTTTTTTGATAAGAGACATTCTAACAGGCCTGGGATTACAGACATTACTCTCTTCTATTCTCATTTAAGTGGTCAGAATGGTTTATTTAAAGTCTTTAAATGACCTCGAATTCTCCCATTGAAAACGGTTTCTTATGGTATTAGCATAATTTCAAACTACTCATCAGAATGATAACGTGCCATGTGAGATGACATGGGGTGGGGAGAGCAACTGAGAGAGCTGCAGCCAAAACACAGACAAAGGAGGAGAAGGGCTGGGATGCCTGTGGAGCTTGTGGTGAAACTTAACAGAGAGGAACAGGGGAGAATCAGAAAATGAAGCCAGCAGAATTCTTGCACCACAGATCAGTGCTGCAGCCTGGGAGCAGGTATCCTCTCTTCACATGTAGAAGCATCACCTGGATGTTGCAGTCTTTTGCCTGCAGATACAATTTCACTCTAATAGGACCATTTCTTAGCCCCACCGCAACCTCTGAGGAGGCAGAGAGGCTGAAAGTTAAGTTAATCACCAATAACCAATGATTTAATCAATCATGCTTATTTAGTGAAGCTTGCAGGAAAGCCCAAAATGAAGGGGTTCCTAGAGCTTCTGGATAGCTGGATACATGGCAGTTCCTGGAAGGTAGGGTGCCCACACCAAGAGAGGGCCCTGAAGCTCCAGGTAGACGTTGTCAGAATCCAGTTGAATTATACAACACCCAGCCAGTGTCTGCTGCAGAATTGGCTGTTGATATAGAGAAATCTCCATAAATTTTGGTGACCAGAGGTCACAGAAGTATTCTGTATTGATTGTTGAGTGAGGAAAAGGAAATACACTTCGGCTGATTTATTTTTTCTTTTTTGAGACGGAGTCTTGCTCTGTCTCCTAGGCTGGAGTGCAGTGGCGTGATCTCGGCCCACTGCAAGCTCCGTCTCCCGGGTTCATGCCATTCTCCTGCTTCAGCCTCCCGAGTAGCTGGGACTACAGGCACCCGTCACCACGCCTGGCTAAGTTTTTGTATTTTTAGTAGATACGAGGTTTCACTGTGTTAGCCAGGATGGGCTGGATCTCCTGACCTCATGATCCGCCTGCCTCGGCCTCCCAAGGTGCTGGGATTACAGGCATGAGCTACTGCGCCTGGCCTCGATTTATTTTTTCTATATCTCTCTGAGTTCGAAAAGTGAAAAATAAGGTGGGAGTGTGTATATATTAATGACAAAACTTGTTCAAGAGAAAGATGTGTCAAACTGGCATCTACAAAGAAGTAAAATGGTTTTGATAAACTCATCCCAAGAAATGCGGAGAAACAGTTCTAAGAAACACGTTCTATTGGAGCAGGCCATCGCGTTTGTGAAAATCTCCCTGTGTAATATTCACATGCAGCCTGGGTTGACATCCATAGCCTTAGAAGAACAGAATTCTCTTTGTCATGAGCTGCTCTAAGGGCAGGGGTGACCTTTGTCTTTCCTCATCTTAATGTACCACAGGGAGGCGAGGACTTCAGTAAGTGGGATTCACAGCAAGGTGCAGATTAGAACTCCCTACAGAGGGTTTCACCATCCTGTGAGGTCCCATCCCAGAGATTCTGATGGGGTGACCCAGCTTAGGGCCCAGGCATCAGCAGGCCTGAAGCCCCCAGGGGGCTCTGATGCACCACCAGGGCTGGGAAGCTGACCCCCAGAGGGTCCAATGCCCAGGGAACTTTTTCCCCTGAGATAATGAGGAGAGCTTCATGGACGACTTGGGGCCTGGGGCAGAGGACTAGTGTGTGACTGAGGAGCTCTTCTTAAGATAGACTCTGGAGGGGTGCATGGGTTCTATACTAATGTGTTTTTCAAATGTGTTTCAGGCTATTTCTCTTCTTGATGATATGTCAGGAAATGCTTGTGTTTAGCTTTCGAGCTTAGGGAAATTCATCAAACCTAATGAAAATTGTTTCCATAATTTTCATGTAAATAAAAATGATTTCTAATTTCATGATAGAATGCTCCAAGAAGTCTGTTTTCATCTGGCTGATAGAAGTAAAAAGACATTCTATTTTGTCTTTTTTTTTTTTTTTTTTTGGTGTATATGGAAGTAAAACTACTACTCAGATTTCTTTGGTCATACATGAGGAAAAGACAGGAAAGAAAAGATCTGGGCTGTGATGGGAAGTGGTTTCTACCTGTTTTTCTGAGGGTGTGGCTTCACAAGAGTTAAATCACACACACCACTACAACAATTAGTACCAGTGATCCTTTTTTAAGGTAATAAAATGGAAAATACCCCATGGACACAAACATGTTCAAAAGGTTTTTTTTCCCCTCAGGTCTATTTCCACAGTCATAAAAAGAGACAAAATGATTATATGATTGGACTGCTAACTCCATTGGACATTCTGTAACTCACTCAGCCACTCATCCCCCATAGAGGTGAGAGGAACAGGCAGTAGGTTTTATTAGTCATGTTACAGTCATAGTAAACAGATGTTTTAATGACAGCTTATTTGAGCTCCATTGATCCTTTGAATCCATATGAAAAAGCATGCCCATATGTGACCACATTCAGGTGCACTGGGAACCACAAAGAAAGAAAAAAATATTTCCTCCAATGTTCATTAATTGAGATTTTAAAGTGATGCTTCTTCCATAGAACCACAGGGTGGTGAAAATATGACAGGGGCTGCTGTGATTTCCAGAACAAGCTCCCATCCTCTGGGGGTCCTGAGATGGATTGATCCTGGAGTCCAACACAGGATCCAACACAATGGATTGATCCTAGAGTCCTCTCAAAAGGAAGGCAATGGTCCCATTGGATGGAACATGGGTGGCTGAAATCCTGGGGGGAGCAGCAGGACATGCCAGGGGCTGGTGGCCAGGCAATGCTCACCACAGCTGGAGGAGCACGTGGGGGTATGTTGCTGTGGTTGGCAGATACATCTGCTGCTGCTGCTGCAGGAGGAGGAAGAGTTCCTGTTCCTGGCAGTGCTGGAATAGGCGTTAGCTGGATCCCAACCTGTGGTTCTGTCCTTTTTCTTTCCCTCTGGCTGCTTGGGATCCTCTCCGTTTTCTACCGAGTCTGCAGCCCTTGACAATCAACTTATTAAAGGATTTCTCAGCAGCCACTTCTGCAGCCTGCCCTGTGGAAACCTGGATGGAAAGCACTCTACTGTCTGCACAACAGTGATCATTCAGATCGTCAAATAATTAGAAATGATTATTTAGATCTGTCTCAGTAATGGCATCACCGAGATCACCAACACAGAGTGTGGTGATAACCTTGTCCTCTGGTGGATCCAGACAAGGTATGGTGAAGCCTGCTTTAGAGGCTTATCTGCTCCGGGGTCATTGATTCCATAATATTGGATTCAGTCTTTAATATTCTTATCAGCAAGGGGATCGTCTGGATCTGTAGGCTTCTCATGTCTGTATGGACCCTCCTCTTCTCCCTCACATTCTCCTTTCACTCAGAAGGAGCAAATGTGCGTATTCCTTTGGTAGTAGCATGTGGTCTGCGCCAGTTTGAGCAGCGTGTCACTGGTATATGTGACTCTCTCCAGCAGGCCAACTTACCATGTTCCATCAGAGTCCACAATTGCTTGTCTATATTCTGCATGTAGTACTCTTCATTGATGTCTGACTCTGGCAAGTCATCTTTTAAAGACAATTCTGTATCATGAACCTGAATGGACAGGCCATAGTCTAGGACTAAGACATTCACTCTTCATTGTCCTGCAGGCCTGGCACACTTCAGTCTTCTTGAAATGCATGTGGATCCCAGGATACCAGCAAAACACTGTGAATAGCCTAGAATAGATTTTCAATTTTTTTCTCATACTTTTCTTTGGTTATTCATATTTGGGTTTTCCCTAAGACATGTCTGACACAGAATGGAGAAGTTTGCATCCTCCCAACTTTGCCTATTTTAGGATTGGAATCAGGAAATGTTGCCATCCTGAGAGGGTCTAGAGGCAGTGGTAGCTTTTTGAATGGAGACAGGACCACCACCATTGTGTCAGCCCAGCTTTTCCTTCTGCCCCTGGTTCTTGAGATCTTGAGATCATGAGAAATTTCCTTTGAAAGTATGTGATTCCTCTTTCTTGATTCAAGGTGAAACTCTCTTCCAAGGAATCCCCATTCTTGTAGGAAACTCTGGATTTCCTAGTCTCTCCAAGGACTGGCCTACAAGGGACAGAGAAAAGTGAATACACCTTGAAACTACTCAGAGTGTATATTTGAGTGACTTTCAGAGACCCTCCCTCTATGCCACCAAGGCCTAAGCATGACCTTGTTTCTGTTGGTGGGAGATGATAAAACCTTACTTGGCAAGTTTGAAAACGAGGATTGCTGGGCGAAGTAATGTCCAATCTTTAAACTCATGGACATATCAGGAAGCATCTGTGCATCTGGATATTTATGATGCTCAATAATGGATAAAGACACCTGAAAAGTGAGTGAACAAAAGAATTTTCAGGCTAAATATTCCTTCCCCTGAAGGGTTCTTCCTTTGTTTCAGGCATAGCGATCTGGCCTGAGAAGGGGCCTTGGGTCACCTTGTGGTCACCAGGACTTGCTTGCAAGAGCTCCATGTATAACAGGCCATAGACTCATCATCTGTGGAGCCACTCCTGTTGCCCAGAATAAGAATTCATGGCTGCCAAAAGTGCCTGTGGTTAGAGCAGAAAGATTGCGAGTTGGTGGGGGAAGAGAGCTAATCCAAAAATTAAAGAAAAGGGTATTCAAACATGAGATAATCTCTTTATCATGCCTTTCCTATAAGTTGATTAAATACGGGAAATCACAGTACTGAAAATAATAATCTAAAATTCTAACTACTAAACTTTGAGCTACGATATATGTGTCACTATAAAGTAATAGAGAATTTATCTCAGTCCAAAATTAATAACAAAGAATTTCAAAATCAGTTTTGAGCTTTGCCTTCTATGTATGTGAAAGAACAAGATCCAGACTCCCTCCAGCATCAAACAAGTAGAAAGCCAGATCCACTATGTGACCTAAATGTGTCCAGATGCTAGAAAGTATCTGATAGGGGCACAGGACAGTGGCCTGGAGGCTGAATCCAAGGGAGGGGACCCCCTGGCTGCCCCAACTCAGAGCCTGCAGAGAGCGTCCAGGAGGCAGTGCAGTGAGGCAGGATCCCGACAGAGCATGGAAATCCCTGAGTTTAGGAAACAGGATTGATGATATAAGGAGAAAGGTGGCTGGAAGGCACAGGGCTGAGTACCAGAGAGCAGGAGGGAGTGGCTGAACTGAGGTAAGACTGGAGAGTAGAAGATGGGGGGTCACTGAACCATTGGCAGATACAAGGGTAATCACCAATTAAACAAATTTGTCCCAGTGAAAGAGGAAAAAGGAACCCTGCCTTTTTCTTTCAGAGCATTTTTAAAAGAAAACTTGTCCCTATGAGTTTCTTCTCTGTCCCCTTGTGACGTATGGAAGTCTCCAAAAGTTAAGTAAGCCGCTTACCAACTTCCAACCAGGACTGTCTTTCTCAAGGGCCTGGGAGCCATCTCTCTAAAATGGAATCATTAAGGGAGCAAGTTCCCATGAGAGGGTAGGAGCCCAGCTTCCGCCAGTGCCTGGCTCTAACTTACTAACCTACTCCTGCCATAAACTATGAGACACTGGTCTTTTCTTGTCATAAATGTGATTAGTGAACACAGTGGGTACCCTTGAGGGACATGTAAAAACAGTGCTGTCAAGTCCCTTCCCTGAGGACTGGTTACTGTTTATCTCGGGAACACGCATGCACTGGTTGTAGCTGCCTGGCTATGCACAAGGGTGAGATTTCCTTCTTTCTTGCAATGTGCTAGGTTATTATCTGTTTTGTGCATCACAATGCCGTTTAATGATTCTTCAATGAAACTGTTTTCTTTCTCTTCTATCTTTCCGGAGAGATTTCCTGAGTTGGCAAGAGACTTTGTTGTTAATCATATTCCCCACCACAGGTAGTGACATCACTATGCTAGAGGGGAGCTGAAGACCTGAGTGGCAGCATCTCTCCCTGCTGCCTCAGCCAAGGCCCCAGTGCCCAGGAAGGGATGCCACCACCTGGAGTAGAGCCTCAGATGGGAACTAATATCAGTAACTTGATATTTCTGCTTGGATAATGGGCAAATTAGAGATAGCTCAGTTTAATCCATTCACAACCAAGCATTTCAGTTCTGGGGAAGACAGACTAGACATACATGTCTCTATTCTTCCCAATAAGTACAACTAAAATCCCTGGACATTATACATGAAACCAAATGGAGAAAGCTCTAAAAGGTGGAAGAAAGCAAGCATACTGTTCGTGAACCGAAGAAAGATGTGATAACAGAGTGGGGTGAAACACGGGTTTCTTTGCCCATATACTGTAGTCTTGGAGCTAAAGAAACTGGCAACTCAGATACACCAATAGGCAAAGGCAAAAAAATAAAACCAGAAAACTTTTATCCAGTGACTGCCCTACTACAGCCAAAACCACTGAAAAACCATGGCTGCCTGCCCACGTATGCCACCAAAAGCCAAATGAGAGGCTAGAGTTTCACCTATGCCAGGATGAAATGCAGACAGCACCATAGGCTTTCTTTCCCTTTTGTGTTTTATAAATTGTATTTGATGCTTTAAGGAAAAATGGTAAGATTTTCAACTATGATAATTTCTGTATATAACGTAATATCTTGATCACACACTAAAAATGCTATACTCAAAAATACTATAAATAAAACAGCCACTGCTCTCTGGACTCCTGGAATATATTTATGGGACTTTAGGCACCTCGCTGGAGTCCTGTGCTCAGAACACAGCCTGATGAGCCACAATGTCATATTTTAAGTATATATTGCATGCCTCATAGTGTATTTGCTGAGTTATGCAATTATAATCTCAGTCGAATTTATTTTTGTTCATCTCTAAAAAGACTTTGTGCTATTTGTAGTCACTCTTCATTTTCTTCCAGCCCTAGACACCATTAGTTTATATTCTGTCTCTAGAGATTTGCCTTTTCTGGACATGTCTTATGATTGGAATTCTACAGTATAAGGTCTCCGGCTTCTGCTTTCTTCTTAGCTTTTTGAAAAGTTTACTCCTCTTGTACCATGTGTCATTACGTGCCTCAGTTTTGATTGCTGAATATATTTCATTGTAAAAACATATATATGTATGGTTTTTATTTTACTTTAAGTTCTGGGATACATGTGCAGAGTGTGCAGGTTTGTTACATAGGCATACATGTGCCATGGTGGTTGGCTGCACCTATCCACCCGTCATCTAGGTTTTAAGCCCTGCATGCATTATGTATTTTGTAGGGTCCAGCCCTACAGGACCTGTGAGTTTTCTCTTTGTGTGTGGAGACAAGAGATCACAGAAATAAAGATATGAGACAAAGAAATAGAAGAAAAGACAGCTGGGCCCGGGGGAGCACTATCACCAAGACGCAGAGACCAGTAGTGGCCCCGAATGCCTGGCCGCGCTGCTATTTATTGTATACAAGGAAAGGGGGCAGGGTTAGAAGTGTGAGTCATCCCCTATGATAGGTAAGGTCATGCGAGTCATGTGTTCACCAGACAGGGGGCCCTTCCCTATTTGGTAGCCAAGGTGGAGAGAGAGAGGGGACAGCTTATGTCATTATTTCTTCTATGCATTTCTTGGAAAGACTTTAATATTTTCACTAATTCTGCTACTGCTATCTAAAAGGCAGAGCCGTGTGTACAGAGCGGAACATGAAAGTGGACCAGGAGCGTGACCGCTAAAGCACAGCATCACAGGGAGATGTTTAGGCCTTCGTATGGCTGCGGGAGGGCCTGACTGCTGTCAGGCCTTCCACAAGAGGTGGTATAGCAGAGTGTTCTCTAAATCCCCCAGGGAAAGGGAGACTCCCTTTCCCGGTCTGCTAAGTAAAGTTTGCCTGCCTTCCCAGGCACTGGCGCTACCGCTAGACCAAGGTCTGCTAAGTAACAGGTGCTTTCTCAGGTACTGGCGTTACCGCTAGACCAAGGAGCCCTCTAGTGGCCCTGTGCAGGCGTGACAGAGGGCTCACACTCGCCTTCTGGTCACTTCTTCTCATCATGTCCCTTCAGCTCCTGACTCTGTATGGACTGGTTTTTCTAAGTTATAATTGTAGGACAGAAGTTATTAATAAAAGAGTAATGCTACAAACTAATGATTAATAATATTCATATATAATCATGTCTATATTCTATTTCTAATATAACTATTCTTATTCTAATTATTTTCTTTATTATACTGGAACAACTTGTGCCTTCGGTCTCCTGCCTTGGCACCTGGGTGGCTTGCCTCCCACAGTATTTATTCTAACGCTTTCCCTATTCTTGCCCCCAACCCCCTGACAGGCCCTGGTGTGTGATGTTCCCCTCCCTGTGTCCATGAGTTCTCATTGCTCAATTCCCACTTATGAGTGAGAACATACGGTGTTTGGTTTTCTGTTCCTGTGTTAGTTTGCTGAGGATGATGGTTTCCAGCTTCATCTATGTCCCTGCAAAGGACATGAACTCATTCTTTTTTACGGCTATGTAGTGTTCCATGGTGTATTGTTTTTCCTTATTCTCACTGGTTGATATTTCGGTTGTTTACCCATTCAGCTATCATGAATAGTGCTGCAGGGAGCCTTTGTGTACACATAGGTTTTCCTATCTTTTAGTTATATAACTGATAGTGTCACATGAATAATTTGCAAATATTTTCTCCCATTCAACAAATTGTCTCATCACTGTTGATTGCTTCCTTTGCTGTGCAGAAGCTCTGTAGTTCAATATGGTCCCATTTTCTAGTATTTGTTTGTTGCTTGTGATTTTGTGGTCTTAGCCATAAAATATCTGGCTAGATCAATGTTCAGGAGGGTTTCTCTTATGTTTTATTCTAGTAGTGTTATAGTTATGGGTTTGTGTTTCAATCTTTTATTTTGAGATGATATATATATCATATATCATATATATTTTTTGAGTTGAGATATATATATATAAATATATATATTTGAAGCTAGACTTCTATCAGTATATATATATACTGATATATATATATATATATATATATATACTGATAGAAGTCTAGCTTCAAATGAATTGAATAGCTTATGCATATAGCTATCCAGTTTTTTCAATACCATTTATTGAAGAGGGTATCCTTCTCCCAACGTATGTTCTTAGTGCCATTGTTGAAAGTCAGTTACTTGTAAATATGTGGTTTTTTTCTGAATTCTCTATTCTGCTCTATTGGTCTCTGTGTCTATTTTTATACCAACACTATGCTTTTGGGGTTGCTCTGACCTTGTATGATATTTTGAAGTCAGGTGGTACAATGTCTTCAGCTTTGTTCTTTTGCTCAGGATTGCTTTGACTCCAGGCTCTTTGTTGGTTCCATACACATTTTAGACTTCTTTTGTGTGTGAAAAAGTTGGCATTTTGATAGTGATTGCATTGAATCTGTAGACTGCTTTGGTCATTTTAACAATATTAATTCTTCTGATCTATGGGCTAAACCACTAGCTAGACAAAAAAATTATGGGCATGGAATCTATGGGCATGCAATGTCCTTTCATTTTTTTATGTACTCTTCAGTATCTTACATCAGTGTTTTTTAGTTCTCCTTGTAGAAGTCTTTCACCACCACAGCTAAATTTATTACTAGGTATTTTAATATTTTGTAGCTATTGTAAATGAGATGGCTTCCTTGACTTCTGTTTCAGCCACTTACTTATTATGTAGAAATGCTCCTGATTTCTGTATGTTGATTTTGTGTCCTGCAACTTTGCTGATCATATTTATCAAATCTAATAGTTTTTTGGTGGCATCTTTATGTTCTTCTAAATATAAGATCATGTCATTTGCACAAAGCAACAATTAAACTTTCACTTTTCCTATTTAGATGCCTTTTATTTCTTTCTCTTGCCTGATTACTTCGGCTAGGACTTCCAGTACTTTGTTGAATAGAAATAGTGAAAATGAACATCGTTGTTTAGTTCTAGTCCCTAGCAGAAAAGATTTAAGCTTTTCCTTATTTAGTATAATGTTACCTGTGGATTTGTCATATATGGCCTTTATTAAGTTGAGGTATGTTCCTGTAGGCCTAGTTTGTTGAGCGTTTCTATCATGAAAAGATGTTAAATTTTGTCAAATGCTCTTTCTGCATCTATTGAGATGATTGTATGGTTTTTGTATTTCATTCTGTTAATGTGATGTATTGTGTTTATGGGTTTGTGTGTGGAAATCCATCCTTCCATCCCTGGGATAAATCCTACTTGATTGTGGCATGTTATCTTTTTGATGTGCTGTTGCATTCAGTTTGCTAGTATTTTGTTGAAGATTTTAACATCTTTATTCATCATATTAAACTGTAGCTTTCTGTTTTCATTGTATCCTTGTATTGTTTTCATATCAGGGTAATGCTTGCTTCATAGAATGAGTTACAAAGAATTCCCCCCCCTTCTATTTTTTGAATACTTTGAGAAAAATTGATATTAGTTCTTCTTTATAAGTTTGGTAGAATTCAGCTGTCAAGTTATCAAGCCCCAAGCTTTTATTTGCAGAGAGACATTTTATTACTGTATCAATCTCATTTCTCATTATTGGTTTGTTTGGGTCTTCTATTTCTCCCTGATTCAATAGTGATAGTTTGTATGTGTCCAGGAATTTAGATATTTTCTCTAATTTTTCCAGTTTGTTATCATGCAATTGTTCTTAGGAGTCTCTGATTATCTTTCATACTTCTTTCTGCAGTATCAGTTGAAATGTCTGCTTTTTCATTTCTGACATTGTTTATTTGGGTCTTTTCTCTATTTTTTGTCTAGCTAGTGGTTTATGAATGTTGTTTCATGTTTTCAAAAAAAGTTTTATTTCATTGGCCCTTTGTATTTTTTTAAGTTTCTAGTTTGCTTACTTCTCCGATTTTTATTATTTCTTTGTTTGTTTGTTTGTTTTGTTTTGTTTTAAGACGGAGTCTTACTCTGTTGCCCAGGTTGGACTGCAGTGGTGCCATCTCGGCTCACTGCAGCCTCTGCCTCCTGGGTTCAAGCAATTCTCCTGCCTCAGCCCCCTGAGTAGTTGGGATTACAGGTGTACTCCACCACACCTGGCTAATTTTTGTATTTTTTAGTAGAGAAGAGGTTTCACCACGTTGGCCAGGCTGGTCTCAAACTCGTGACCTCAGGTGATCCAGCTGTCTCAGTCTCCCAAAGTGCTGGACTACAGGCATGAGCCACTGCACCTTGACTGATTTTTATTATTCCTTATGCTTATGTTGAGCTTAGTTTGTTCTTGCTTTTTTGGTTTCTTGAGGTGTATCATTAGGTTGTTTACTGTAAATATTTCTACTTTTTTGATGTAGGTATTTACTGCTGTAAACTTCCCTCAACACTGCTTTTGCTGCATTTCATAGTTTCCAAAATATTGTGTTTTCATCTTCATTTTTTAAATATTTGTTTGGATTTCTGTATTAACCCAATGGTTGTTCTGGAGCATGTCATTTAATTTTCATGTATTTGTACAGTTTTCAAAGTTCCTTTTGCTACTGATTTTTGGCTTTATTTCACTGTAGTATGAGAAAATACTTGATATGATTTCAATTTTTAAACATTTGTTAAGACTCGTTTTCTGGCCTAACAGAGGGTCTATCCTGAAGACTGTTCCATGTGCTTCTGAGAAGAATGTATGTTTTGCAGTCATTGGATCAAGTGTTCTGCAGATGTCTGTTAGGTTCCTTTGGTCTAAAGCAACGGTGCCTAACCTTTTTGGCACCAGGAACTGGTTTCGTGGAAGACAATTTTTCCTAGGACTAGGGGAGGGGGATGATTTCAGGATAATTTAAGTGCATTACATTTATCATTAGATTCTCATAAGGAGCATACAGCCTGGATCACTGGCATGTGCAGTTCACAATAGGGTTTGAGCTCCTATGACAATCTAATGCTGCTGCTGATCTGACAGGAGGTAGAGCTCAGCTTCACTGGCTCACCTGCCACTCACCTCCTGCTGAGCTTCCTGGTTCCTAACAAGCCAGGGGTGGGTATTGGTCTGTGACCCGACGGTTGGGGACCCCTGGTCTAAAGTACAGTTTAAATCTGATGTTTCATTATTGATTTTCTGTCTAGGTAATCTTCCAGGGCTTGTCTAGTGGTGATGAATTTCTTCAGTTTTTGCTTGTCTGGGAACGTCTTTATTTCTCCTTCATTATGAGGTATAACCTTGCTTAGGCTGTGTTTGCTAGTTGAGGCTGTGGTGAGGTTTTGGTAGGAATGGAACACCAGATAGGCCAGTCCTTCAGCCCCCATGGTGACAGTGGCAGCAGTAAAGGGTTGAGGGTGTCTGTCCTTGGGCTGCTGGGTAGTGTATGTGGGCACTGGTGTTAGTGTGCCTAAGCCTGTTGATTCTCAGGCCTTCAGGAGGCTTGCTCTGATGTCTGTAGTAACAGCAGTGGGCTAGGAAATGGGGCAAGTCCTCAGGCCTCTGAGCAGTGTGTACCGTGTGGATGAGGAGAGTAGTGGGGTTGAGGCAACTTCAGGCTTCCAGGCAGCACTCACAGTGTTTGTGGTGGCTGCAATGGGCTGAATCAGACAGTCCCTAGAGCCTTAGGTGACACATGAGTGTGGATGCTGGTGGTTGTCTGGGTGGGCCCATCCTTAGGACCCCAAGAGTACCCAGATGACAGCAGTGGTGGATGGCATGGGAGATTCCTAGACCTTTAGACAGCATGCTTGAGTGCTGGCTGCACATTTTCTTGGCCTGTTTTTAGGACCCTGGTGGACTCATGCCAGAGGCTACCACCTGTACAATGCTGTCCTCAGGTCCACAAGTGGAATATTTGACCACTAAGGGTGGGAGAGAGGCAGGTGAGGTGGGCCTGTTCTCAAGTCCTCCTAGTGATGCACATGAGCATAGGCTGTGGGCAGGGCAGGGGAAGTCCCAGACCTCTGGAGCTCATGCTAGGGCACCAGTGATGGCAGGCCTTCTGGAGCTGTTATTAGGCCCCTGGGAGATGGGTGCACCAAAATCTCAGAAATCGCCACTAAAGAATTTATTCATGTGCAAATAAATAAATAAATAAATAAATTCACTTACACTGTCTTATAATTATGTAATTAGTTTTGCTAGTGTGTGCTTTGTCTTTCTTATGCATTCAAATTATTGTCTGGATTTACTTGCTTTCAGCCTGAAAAACTTCTTTTGCCATTTTTTCATAAGGTCAGTTGGCTAGCAACAAATTGTATCAGTTTTTATTTACATAAAATGTTTTTATTTAACCTTCATTTTTAATAGCTAGTTTTTGTGGGTATAGGGTTCTTATTAGGCAGGCTTTTTCTGTGAGCATCAGACAAAATAATTTATAAAGAAGTAATTGAAAAGCTTCAGAGAAGGAAAATAAATCAAGACCTAAGGACACTGACTGGATTGAGCACCAACGTCATAGTGATGGCAGCTGGGTTTAAGATGACAGGGAGAATTGTCACTGAAGACAGTAGAAGTCTGGGGATCAAGTGGTCCTGACTGCAGCTGAATGGAAAGTTTATTTTGTATTTTATTTTATTTTAATTTTTGAGACAGAATCTCGCTCTGTTGCCCAGCCTAGAGTGCAGTGGCCCGATCTCAGCTCACTGCAACCTCTGCCTCCTGGGTTTGAGTGATTCTTCTGCCTCAGCTTCCTGAATAGCTGGGATTCCAGGTGCCTGCCATGATGCCTGGCTAATTTCCGTGTTTTTAGTAGAGACGGGGTTTCACCGTATTGGCCAGCTGGTCTCAAACTCCTGACCTGAAGTGATCCGCCTGCCTTGGCCTCCCAAAGGGCTGGGATTGCAGGCATGAGCCACCGTGCCCGGCCTGGAGAGTTTATTTGTTAGAGCCTCAGATATGGCACATGAGAGGTACACCAGCATGAACTCAAACATATTCAGAACTGGTGCCTTGGGGGAAAATCTATAGATTAAGTGCATGAGAAGTCACCACTTCAGTATCAGATGATGTTTGATTAAGAAAGTGTAACTCCAAATGTGGCAATCATGATCAAGGTTAAAGTTAGCACTAGTTATAACATAGGTGTGGTTGGTGGTGTCTCAGAAGCAAATAAAAGTTGTCAGTTGCTAAGAATGTGTTAATCATTTTATTCCACATGCTCTCATGCTGACTGTGTAGTTAAACATCCCTGTAAGTAGAAACAACTTCACTGTAAGCGCTATGTAAGCCTGGTGCAGGGGGCATTTTCTTCATTCCCAAAAAAGTTTTACATAGACTACCTGTAATATTGAAACGTAGGGACAACTGGGGACCATGTGTGAAGGCCCCCAGAAATTTCTTCAGTTAGCAAGGATGTTTGGTAAAGCAACACAGAAATTAAACAAAGTTTGAAACTATAGTTATTGCTTCTACTTTATTGGCAATAACTGAGACCAGACAACCCTCCTGGGCAAAATTACCTAAGAAAACAAGCTTGCACACGTTAAAGTTTGAAACCCATCTGTCCTACACTGATCTTTTCCAGGAATTAAATGTGTTCAGTTTTTCCTTTTGTTGCTCCCCTTTCCAATAATCTCGAGGCCAGGGCTGTCCTGCTTCTACAGGTGACATGACAGTTATGGGCCTGGAGGGAGACGAGCTGACAGTATCCCTTCTTTATAACCAAGTCTCAGGGACCACCATCCACACACACAGACTCACTCCAGGACTCCGCTGGGCAAATGGATGTTTCTCAGCTTTAGTAAAAGTGAGTGATCACGACTTACGTTGGTAGTGGCAGGAGGATTTTCTCAATGATGTAGATAACTCTCTCATAATTTTGTTCTTGTGTCTCACTGAATTATAACTATTTTCAGATAAAAATATAAATTTTAATATCATGAGCACATAAATTTACAGATGTTCGAAAGGATATTTGTAATTTTGTAATGGTATATGTTATAGGTAAGACGTTTATTTAGAAACAGAATGCTTGTTTTTCGGTCATGTAAGGAAAAATTAGCATTTAGACAAAAAGGTTTTTTTAGCAAGGAAATTTTACTTTCTGCAGAAAGGGTGCTCCTTGCAGATGGAACAATGGCAAGAGCACATTTGAACAAGGGAGGGAAGCAATTTTTATTTTTTATGTAGCTTGTCCCTGCTCTTGTGTCCTGTTTTTATTGGCTGGAGACAGACTTCATAATTTAAATTAAAACCTGATTGGCTAATAACTTAAAATTTTTTAAACAGGTAAAAGCAATGGAAAGATAAATGAAAAGAGGAAGTTGTTTATGAAAGGACTTAGAAAAGTAATAACATTCCTAAATAAGGAAGTGACAGGCTGTGAGCTGGGACATGCCTGTGAGCACATCCAGGACAGGTATTTCCGTTAAGGCACAAGGACATAGAATGTACTATGTGCCTGTGAGCATGTTTAACAGCTACATAGGATAGGGCTTAAACAAAGAGTTATTAGCACAAAGTAAGGAGGCTTGAAAGAAATTAGTCTTTAAAAGAAACTATTATTTCTAACACTTATTTATCCTGTAACAAGAATGGAAACTTTGAAGAGGAAACTTTTTACTTTCTGCAATTCCTTCCTTTTGATTTTATAGCTTTTTTTCTTTAAAATTTTTTAACATGTTTTGGTTTAGCTGTTTTGCTTGAGTTTTTAAAAGAAAAAGTTTTTCTGGTTGGTGAAATGCCACGGTAAAAGGGATAGCCAATTGAACTAGAGCACAAATATTGCTTTAATTATTTGGCAGAGTGTTCAGTAAAGGTCTTCTACAATATTATTACATACCTGTTTGGTGATGAATAAGGGGGGATTGATGGGTCAGCTCTTGGAAGTGCCTGACTTCACTGCATTAAGTTTTCAAGGAACACTAAATTTTTCCCTTGTTGTTGGAGACACCAGGTAAAATTGGTCTTGGAAGATGGAGGCTAGATGGCCCTCGGGGGCTGACCCGCAGGGTACTGCATTTTAGGAAATAGTAGCGAGAGCGTTTGACACAGTTTATTATCTCAGGCTGTAGGATTTTGAAAAGGAGCTACCATGTAGTCCATGTTTTGTTGATTAGAGGACTATTTGAGTGGAAAGGGGACAACCTGGGCCTCTAGCCTACCATGCACACGTGTTTAACGGTCACTTTTATTTAGATGCAGATGAAATATTTAATTTATTTTAACCAGCCATTTACATTTTGATATCCTGTTTTAATTGTTATTGTTTGCTTTAGGTTTTTTATTTTTACTGTAGAGACTTTGGTCTTGTTTTTGTGTCTGGGAGGAGTGATAACTAAACAGGCATTAAAAGTAGTAACTTGAGGTGAGTTAGATTTAGTTATATTAATAAGATAGGAAGTAGTTAAAGGGAAGAAAAGAAAAAAGATAGATAGATTACGTTTTTATAGCTTTAACTTGGTAGGGCTTAACCCTGGAACAACGGCCTATGACTTTGACGGTGATGACGCTTTTTTGACTCGGGTATGTGGTGTTCATTCTCTTCTGCTGTGGGAACCGCAGTCTTGGTGGGTTAGCAGCACAAGGTAGGGTTTTTCTTAGGCTGGCTTGAGTTTTTCTTCTTTTTATCCTTTGATAAGGACATGGTTTCCAGGCTGGTGCTGGTTTACTGGAAATTTTAAGAGTGGCACCTGTGCTAGAAGACTTTTAGTTTTGAGGAAAAGGAAAGTGGAAAATAAGTATGTAATTTTTGAGAAACTGATTTTTTTGTTGTTGTTTTAAATGTGCGGATATCAGCCGTGGAATGTAAGTAAGGCAACCTATAGGTAGTTTTTGACTTAAATTTCCTTTTTTAATTTTTACTTATGTTGTTTTTGAGGGAAAATTTGGGGTCCCTCAGAAAGTTAGAACTTTGCATATCCTGGGGCCCGAAGCCCCACGGTGACGCCTCCCGCTTCATTCCCGTTCAATGTAGCCTAGGGGATGCTGTGGCCCTGGCCCCTCTTAAGGTCCCGGCTTCCCTGCGGCCTTTACTGCTACCATGCATTGCGGCCTTGTGGGGATGAGGGTCCTTGTGACTTACCGCACTGCCCCCAGACCTTGCTCCTGCCAGAGACCCCACTGTCTAGCCCCTGGCCTTGGGCTGGGCTGGGCTGTGCTGTCTGACAGTTGTTTGGCCCCCTCCCTTGCACCTGTAGTGTTTGTCCCCCCCACGCCCTCGCAGGCTCTCACTGCAGCCTCTGTAGGAGCCGCTGGAGGTGGAAACTTGTTGGTATTAAACCTGTGCTGGAGAGCCCCAGTGGGTTTTTTGATGCAGTTGGAACAAGATTTTTTTAATAAGGGGTTTGGATAACATTTTTTTAATTTTGGTTTAGCAATATTTATTTTCCTTCTGAATTTTCTTTAGCATCTATTTAAAAAATGTTAATGTAGGTAAAAATTCACATTCTTATGTTTTCTTATAATTTTTTTCTAAAAGTATATTTTACTTTCCTTATATACCTTGCACACAAGTTGCTTCTTTAATAGTTTTACATTTAGGAGGCTTAATTATTTTTAAATTATATAATTTTTTGCATAAATTCCCTTTTATAAAATTTTTTAGGACTTTTACAATTTTTGACATGCCTTAACTTTTAGATAAACTTTTAGACTTTTTTTACACTATTTTTTCCCTAGTTTTATTTTTTGTGTTTTTTTATCTTTGTTTTTTCCAGTCTTTTTTTTTTTTTACTTATTTTTTCCTTCTATCTCTCTCCTTCATTTGCGTTTTCTCCTTCTCTCTGTCACCTCCTGTTTCCTCTTTCTCTCACACTTACTTGTTGGGTGGGATCTTCATGGCTGCAGTCCGTGCCCTGGGCCACTGTCAGCCTAGAGGCTCAGCAGATGCCTGCCATAAGTTGCATGAGTTATTAACCCTGGGCCAGAGGGTCCCCTTGTTTTTCCTCCTTACTTTTATATCCACAGCCCTTACACCATTTATTTTTACCTTCTCCTTTAAAGTACTGACCTTGCCTTCTTTCTTTTTGCATTCCTGAATTCCCTGACTTTTTCCTTTTACCTCTTTTAGAAAACTTTGGAACTTGCCAACAGATTTTTGCTTTTTGTATCTGCCCTTCTCTTTCTCTGTCTGCTGGTCTTTCCCTGCCTCTGCCAGCTGCCCATGCTGCTATTTTCCCCTCTCTTTCCCCTTCCCCTAGGGAGCAGCCAGTGGGTGTGGAGCTTAGCGTTTTTCTTCCCCCAAGAAGAAGGGAAAGGGAAGTTTTGAATATATTTGTTTACTACCGGAGGTTTGTGTGATCTTTAATCTCCCCCAATGGGGATTTTTCACCCCTTTTTTTAACCTCTAAGACAACCCAACTAAGGATTTTTTCACCGCCCCCCAGCCCCGCAGCTTTTCTTTCCTCTGTCTTGACTAAGGCATGCTTTACCGCCCCTGCAATTTCTTTTACCTTGGTGTGCTTTAACCAAGGAATGCTTTACCACCCCACGGCTTTTTTTCCTTAGTTCTGACCACCAAGGAAATACTTTAACTGCTCCTCCAGTGTTTTCGTTGTTTGGCTCATGCACAAGGTCGCCCAGTCTACATGGTATGTAAGGATCCTTTACTCCAGGTTGCCAACTGGTTTCTTTCTGCACTGCTGAGAGTCTGGGTTTATTTGTCATGCTGGGTGGGTTTTGATTCCTTACCCATAAGGCCACCGCAATGAGGCAGTGGGGCCCCTCCTCATGAGAGAGGACTAGAGACCGACCCCAGAGGAGAATGTATGGGCCACCATTTTGTTACATGTAAAATGTTTATTTAGAAACAGAATGCTTGTTCCTCAGTACTGCAAGGAAAAATCAGCATTCAGACAAAAAGTTTTCTTAGCAAGGCAATTTTACTTTCTGCAGAAAGGGTGCTCCTCACAGATGGAACAATGGCAAGAGCACACCTGAACAAAGGAGGGAAGCAATTTTTATCCTTTATGCAGCTTGTCCCTGCTACTGTGTCCTATCTTCATTGACTGGAGCCAGACCTCACAATTTAAGCTAAAACCCAATTGGCAAATAACTTAAAACTTTTCTAAATAGGTAAAAGCAATGGAAAGACAAAGGAAAAGAGGAAGTTGCTTATAAAAGGACTTAGAAAATTAATAACGTTCCCAACTAAGGAAGGGGCATAGGTTGTGAGCTGGGACATGCCAGTGAGCACGTCCAGCACAGATGTCTTGGTTAAGGTACGAAGACATAGAATGTACTATGTGCCTGTGAGAATGTCTAAAGCTACATAGGATAGGGCTTAACGAAGAGTTATTAGCACAAAGTAAGGAGGCTTGAAGGAAGTTAGTCTTTAAAAGAAACTGTTATTTCTAATGCTTATGATTTATTCTTTAACAAGAAGGGAAACTTTGAAGAAAAAACTTTTTACTTTCTATAGTATATTTGAATTGAAATTTTACTTGACTATTTCTCATAATAAATTAATACAACAATAAATTATTTTTATGCATTTATGGAAAGTTTTATGTTTTAAGGCACAATAATCTGAACTAACTCAGAATTCTTTAATTATGCTCTGTTTTTTTGGTTGAAAGTACTTAGTGTATTTCCAATAATATAAGACTATTTAGATAAGGATGTTGTAAAGTAATGATTTGCAAACTTGAATGACACAGCATTCACACATTATTTTAAGAATCCTCTAAATTCACTATCCCTACTTTTTTCCCTTAAGGTTTCAATTATAGTTAACTCAGTAAAACATGTATTTGCAAAAACTGACAAGTTCGTTTCAAGTTAACTGTTGAAATTTACAAGTTAACATTATCTAAATTCAATAAGGTTAGTGCCTTCTAGTGTCTATGTGTCTTTAAAATGGAAAACAGAGGACACAATCAGGACACTTGAAAACAAAAGGAATAAAATGATAATGACAGAAATTGTCAATTATCTGTGGCTCACAAGGGCATCAAAACCTCAAAAAACTTGATCAGTACAAAACTTCTCTGTCCCTGCTCACTAGAGGAGTTTGAGTTTTCCTTAAAATGTGTCTTGCATTTCAGGTAGACGAGAAAGATGTGTGAGAGCATGGGTCTTTATTAATCTTGATCAGAGTTCCTGAGCACAGAGGATATGCCCTCCATTTCCTTCCTAATAAAATAATTGGTGCAATTCATATGATTGTGAACTTCTCATTAATGTGTGGCACAGAGATTTAATGGTAAAAGATCTTAAAGTCTTTAGAAAAAGAAAGTGTTATATTTTAATCATAACTTTTCAGTTCTGGTAGTTAGAAAAACCCACTGCCAACCAGGATTTTAAGGCTTCCAAAAATTTCTGGCACAGTATTTTGGATCAAATTCCTCCAGTGTGTTTCTGTCCCCTACCTCTGCAGTGACATTTCTCATGCCCATGTGTTTCCTCAGTTGAGCCAAGAATAAAATGTCTTCAGATTATGAATGTCCACAGCGAGTATTGTACTTCCAGATGCACCATACTCTTAAGTTAAATTGCTAAAGAGTAGTAGATGCGTTTCAGTTTTTTAGAGGTGTCTGGACCTTAACATTATTCTCTTGCCATTTGTACATTTCACAAATAATTTTCATGAAACTTATTTAGCCAGGAAAGGTAATTCCCTTCCCTGATGTTGCCAGCTGTGTTTCTATGTTGCCCAGGCTGGTCTTGAACTCCTGGCCTCCAGCAAGCCTCCCACCTTAGCCTCCCAAAGCACTAGGACTACAGGTGTGAGCCACTGTGCCTGGCCTTTAATCATGACTCCTGACCTTGAAGCATACACTCTCACCTTGACTCTGACCTTGCTGTCATTCTGACACCTCTCCCTCCTCCACGCCTGAGCTTTACCTTGTTCTCACTCTCACCTTGTGTCAGACTGTGACACTCACCTGACTCTGATCCTGATTGTCACTTACACACTCTATCTTGTTCTTACCCTGACCCCGATTCTGTACTTGACCCTGACCCTCACTTTGGTCTTCAGTTTTAGCCTCACCCTTAATCCTGACCCAAACGTTGAAGGTAACCTTGCGGTGGCACTCAACTTGACCCTCCCCTGGCCTGGAATCTTAACGTCACCACGACCCTCATCATGACCATAAATCTGACCCTTGCCTGACCCTGACTCTGCTGCTTACTTTCCACTGACCCTGACTTGACCCTTACAGTATCCCTGATCCTGACCTCACCTGACTCTACAAGGACCCTTATCCATACCTTCACCATGTCCTTGAACCTACTGTGAATCTGAAACTTATGCTGAGCCTGAACTGGACACTCAGCCTAACCCTGGAACTAAGTTTTTCTCACCCTGAGATGAACTCTGACACTGAAACTGACTCTGACTCTCGCCCTGACCCTGGCTCTGAATGTTTGTCTCACATTCCTCCTCATCCTCACTCTGACACTGACCCCCACTCTGATCCTCACGATGACTCTCAGCTGGACTTTAAGCATGACCCTCACCCTCATCAAGACCAAGCAATTTGCTCACACCTGAGTCCCAGCACTTTGGGAGGCTGAGGTGAGAGGATCACTTGAGGCCAGGCATTCAAGACCAGTCTGGGCAACATAGCAAGACCCCCTCATCTGTAAAACAAAATACTCACATTGTATTACAAATGCCTGCTACATCATTGTATAAATTCTTTCTTTTTACTCCTGTTAGTAGCTACAACGTGGTCTTATGATAAAATTCTGTACCCCTGCTCCGACCACTGGAACAAGCTGGACACGTCTGGCTTCTTACCAGGGCTGGGACTTGGTGAGACAAAGGAGGAGTCAGTGGGAATTTTAACAAAGCCCTCACTCTCAGGTTCATGAAAGTGCAGGGTCAGCTCCTGAGAGTGGGGCCTCCTTAAATGTGCCCTGGATGCCTCACTTGCCTTACTCTCCTCTAGAGCCTGCTTCTTGCAGCTCCTAAAGGGTTTTGCCCTCTGGATATTTTTCGGTTCTCCTACAAATGCAAATGGGCGGCCCATGCCTACCAGTATTCCGGGCACATCCAACTGTCCAACTCCATTTAGAATCCACTGGAATCCCCGATACATTTGTTTGATGTATTTATATATTAATAATGCAGTGGCTCATGCCTGTAATTCCAGTACACTGGGAGGCTGAGGCGGGAGGATCACTTGAGTCCAGGAGTCTTAAGCGACCAGCCTGGGCAACATAGGGAAACCCTGTCTCTACAAAAAATACAAAAATTATCCACCTGTGGTAGTGCAAACCTGTGGTCCCAGCGACTTGGGAGGCGGAGGTGGGAGGATCACTTGAACCCAGCAATTTTTTTCTTTTTAGATGGAGTCTTGCTCTGTTGCCCAGGCTGGAGTGCAGTGGTGTAATCTCAGCTCACTGCAACCCCTGCCTCCCAGGCTCAAGTGATTCTCCTGTCTCAGCCTCCCAAGTAGCTGGGACTTCAGGTGTGCACCACCATGCTGGTCTAGAGTCCAGGAGTTCTAAGAGATCAGCCTGGGCAACACAGAGAAACCCCATCTCTACAAAAAATACAAAAATTGGGTGGCTCGTGCCTGTAATCCCAGCACTTTGGGAGACTGAAGCGGGAGGATCACGAGGTCAGGAGATTGAGACCATCCTGGCCAACATGGTGAAACCCCATCTCTACTAAAAATACAAAAAAAAAAATTAGCTGGGCATGGTGGCAGGAGAATCCCTTGAACCCAGGAGGCAGAGGTTGCAGTGAGCCAAGATCGCACCACTGCACTCCAGCCTGGCAACAGAGCAAGATTCTGTTTAAAAAAAAAAAAAAAAAATTAGCCAGGGCAGTGGTGTTCCCCTGCAGTCCCAGCTACTCCGGGAGGTAGAGGTAGGCGGATTACTTGAGCCCAGGAATTAGTGGCTGTGGTGAGCCACAGTCACACTACTGCTCACCAGCCTGGGTGACACAGTGAAACCCCCATCTCTAATAAAAAAAAGTAATAAAATAAAATTAGGTAATTTATTTTTTATGATTGTCAGGAACTTTTATATAGTTATAATGTACAACATAGTATTTGAAATATGTATATTTTGTGGTGTGGTTAAATCAAGCTACTTAACATACGCAGTACCTCACATATCATTTTTCTTTTGGTGTAAGAATACTTAAAATCTACTCTCAGCAATTTTCAAGAACGCAGTCCAGTACATTGTTGTTATCTGTAGTCACCATGATGTATATTAGATTTCTTGAACTTATTCCTCCATTCTAACTAGAATTTTATATCATTTGACCAACATTTCCCCAATCTTCTTACCACTTACTGCTTGGTAACCATCATTCTATTCTCTGCTTCTATGAGTTTAACATTTTAGCTTCCACATATGAGTATCATGTAATGTTTCTTTCTGAGCTGGGCTTATTTCACTTAACATGTCTTCCAGGTTCATCCACATTGTAGCAAATGACAGGATTTCCTTCTTTTTAAAGGCTGAATAGTATTCCACCATGTATATATACTAATACATACCCCTTTTTTTTTTTTTTTTGAGATGGAGTCTTGCTCTGTCAGCCAGGCTGGAGTGCAGTGGCTCGATCTCAGCTCACTGCAACCTCCGCCTCCCAGGCTCAAGTGTTTCTCCTGCCTCAGCCTCCCGAGTAGCTGGGACTACAGGTGGCACCACCATGCCCTGCTAATTTTTGTATTTTTAGTAGAGACAGGGTTTTTGCCATGTTGGCCAGACTGATCTTGAACTCCTGACCTCGGGTGATCTGCCTGGCTCTGCCTCCCAAAGTGCTGGGATTACAGGCGTGAGCCACCATGCCCAGCCCACTTTTCCTTTATCCATTCTTCTGTCAATGGACACTTAGGTTGATTCCATATATTGGCTATTGTGAATAGTGCTGCAATGAACATGGAATGCAGAGATCTCTTTGGCATACTGACTTCATTTCCTTTGGATATATACTCAGTAGTAGGATTGATGATTCAGATGATAGTTCTATTTTTATTTTTCTGAGGAAACTTCATACTGTTTTCTGTAATGGCTACACCAGTTTACATTCCCACTAACAGTGTACAAGGGTTCTTTGTTCTCCACATTCTTGTCAACAATTGTTTTCTTTTGTCTTTTTGATAATAGCTATTCAACAGGTGTGAGATGATGTCTCACTGTGGTTTTGATTTGCATTTCTCTGATGATTAGTGATGTTAAGCATTTTTCATATACTTGTTGGCCATTTATATATCTTCTTTTTTTTTAAGTTGACATATAATAACCATACATATTTATGGGGCATATAGTGATGTTTCAATATATACAATGAATAGTGATCAGATCAGGATCATTAGCATATCCATCATCTTGAACATTTATCATCTCTTTGTGTTGGAAGCATTCAATATCCTCCTTCTAGCTATTTGAAACTACATTGTAGGGGTTCAGTCAGGATGGTGGGAGAAATTGTAAAATAAATACAAACCTTCTTGGAAGGCCAGAAGGTTTTTGCAAAAGCCTCGGGATAGAGTTATGGCTGAAGGCAGCCTAATCCTCTTTGAGCTATAGCAAGGGTAATTAACATAAGAATGTAGAGGAATCCATCTAAATAGTTTGTTTACTTGGGTGGTCCTGACTAACCTTTGACCATCCGGGAGTGCATGATTGCCCTCTACTCAGTGGGTCAGTAGCCTGATTGCTCTCTACTCAGTGGGTTGTTATCAGTAATTACCTTCTAGTGGTGTTTACTTGAGACCTTTGTCATTTAATGTGTGCTGAATAAATGCGGGCAGGGCCAGCGAGTCGAGGCCGTGGCTGCAACTCTTTACAGACTCTCCTTGGAGTCTGTAAGTGGCCCGGACCCTCAGCTGGACTGACAAGCATAATATCTGTGTCAATGTATGTTATTCATTCTTCGTTGGGTCAGGGTCTGCAGGACAGACCCCCGCACTACACAGCATATTATTGTTATCCCTAGTCGTTGTACAGTGCTATAGAACACTATATGTTCTATCCTTTAACAAATCTCTCCCTATCTATCTCCCTTTCCCCTTGTATATATTCTTTTGAGAAATGCCTTTTCTCGTACTTTGTCCATTCTTTTTTTTTTTTTTTTTTTTTAGATGGAGTCTCGCTTTGCCACCCAGGCTGGAGCACAGTGGCAAAATCTTGACTCACTGCAACCTCCGCCTCCCAGGTTCAAGCATTTCTCCTGCTCAGCCTTCTGAGTAGCTGGGACTATAGGTGCCCACCACAATGCCTGGCTAATTTTTGTATTTTTAGTAGAGCCGGGGTGTCACCATGTTGGCCAGGCTGGTATCGAACTCCTGATCTGCCCACCTCAGACTCCCAAAGTGCTGGGATTACAGGTTTGAGCCACCTGGGATCACCGTGCCCAGCCATACTTTGCCCATTCTTTAACTGGGTCATTTGTTTGCCTGCTGTTGAGTTCCTTACATATTGTAGATATTATCCCCTCATCAGATGTATCGTTGTCAAATATTTTCTCCTATTCCGTAGGTTGTCTCTTCACTCTTTTGATTGTTGCCATTGCTATGTAGAAACAGTTTGGTGTAATCCCATTTGTTGATTTTTGCTTTTCTTGCTTGGGCTTTTAGGCTCATATCCAAAAAACCATTGCTTAGACCAATGTCATGGAGCTTTTCTACTTTGTTTTCTTCTAGTGGTTTTACAGTTTTAGTTCTTACATTTAACTCTTTGATCGACTTTGAATTTATTTTTGCAGATGGTGTGAAAAAAAGTGAAATTTCATTCTTCTGCATGTGAATATCTAGTTTTCCTGACAGCATTTGTTGTAGAAACTGTTCTTTCCCCACTGTGCGTTATTGGCAACTGTGTTGAAAATCAATTGACCATAAATGGGTGGGTTTATTTCTGGGCTATCTATTATGTTTCATTGGTCTATGTGTCTGTTTTTATACCTATAAAATACTGTTTTGATTAGTATGGATTTGTAGTATATTTTGAAATAGGTAGTGTGAGGCCTCCAACTTTATTCTTTTTGCCCAAGATAGCCTTGACTATTTAGGGTCTTTTGTGGCTCCATATAAATTTAGAATTGCTTTTTCTGTTTCTGTGAAAAAACATGTCACTGGAGTTTTGATAAGGATTGCATAGAGCCTGTGGATCATTTTGGGTGGCATAGACATTTTAACAATATTAATTCTTCCAACCCATGATGAATATGGGATATCTTTCCATTTATTTGTGTCTTCTTTAATTTCTTTCATCAGTGTTTTATGGTTTTCAATGTATGAGTCTTTCACTTCCTGGGTAATATTTGTTTCTAAGTATTTTTTTTAATGCTAAGTATCATAAATGGGATAGTTTTCCTGATTTTTTTCCCTGAGATAGTTCATTGTTAATGTGGAACTTTACTGATTGTTGTATGTTTATTTTGTATCCTGCTGCTTTACTGAATTTACCTGTTAGTTCTGACAGATTTCTTGAAATTCTTTCTTAAATGGACACATAATGAATGTACTTACTTACGGGGTAGAATGCAGTGTTATTCATAAAATCAAATGAACTAGCATGCCTCACACATTTATCATTTATTTGTAGTAGAAACATACAGGATGTATGATGCCAACAATAAGGTATTATATATCTCAAAAAGCTAACAGTTTTTTTGGTAGAGACTTTAGGGTTTTCTATGTATAATAGCATGTCATCTGCAAATAGCAACAATTTCACTTCTACCTTTCTAACTTGGATGCCGTTTATCTCTTTCTCTTGCTTAACTGCTCCGGCCAGAACTTCCAGTGCTATGTTGAATGGAAGTGGCAAGAGTAAGCATTCTTTCTTCATTCCTGCTTCTAGAAGGAAAGCTTTTAACTTTTCACCATTAAGTATGATATTAGCTATGGGTTTGTCATATATGACTTTTATTGTGTTGAGGTACATTGCTTCTATACCTAATTTGTTGAGAGCTTTTATCATAAAGGATGTTAAACCTTGTTAAATGCTTTTTATGCATCTATGGAGATGATCATATGGTTTTTGTCCTTCATTCTGTTACTGTAGTGTGTATTACATTTATAGATTTGTGTGTGTTGAATCATCCTTGCATCTCTGTGACAAATTCCATGTGATCATGGTGAATAATCTTTTTAATGTGCTGTTGAATTTTGTTTGCTAGTATTTTGCTGAGGATTTTTGCATTTATGTTCATCAGAGATATTGGCCTGTAATTTTCTTTTCTTGTAGTATCCTTGTCTGGCTTTGGCATCAGGGTAATGCTAGCCTCATAAAACGAATTTGAAAGTATTCCTTCTTCTTTAATTTATTTGAAGAGTTTGAGAAGGTTTAGTTTTTAAAATGTTGGTAGAATTCTTCAGTGAAGCCATCTGGAAACTGGATTAACTGGGATAGGACTGGAGCCTGAATACAAAGGAGCTGGTCTAGTGCTGGGGTGGCCCTAGGTCTGCAGGGTCCTGGGGCCTGGGTCTACCAGGGATAGCCGGAGCCTGTGTCTGCAGGGGTAGTCCTGGAGCCTCAGGTTGCAGTGACTGACCTGGAACTGGAGTTCACTTGGGTGAGCATGGATCCTGGGTTCACTGGAGTCTGAAGTTCGTGGGACTAGACTGAAGCCTAAGGCTAGCCTGGTGCTGGGGCAGGCATAGAGCCTGGGTTTGCAGGGGTGTGTCTGGAGCCTGGGATTGTGGATACTGGCCTGGAGCCTGGTCCATAGGGGATAGTCTGGAAGCTGGGTATGCAGTGCTGGCCTGGAGGCTAGGTCTTCGAGGGGTGGCCTGGGTCATGGGGCCATGGAGGCAGTCCTGGAGCCTGTGTCCATGGATGCCAGGTTGGTGCGTGATGACAGGGTGCCAACTTAGGGCTGGGGCAGGCTGAAGCCTGGGGCTGAAGGGGTGAACCTGGCTCTGGGCTTGGCTGGACCCTGGAGTAGTCCGGGAGGCTGGTCCATGGGTACTGGCCTGATGATGTAGGGCTGTGGAGCCAGCCTGGTGCTGGGGCAGATTGAAGCCTAGTGCTGGGAGTGGCTCAAAGTCTGGGTCAATTGGGGCTGGCCTGATACTGGGGAAGGCCCAGAGACAGTCTGTGAGGCTAGCCTGGAGCCTGAGAATGTGAGGAGAGGCAGAGAGCCTGGGTTTGTAGAGGTTGGCCTGTGCTAGGGCAGGCCTGAGGCCCATGGCCACTGGGGCTGGCCTGGTGGTGGGGCTGGCCTGGAGACCAAGCCTTCCAGGAAGGCCTGGAGCTTGAGGATGCAGAATCCAACCCAGTGCCTTGGTGGACCTGGCAGCTCAGTCTGCTGATGCCAGCCTGGACTTTGGGGTCATGGGGGCCTTCTTGGTGCTGGGTTTCACTGGGGTCGGGTAAAGGGCTGGTGCTGGGGTCCAAGGGAGGGTCCAGTGTTCACTTCCCTGTCCCACCTGGTGGAGGTGTCTCTTGCCAGACTGTGCTGCAGAATGTGGCATGTATGCTTAAGAAGAATATATATTCTTCTGCTGTTGGGTGAAAAGTTTTGTATATGTCTGTTAAGTTTATTTGGTGTATAGTGTTATTCAAGTTTCCCATTTCTTTATTAATTTTTTGTCTTCCACGAGTAGTATTCCATGGTGTGTGTATGTGTGACATTTTCTTTATCCAGTCATCTATTGATGGCCACTTAGGTTGATTCCATATCTTTGCTATTGTGAATAGTGCTGCAATAAACATATAAGGGCAGGTATCTTTTTGATATAACAATTTATTTTCTTTTACGTAGATACGAGGTAGTGGGATTGCTGGATTGAATTGTAGTTCTATTTTTAGTTCTTTGAGAAATCTCCATACTGTTTTCCACAGAGGTTGTACTAATTTACATTCCCACTAACGGTGTGTAAGGGTTCTTTTTTCTCTATATCCTCACCAACAGCTGTTATTTTTTGTCTTTTTTTTTTTGTTTTTTTTGAGATGGAGTCTCACTCTGTCACCCAGGCTGGAGTGCAGTGGCACAATCTCAGCTCACTGCAACCTCCACCTTCCAGGTTCAAGCAATTCTTCTGCCTCAGCCTCCTGAGTAGTTGGGACTACAGGTGCGTGCCACCATGCCTGGCTAATTTTTTTTATTTTTATTAGAGACGGGGTTTCACCGTGTTAGCCAGGATGGTCTCGATCTCCGGACCTCGTGATCTGCCTGCGTCAGCCCCCGAAAGTGCTGAGATTACAGGCGTTGAGTCACCATGCCCGGCTTGTCTTTTTAATGATAGCTATTCTGGCTAGTGTAAGATGATTTCTCATTGTGGTTTTAACTCGCATTTCTCTGATGATCAGTAATGTTAAGCATTTTTTCATATGTCTGCTGGCCATCTGAATATCTTCTTTTGAAAAATGTCTATTCATGTCCTTTTTCCACTTTTTTTTTTTCCCCGAGATAGAGTTTTGCTCTTGTTGCCCAGCCTGGAGTACATTGGCATAATCTTGGCTCACTGCAACCACCTCCCAGATTCAGGCGATTCTCCTGCCTCAGCCTCCTGAGTAGCTGGGATTATAGGCATGCGCCACTACGCCTGGCTAATTTTTGCATTTTTCATAGAGACGGGGTTTCTCCATGTTGTTCAGGCTGGTCTCAAACTCCTGACCTCAGGTGATCCACCCGCCCCAGGCTCCCAAAGTGCTAGGATTACAGGCATGAGCCACCATGCCCAGCCTTTTTCCACTTTTAAACAGGACTATTTATTATTTTTTTGTTGGATTGTTTGAGTTCCTTGTAAATTCTGGATATTAGTCCCCTGAAACATAAGTATTTCCTCCCATTATTCAAGTTGTCTCTTCACTCTGTTGATAATTTTGCAGTGCAGAAGCTTTTAGTTTAATTAAGTTCAGTTTGTGTGTTTTTCTTTTTGTTACTTATGGTTTTTTGTGTGTGGTTTTTTTTGTTTGTTTGTTTGTTTGTTTGTTTGTTTGACAGAGTTTCACTCTGTCGCCGAGGCTGGAGTGCAGCTGCATGATCTTGGCTCACTGGAACCTCCACCTCCCAGGTTCAAGCAATTCCCTCCCACGTAGCTGGGATTACAGGCAAGTGCCACCATGCCCAGCTAATTTTTGTATTTTTAGTAGAGACTGGGTTTCGCCATGTTGGCCAGGCTAGTCTTGAACTCCTGACCTCAGGTGATCCACCCACCTCAGCCTCCCAAAGTGCTGGGATTACAGTTGTGAGCCACCACACCCAGCCTTGCCTGTGCTTTTGAGCTGTTAGTCATGAATTCTTTGCTTAGATCAATGTCTGGAAGAATTTTCCCCAGTTTTTCTTCTAGTATTTTTATAGTTTTAATTCTTTGTTTTTTATTTTTTTTTTATTGATCATTCTTGGGTGTTTCTCACAGAGGGGGATTTGGCAGGGTCAAAGGACAATAGTGGAGGGAAGGTCAGCAGATAAACAAGTGAACAAAGGTCTCTGGTTTTCCTAGGCAGAGGACCCTGCAGCCTTCCGCAGCGTTTGTGTCCCTGGGTACTTGAGATTAGGGAGTGGTGATGACTCTTAATGAGCATGCTGCCTTCAAGCATCTGTTTAACAAAGCACATCTTGCACCGCCCTTAATCCTTTTAACTCTGAGTGGACACAGCACATGTTTCATAGAGCACAGGGTCGGGGGTAAGGTCACAGATCAACAGGATCCCAAGGCAGAAGAATTTTTCTTAGTACAGAACAAAATGAAAAGTCTCCCATGTCCACCTCCCTCTACACAGACACGGCAACCATCCGATTCCTCAATCTTTTCCCCACCTTCCCCCCCCCCCTCCCCTCCATTCCACAAAGCCGCCATTGTCATCCTGGCCCGCTCTCAATGAGCTGTTGGGCACACCTCCCAGACGGGGTGGTGGCCGGGCAGAGGGGCTCCTCACCTCCCAGCAGGGGCGGCCGGGCAGAGGCGCCCCTCACCTCCCGGACGGGGTGGCTGGCCGGACGGGGTGGCTGGCCGGGCAGAGGGGCTCCTCACTTCCCAGTAGGGGCGGCCGGGCAGAGGCGCCCCTCACCTCCCGGATGGGGCAGCTGGCCGGGCGGGGGGCTGACCCCCCCACCTCCCTCCCAGACGGGGCGGCTGGCCGGGTGGGGGGCTGACCCCCCCACCTCCCTCCCAGACGGGGTGGCTGCCGGGCGGAGATGCTCCTCACTTCCCAGGTGGGGTGGCTGCCGGGCGGAGAGGCTCCTCACTTCTCATACGGGGCGGCTGCCGGGCGGAGGGTCTCCTCACTTCTCAGACGGGGCGGCCGGGCAGAGACGCTCCTCACCTCCCAGACAGGGTGGCGGCCGGGCAGAGGCGCTCCTCACATCCCAGATGGGGCGGCGGGGCAGAGGCGCTCCCCACATCCCAGACGATGGGCGGCCGGGCAGAGACGCTCCTCACTTCCTAGATGGGATGGCGGCCGGGAAGAGGCGCTCCTCACTTCCCAGATGGGATGGCGGCCGGGCAGAGACGCTCCTCACTTTCCAGACTGGGCAGCCAGGCAGAGGGGCTCCTCACATCCCAGACGATGGGCAGCCAGGCAGAGACGCTCCTCACTTCCCAGACGGGGTGGCGGCCGGGCAGAGGCTGCAATCTCGGCACTTTGGGAGGCCAAGGCAGGCGGCTGGGAGGTGGAGGTTGTAGCGAGCTGAGATCACACCACTGCACTCCAGCCTGGGCGCCATTGAGCACTGAGTGAATAGTTTTAATTCTTACATTAAGTCTTTAATCCATCTTGAGTTGATTTTTGCATATAGTGATTGATAGATAGATAGATAAGTAGGGGTCCAGTTTCATTTTTGTGTATATGGCAATCTATTTTCCCAGCACCATTTATTGAATAGGGTGTCCTTTCCTCAGTGTATTTTCTTGCCAACTTTGTCAAAGATCAGTTGGTTATAACATGTGGTTTTATTTCTGAGCTCTCTATTCTGTTCCATTGATCTGTGTGTTTATTTTCATACCAGTACCATGCTGTTTTGGTTACCTTAGCCTTATGGTATAATTTGAAGTCAGGCAATGTGATGTGCCCAGCTTTGTTCTTTTTGCTTAGGATTGCTTTGATTACTTTGACTCTTTTTGGTTTCATATGAGTTTTAGTATTGTTTCTTCTAATTCTGTGAAAAATGACATTGGTAGTTTGATAGGAATTGCATTGAGTCTGTAGGTCGCTTTGGGCAGTTTGGTCATTTTGCCTCTATAAATTTTTCTAATTCACAAGCATGGGATTTTTTCCATTTGTTTATGTCAGCTACAATTGCTGTCATCAGTGTTTTGTAGTTTTCCTTCTAGAGATCTTTCACCTCCTCAGTTATGTATGTTCCTAGTATTTTATTATTTTTTGTACCTATTGGAAATGGGATTGCCTTCTTGATTTGATTATCAGCTTGATCGTTATTGGTGTATAGAAATGCTGCTGATTTTTGTATATTGATTTTGTATTCTGAAACTACTGAATTCATTTATCAAATCTAAGAGTTTCTTTGGTGGAGTCTTCAGGTTTTTCTAGATATAAGGTTATATAATCAAAGAATGGGGATAATTTGACTTCTTTTCCAATTTGAATGCCTTTAATTTTTTTCTCTTGTTTGATTACTCTAACTAGGACTTCCAGTACCATGTTGAATGTGTACTGGAATTTTTATATTTTCCCTAAGCTATCCAATTGGTTGGTATACAGATGTTTATAATAGTCCCTTATGATTCTTTTTATATCTGATACATTACTAGTGGAGATAATGTCTCCACTTTCATTTCTGATTTTATTTATTTATGTCTTGTCTATTTTTTCTTTATTAGTCTTGGTAAGTGTTTGTTGATTTTAGTTTTTTAAAAAACAACCCAGTTTTGTTCATTTTTCTATAGCTTTTCCATTCTCTATTTGGTTTGTTTCTGTTTTGATCTTTGTCATTTCCTTCTGCTAATTTTTTTTTTAGTTCTTTGGGGTGTAATGTTACGTTGTCATTTTGATATCTTTCTCTTTTTAAATGTAGGCATTTATCTCCATAAACTTCCCTCTTATCACTGCTTTCATGGCATACTTTGAGTTTTGATATGTATGTTTTCACTTTTGTTCACCACTAGATATTTCAATTCCCTTTTATTTCCGCTCTGAATCAGTAGTTGTTTAAGCACGTGTTACTTAGTCTCCACATATTTGTGAATTATCTTATTTCTTGCTATTATTGATTTCCAGTTTTATACCATTTTGGTCAGAAAAGTACTTGGTGCTACGGTTTGAATGTGTCCCTCAAGAAGCATGTGTTAGAAACTTAATCCCCAATGCAACAGTGTTGGGAGGTGGGGCCTAACGAAAGGTAATTAGGTCATGAGGACTCCACTGTCATGAATGGATTAAAGCTGTTAGCATGGAAACGAGTTCCTTATGTGAGGATGAATTCAGTCCTCCTTTTTCTCTCTTTTTCTCTCTGTCTCTCTCACACATGACTGTGTGTACTCTTTTTTTAATTTATTTTATTTTATTTATTTATTTTTTGAGACAAGGTCTTGCTCTGTCACCCAGGTTGAAGTGCAGTGGTGTGATCTTGGCTACTGCACCTTCAACCTCCTGGACTCAAGTGATCCTCCTGTCTCAGCCCCCCAAGTAGCTGAGACTACAGGTGGGTGCCACCATGCCTGGCTAATTTTTATATTTTTTGAAGAGACAGGGTTTCCCCATGTTGCCCAGGCTGGCCTCAAACACCTGAACTCAAGGGATCCACCCATCTTGGCCTCCGAAAGTGCTGAGATTACAGGTATGAGCCACCATGCCTGGCCCATGTGTGTAGTCTCTTTTCTTTCTGCCTTTCACCATGGAATAGCATGGAAAGAACACCCTTACCATATACTGGTGCCTTTATCTTGGACTTCCCAGATCCAGACTGTGAGAAAATAAATTTCTGTTCTTTATAAATTACCCAGTCTCAGGCATTCTGTTATAGTAGCATGAAACAGACTAAGACATTTGATATAATTTCAATCCTCTTAACCCTTTTCCCATTTAGAAAAAAAAAAGTGCAGGTCACTTCCAGCGCTCATTTAATTTTACATAAACATGCTCTTTGAGACTGAAGCAAATCTGACTGATTTTCAATGTCAAAATAAAATATAAAAACTATTCTTGGAGTTATTTCTAAACAGAACTAACATCAGAATCATCTGAATCATCAGAATAATCTATTTTAGAAAAATAGGATACATCAAATGAATCTTTGATCAACAACTGTTCAAGAATGATGTTAACATCCACATAGGAATGCTACGGTTTCTAGGATTTGACATTTTCAGTGATCGAGAATTACTATATTTTGTAAATGGAAATACCACTACTAAAAACAGAATGCCATAAATAGAATGATATCTTTTGTTTCCAAAGTTGATATACTACAGCGATGAGAAAATAATAATAAAAGCAAGATATTTTGTGGCAAAGTTATCTCTGGGTAAACACTGCAGCCGCAAGCACCACCAGAGAGTATTCTCAGGACAAATAGGAAAAGGGGAAGTCTGTTAAGACATTATTTGTGACCTAACACGTGATCTATCCTGGAGAATGTTGCATGTGTGCTTGAGAAGAATGTGTATTCTTCTGCTGTTGGGTGAAAATTTTGTATATGTCTGTTAAGTTTATTTGGTGTATAGTGTTATTCATGCTTCCTGTTTCTTTATTAATTTTTTGTCTAGATTTTCTACCTACTATTGTATCCAAAGTGGGATATTGAAGTCAGTCTCCTACGATTATCATATTGCTGTCAATTTACCTTTTCATATCTGTCAATATTTGCTTTATATAATTAGGTGCTCTGATGTGTGGTGCACATATATTAATGATTTTTATAACTTCCTGTTGAATTGACCCTTTTATTATAATATAATGACCTTCCTGTAAAGGTTTGCAGAGGTCTCACAATCTCCTTCCATGGAGGATCTGAAGATCTGAATTTTCGGCTGTAGTAAGCTGGTAGAGAAGGCTGAGGAAGTGTCCAGGCTTGGGGAGGTCTATTGTTTATCTGCCTTGTCAGTTCCAGATCTGCAGGCTAGTTAGAATCAAGACCTTCAGGAGGCATTTAGAAAAGTGCAGACGAACTCCTTCCAGGGAAAAACAGGAAGCTGAACTTATTCCAAGGACTACTGTCACTGGAAGTTTTTATGTGCCCATTTATAATGACCTTTTTATTCTCGTTGTTCCAGGAGAACTCATGAATGCCAAGTCCCTGCCACCCCCAAGTGAAGTGATTTAGGAACCAGACCCCTGAGCAAAAGCTGCAGAGTTTGCGCAAACTCTTTCCAGGGAAAATCTGCAAACCTGGTTTTATGGCTGGAGGGAGCCAGGAGAGAAGGATTGGAAAGAGTCCTCCATCTTGTTCGGTCTTGAGGTCTGTTCTTAATCTGTCCCATAGTCTCCAACATGCAGGCAAGGTATAATCCAGAAACTTAGGCAGCAGATGAAAACGTGTTTTGGACAAACCTCTTGCAGAGAGAAGCTGAAAGCTGGACTGATCCTGGGGGGCCATGGTTACCAGAGTCATTCATGTGTCTACTTAAAGTGCCTCTTTGTTTCAGTGCTCCAGGGAAAGTCTTTTTTTTTTCTTTTTTTTTTTGGTTTGAGATGGAGTCTCCCTCTGTCACCCAGACTGGAGTGCAGTGGTGTGATCTCTGCTCACTGCAACCTCTGTCTCCGGGTTCAAGCGATTCTCGTGCCTCAGCCTCCTGAGTAGCTGGGGCTACAGGTATGAGCCACCACGCCCGGCTAATTTTTATATTTTTAGTAGAGATGGAGTTTCACCATGTTGGCCAGGCTGGTCTTGAACTCCCAACCTCAGGTGATCCACCCACCTCAGCCCCGCAAAGTGCTGGGATTACAGGCATGAACCACCACGCCCAGTTGCTCCAGGGAAACTCTTGAGTGCTAAGTCCCTGCCGCTCCCTGAGCTAGGTAATACAAGAGCCAAACCCTCAAGTAGCAACCTCAAATGTTGGGGCACTATATGCACAAACCCTTCACTGTTCAGGAAGAAGCTGGGAGTTGGACCTTCCTTTACACTTTAAGGCTTTGTGCTCAGGAGTGGGTGGTGTGTAAGTGTGTCTCCACTTTTCCTACCTGTTTCAATGTGGACATTTTCTCAGTTGCCCATTGTGCAGGTATCTCGCAACTAGTTTCTGACTTTTTCTCAGAGAGAATTTATCCATCTCTAAATGTTTATTTGGTGCATCCACGGGAGGAGGGCTAGTCAGGAGCCTCCTATTCCACCATGTTGCTGAGGTCAATTCCATCATTTTTCTTAATGTAGAGGTTTATTTTTTATTTTTTAACTTTCTCCTTAGAACTGCTTTTGGTGCATCTCCTAAGTTTTGGTATGTTGTGTTTCCATCTTCATTTGTCTCAACATATTTTTTTGGTTTCTCCTTTGACCCTTGGTTGTTTAGGAAAGTGTTGCTTAATTTTCACATTTCTAGTTTCATACCTTTGTGGTAGGAACAGATATTTATTATAATTTCAGTCTTCTTAAATTTGCTAAGACTGGTTTTGTAGCCTAATGTATGATCTATCTTAGAGAATCTTCCGTGTGCACTTCAGAAAAATGTGTATTCTGCTGCTATTGGATTTGCGCATATGTTTACTGGGTCTATTTGTCTACAGTGTTGTTCAAATCTTCAGTTTCCTTATTGATTTTATATTTAGATATTCTACTCTTTGTTGAAAACAAGGTACTAAAGTCCCCTATTATTATTGCTTTGTTATTTATTTCTCTTTTCAGTTCTATTGAGATTATTGCTATATAGAAATGCTACTGATTTTTGTACATTGATTTTGTATCCTGAAGCTTTGCTGAAGTTGTTTATCAGATCTAGGAGATGAGACTATGGGGTTATCTAGGTATACTATCCTACCATCTGTGAAGAGATATTTTGACTTCCTCTGTTCCTATTTGGATGCCTTTTATTTCTTTCTCTTCCCTGATTACTCTGGCTAGGACTTCCAGTACTGTGTTGAATAGGAGTGGTGAGTGTGAGCTTGTCTTGTTCCAGTTCTCAGAGAATGTTTCCAGCTTTTGCCTGTTCAGTATAATGTTTGCTGTGAGTTTGTTAGATGGTTGTTAGTATTTTGAGGTATGTCCCTTTGATGCCTAGTTTGTTGAGGGTTTTTTTATTTTATTTTATTTTATTATTATTATACTTTAAGTTTTAGGGTACATGTGCACAATGTGCAGGTTAGTTACATATGTATACATGTGCCATGCTGGTGTGCTGCACCCATTAACTCGTCATTTAGCATTAGGCATATCTCCTAATGCTATCCCTCCCCCCTCCCCCCACCCCACAACAGTCCCCAGAGTATGATGTTCCCCTTCCTGTGTCCATGTGTTCTCATTGTTCAATTACCACCTATGAGTGAGAATATGCGGTGTTTGGTTTCTTGTTCTTGCGATAGTTTACAGAGAATGATGATTTCCAGTTTCATCCATGTCCCTACAAAGGACATGAACTCATCATTTTTTATGGCTGCATAGTATTCCATGGTGTATATGTGCCACATTTTCTTAATCCAGTCTATTATTGTTGGACATTTGGGTTGGTTCCAAGTCTTTGCTATTGTGAAGAGAGCCACAGTAAACATACATGTGCATGTGTCTTTATAGCAGCACGATTTATAGTCCTTTGGGTATATACCGAGTAATGGGATGGCTGGGTCAAATGGTATTTCTAGTTCTAGATCCCTGAGGAATCGCCACACTGACTTCCACAGTGGTTGAACTAGTTAACAGTCCCACCAACAGTGTAAAAGTGTTCCTATTTCTCCACATCCTCTCCAGCACCTGTTGTTTCCTGAATTTTAATGATTGCCATTCTAACTGGTGTGAGATGGTATCTCATTGTGGTTTTGATTTGCATTTCTCTGATGGCCAGTGATGGTGAGCATTTTTTTGTGTGTTTTTTGGCTGCATAAATGTCTTCTTTTGAGAAGTGTCTGTTCATGTCCTTTGCCCACTTTTTGATGGGGTTGTTTGTTTTTTTCTTGTAAATTTGTTTGAGTTCATTGTAGATTCTGGATATTAGCCCTTTGTCACATGAGTAGGTTGCGAAAATTTTCTCCCATTTTGTAGGTTGCTTGTTCACTCTGATGGTAGTTTCTTTTGCTGTGCAGAAGCTCTTTAGTTTAATTAGATCCCATTTGTCAATTTTGGCTTTTGTTGCCATTGCTTTTGGTGTTTTAGACATGAAGTCCTTGCCCATGCCTATGTCCTGAATGGTAATGCCTAGGTTTTCTTCTAGGGTTTTTATGGTTTTAGTTGTAACATTTAAGTCTTTAATCCATCTTGAATTAATTTTTGTATAAGCTGTAAGGAAGGGATCCAGTTTCAGCTTTCTACATATGGCTAGCCAGTTTTCCCAGCACCATTTATTAAATAGGGAATCCTTTTGCCATTGTTTGTTTTTCTCAGGTTTGTCAAAGATCAGATAGTTGTAGATATGTGGCATTATTTCTGAGGGCTCTGTTCTGTTCCATTGATCTATATCTCTGTTTTGGTACCAGTACCATGCTGTTTTGGTTACTGCAGCCTTGTAGTATAGTTTGAAGTCAGGTAGCATGATGCCTCCAGCTTTGTTCTTTTGGCTTAGGATCGACTTAGTGATGCGGGCTCTTTTTTGGTTCCATATGAACTTTAAAGTAGTTTTTCCCAATTCTGTGAAGAAAGTCATTGGTAGCTTGATGGGGATGGCATTGAATCTATAAATTATCTTGGGCAGTATGGCCATTTTCACAATATTGATTCTTCCTACCCATGAGCATGGAATGTTCTTCCATTTCTTTGTATCCTCTTTTATTTCACTGAGCAGTGGTTTGTAGTTTTCCTTGAAGAGGTCCTTCACGTCCCTTGTAAGTTGGATTCCTAGGTATTTTATTCTCTTTGAGGCAATTGTGAATGGGAGTTCACTCATGATTTGGCTCTCTGTTGGTCTGTTATTGGTGTATAAGAATGCTTGTGGTTTTTGTACATTGATTTTGTATCCTGAGACTTTGCTGAAGTTGCTTATCAGCTTAAGGAGATTTTGGGCTGAGACAATGGGGTTTTCTAGATATATAATCATGTCATCCGCAAACAGGGACAATTTGACTTCCTCTTTCCCTAATTGAATACCCTTTATTTCCTTCTCCTGCCTAATTGCCCTGGCCAGAACTTCCAACACTATGTTGAATAGGAGTGGTGAGAGAGGGCATCCCTGTCTTGTGCCAGTTTTCAAAGGGAATGCTTCCAGTTTTTGTCCATTCAGTATGATATTGGCTGTGGGTTTGTCATAGATAGCTCTTATTATTTTGAGATACACCCCATTGATACCTAATTTATTGAGAGTTTTTAGCATGAAGGGTTGTTGAATTTTGTCAAAGGCCTTTTCTGCATCTATTGAGATAATCATGTGGTTTTTGTCTTTGGTTCTGTTTATATGCTGGATTACATTTATTGATTTGCGTATATTGAACCAGCCTTGCATCCCAGGGATGAAGCCCACTTGATCATGGTGGATAAGCTTTTTGATGTGTTGCTGGATTCGGTTTGCCAGTATTTTATTGAGGATTTTTGCATCAATGTTCATCAAGGATATTGGTCTAAAATTCTCTTTTTTGGTTGTGTCTCTGCCCGGCTTTGGTATCAGGATGATGCTGGCCTCATAAAATGAGTTAGGGAGGATTCCCTCTTTATCTATCGATTTGAATAGTTTCAGAAGGAATGGTACCAGTTCCTCCTTGTACCTCTGGTAGAATTCGGCTGTGAATCCATCTGATCCTGGACTCTTGTTGGTTGGTAAGCTATTGATTATTGCCACAATTTCAGATCCTGTTATTGGTCTCTTCAGAGATTCAACTTCTTCCTGGTTTAGTCTTGCCAGGGTGTATGTGTCGTGGAATTTATCCATTTCTTCTAGATTTTCTAGTTTACTTGCGTAGAGGTGTTTGTAGTATTCTCTGATGGTAGTTTGTATTTCTGTGGGATCGGTGGTGATATCCCCTTTATCATTTTTTGTTGCATCTATTTGATTCTTCTCTCTTTTCTTCTTTATTAGTCTTGCTAGCGGTCTATCAATTTTGTTGATCCTTTCAAAAAACCAGCTCCTGGATTCATTAATTTTTTGAAGTGTTCTTTGTGTCTCTATTTCCTTCAGTTCTGCTCCGATTTTACTTATTTCTTGCCTTCTGTTAGCTTTTGAATGTGTTTGCTCTTGCTTTTCTAGTTCTTTTAATTATGATGTTAGGGTGTCAATTTTGAATCTTTCCTGCTTTCTCTTGTGGGCATTTAGTGCTATAAATTTCCCTCTACACACTGCTTTGAATGTGTCTAGCTAGCAGTCTATCAATCTTATTTATTCTTTCTCAACACCAATGATTTTGTTGGTCTTTTGTATGGTTTTTTTTTATTATTTATTTGCATTAATTATTTTTCTTCTTTTAAAAATTTGTGTATGGGTTTTCTCATTTCCATTTCATTCAGTTTAGCTCTGATTTTGTTTTTTTTTTTCTTCTGTTAGCTTTGGGGTTGGTTTGTTCTTGTCTTTTGAGTTCCTCTAGTTCCTCTAGGTGTGATGTTATTGTTAATTTGAGATCATTAAGCACTATAAATTTTCCTCTTGACACTGCTTTAGCTTCATCCCAGAGATTCTGGTATGTTGTATCTTTGTTTTCATTAGTTGCAAAGAATTTCTTGATTTCTGCCTTAATTTCATTGTTTACTCAGAAGTTATTCAGGAGCAGATTGGTTAATTTCCATGTAATTTTATGGTTTTGAGAGATCTTCTTGGTATTGATTTCCATGTTTATTGTGCTGTGGTCTGACAGTGTGATTGGTATGATTTTGGTTTTTTTGAATTTGTTGAAAATTGCTTCATGACCAAGTGTGGTCAATTTTAGAGTATGTGCCATGTGCAGAGGAGAAGAATGTATATTCTGTTTTTGTTGGTTAGACTGTTCTTTATATGTCTGTTAGGTCTATTTGGTCAAGTGTCAAGTTCAGGTCTTGAATATCCTTGTTAGTATTCTGCTTCAATGATCTGTCCAATAATGTCAGTGGGGTGTTAAAGTCTCCCACTATTATTGTGTGTTATTTAAGTCTCTAAGAACTTGTTTTACGAATCTGGGTGCTCCTGTGTTGGGTGGATATATATTTAAGATAGTTAAGTCTTCTTTGTCAAATTGAACTCTTTATCATTATTAATGCCCTTCTTTGTCCTTTTCATCATTATTAAAGTTAGCTTTGTCTGAAATAAGAATAGCAACCCCTGCTCTTTTCTGTTTTCCATCTGCTTGATAGATCTTTCTCCATATTTTTACTTTGAGCCTATGAGTGACCTTGCATGTGAGATCAGTGTCTTGAAGACAGAATACAGTTGGGTTTTGTTTCTTTATCCAACTTGCCAGTATGTATCTTTTAAGTGGGAGTGTTTAGCCCATTTATGTTCAAGGCTACTATTAATATGTATGGATTTAACTTTGTCATCCTGTTGTTGGTTGTTATGAAGACTTGATTGTATATTTGCTTTACAGTGTCAGTAGTCTATGTACTTGAGTGTGTTTTTGTGGTGGTTGTTAACAGTCTTTCATTTCCATGTTTAACACTCCCATAAGGACCTCTTGTAAGGCAGACCTGGTGGTAATGAAGTCCCTTAGCATTTGCTTGTCTGAAAAGGATTTTATTTCTCCTTTGCTTATGAAGCTTAATTTGGCTGAATATGAAATTCTTGATTGGAATCTCTCTTTTTTGAGGATGCTAAATATAGCCCCCCCATCTCTTCTGGCTCATAGGGCTTCTGCTGAAAGGTCCACTATTAGCCTGATGACGTTCACTTTGTCAGTGACCTGCCCCTTCTCTCTAGCTGCCTTTAACATTTTTCCTTTTACATTGACCTTGGAGAATCTGATGACTATGTGTCTTGTGGATGGTCCTCTTGTATAGGATCTCACAGGGGTTCTCTGCATATCCTGAATTTGCATGTTGATCTCTCTAGCAAGGTTGGGGAAAATTTTCATGGACAATATACTCAATTATGTTTTCCAAGTTTTTTGCTCTCTCTCCCCTCTTTTAGGGACACCAGTCAGCCATAGATTTAGTCTCTTTACATAATCCCATATTTTCTGGACATTTATTCATTTTTAGAAATTCTTTTTCTTTATTTTTGTCTGACTAAATTAATTTGAAGAACCAGTCTTTGAGCTGAGATTCTTTCCTCAGCTTGGTCTATTCTGCTATTAATATTTCCAATTGTGTTATGAACTTATTGTAGTGAGTTTTTCAGCTCTAACAGTTCAGTTTGATGCTATGGCTTTGCACATATGCTTCATTGTTTAATAGGTAGTTTAGGCTGGGCACAGTGGCTCATGTCTGTAATCCCAGCACTTTGGGAGGCCGAGGTGGGTGGATCACCTGAGGTCAGGAGTTCAAGACCAGCCAGGCCAACTTGGTGAAACCCTGTCTCTATTAAAAATACAAAAATTAGCCAGGCGTGGTGGTGCGTGCCTGTAATCCCAGCTACTCAGGAGACTGAGGCAGGAGAATCGCTTGAACTGAGGCAGAGGTTGCAGTGAGCCCAGATTGTGCCACTGCACTCCAGCCTGGGCAACAGAATGAGACTCTGTCTCAAGAAAAAACAAAAAGGTAGTTTAAACTTGCACAATCACACTGCATTCTAACCCACAGGAAAAAGGTGCATCTTTTCTGTTAACTTCCACATACATCATTTCCTTACATCTCCTTACACTGGCCAAAGCAGCAACACAGTCACACCTGGCTGAAAAAGAGATTAGAGAATACAGTGTTTAGCTGGGTGGCAATGTGTCTAGTTGTTAAAAATTAGGGTTCTTATTAAGAAGTTATCTTTCTGTATAGCTCTTTCCTTTCCAAATACTCTTTCCTTGAAACTCTAACCACCTTCTTCTCTCCAAACTCTCGGTTCCATCTTCTCAACTCAAGGAGTTTCCTGAGCTCTGTCTGGGTTCCACCACCCTACATTCATTCCAACTTAGATCTTTCTCTGATCAGTAAGCTGGGGCAATTGGAGAGGTCACCTTGTTTGTTTCCAATCTTGAAGGATTATTTTCCTTCACTGCCTCATATCCAGTGTCACAAAAACCTTTGTTTCATTTTCTTTTTTTCCTTCCTTCTTTCCTGCCTGCCTGTCACCTCCCTGCCTCCCTCCCTCCCTCCTTTCCTTCTTTCCTTCCTTTCATGTTTTAGGTAGGAAGTGTTAATTAGGTCCTTGTTTTGTCTTGGCTGAGAGTAGGAGCTCACTTTTTCCTACTTATTTTGTATTAATATCTCTCATCTGCATGGTGCTTTGCAAAGTATTTTGGTATCCTTCACAATTTGCCAGAATGTAAGTGAAGCTGGCATATACGTGTTACTTTCTGCCTAGCATAAAAGTGACTTTGAATAGTCACATCTGTAAGTATCCCTCCTTGCCCATGGAATTTGAGCCTGGGGAAAATGAGGATTAGTTGAAGCAGAGAATGTGTATGGGCTGCCAGGGTGTTGGCCCAGGAACACAGTAAGCAATGTCCTGAGCAAGACTGTATTGTAGAAATGACCAGAGGCCAGAGTGCATGATGAGCAGATGATCTTGAATAACACTTCTGTGCAATTTTGCCTGATCAAAATTAGCAAAAATTTGGTATAATGTTTAGCAATTAACGCATTATAGTAACAAATGTACTGATTTTAAGTTATTGGCAGTCTGATTACCTAGATGTGGTTTGATTTGTGGAACAAATATTTTCAAGGTGGCTGGGCACGGTGGCTCACGCCTGTAATCCCAGCACTTTGAGAGGCCAAGGCAGGCAGATCACCTGAGGTTGGGAGTTTGAGACCAACCTGGCCAACATGGTGAAACCCCATCTCTACTAAAATTACAAAAAATAGCCAGGCGTGGTGGTGCACACCTGTAGTTCCAGCTACTTGGGAGGCTGAGGCAGGAAAATCGCTTGATCCCAGGAGGTGGAGGTTGCAGTGAGCAGAGATCACCCCACTGCACTACAGCCTGGGAGACAGAGTGAGACTTCATCTCAAAAAAAAAAAAATTTTTTTCAAGGTAAGTAATCTAGGTTCCATAAGCCTCAGTTTCATACTTTTGTATGTGTGAGGGAAGAAACTACTTGGTCTTTCTATAGCAAATGTTATGTTTTTGTGAAAGGTTTTCTGAAGGTAGATGAACCAAAATAAAGATTCTACAGATGTCAGAGGCCCAACTGTCCATAAGCATCCCCTCTCCCAACCTTGCAAGTTACTGTATTGATTGGATTTTCCATGTAAAACTTCAATTGTAACCTCCAGAGTTTGTGGACTCATGAGAATTAATTACATTTTTCACGAATATTTTGGTTTTTTACACTTTCTTCCCTCCTACAACTTAAAGTTTTTGCTGATACCATAATCAAAACAAAACAAACAGAAGCAGAAGGAGTGCCACATAATGGAATTATTGCCCAAAATTAAAATACAAAAGACTTTAGTATATAAATTAGGCTGGCCGCAGTGGCTCATGCCTGTAATCCTAGCACTTTGGGAAGCCGAGGCGGGTAGATCACCTGAGGTCAGGAATTTGAGACCAGCTGGCTAACATGGTGAAACCCCATATCTATTAAAAAATAATAATAATACAAAAAATTAGCTGGGTGTGTTGGTGGCCACCTGTAATCCCAGCTACTTGGGAGGCTGAAGCAGGAGAATCGCTTGAACCCAGGAGGTGGAGGTTGCAGTGAGCTGAGATTGGGCCATTGCACTCCAGCCTAGGCAACAAGAGCAAAACTCCATCTCAAAAAAAAACCCCAAAACAAAGACTTTAGTGTATAAATTGAGTTGACTATAATGACTGTATATTTTTTGTTGACACATTATTCTTTACAAATGTTTTGGGAGAGATGTGCTTGAATTTTCAATCTTAAGGGCACACAAGTTTTGTAGTTATAAATTCTATTGCTGCTATATTGTTTCTAATACCTTTTACAGAAGTAAAATGTCTTCATACCACTAAATAACATTTACCTTCAAGTGAAGAGGGAATGAAAGCTCATAAAACTGCAATACAAAATTTGTCTTCAGCAATAGGATTAATTTTATTTTTGTAGATGTATGAACCTATAAATTTATTGCTGGATATTTAACATATCAAAATAACAGAACAAGGAGCTTGTATTAAGTGTATCGATGGCTGGGCGTGCTGGCTCACGCCTGTTATCCCAGCATTTTGGGAGACCAAAACGGGTGGGTCACCTGCGGTCAGGAGTTCAAGACCAGCCTGACCAACATGGTGAAACCCCATCTCTACTAAAAATACAAAAATTAGGTAAGCGTGGTGGCAGACACTTGTAATCCCAGCAACACGGGAGGCTGAGGCAGGAGAACTGCTGGAACCCCTGAGGAAGAGGCTGCAGCAGTAAGCTAAGATTGTGCCACTACACTCCAGCCTGGGCGACCGAGCGTCACTGCACTTCAGCCTGGGCATCTCAAAAAAAAAAGAAAAAGAAAAAGAAAAAGAAATATATCGGGAAATTTGTGATTTTCCTTTTTTTTTTTTTAAGTTAGACAAACTGAAGAGGCAAACGATGAGAAGTAACGTGACTTCTCATTGAGCTCAATGAACATGGGATCTACTCAGGTGCTCTGACTTCTGAGCCCCCCACTCACAACTCCTAACTGTTAAGCTATTCTAACGCCAGGGTATGCTGGAATTTAATCATCAACAAAAACTGCTGAACAGTTCTAAACGAGGAAATACCATGTTAAGAAAAAAAACAATGCTCTGGTTGCAGTAAGGAAACAGATTGTAGATGAAGATAGCATCAGGGTACCAGTAGAGAGGCTGTTGTGGTACACAAGAGAAGTATAAATAATCACATGGAATTCTCTCCTGGAGCTCCCACAGCTATCAAGTTCCACTAAAGAAGTAGAAAATGTAGACCAGGCGTGGTGGCTCACACCTGTAATCCTAGCACTTTGGGAGGCTGAGGCCGGCAGACCACCTGAGGTCGGGAGTTCAAGACCAGCATGGACAACATGGTGAAACCCTGTCTCTACTAAAAATACAAAAATTAGCCGGGCGTGGTGGCAGGCGCCTGTAATCCCAGCTTCTTGGGAGGCTGACGCAGGAGAATTGAACCTGGAAAACGGAGGTTGTAGTGAGCCAAGATCGTGCCACTGCACTCCAGCCTGGGCGACAGAGCAAGACTCTGTCAAAAAAAAAAAAAAAGTAGAAATATGTCACTGATCGTTTAGAGATCATCGTCCTTGAATTTACCTAAGAGAAGGCAAAACCTTCAAATGTCTGTGTAGCTATCATTGGTAGGAACAATCCATACTCTAGAGCCAAAACACTGAGAGTGGGGACCTGCCCTTCTAGGCTATGTTTTACTTATAGGACTCCACAGAACGAGCAGGGAGAAGTCGTATTAATTTTTTTCCCCAACAAGGTTTAAAAGTAAGTCCTGTGTGACATCATCGAGCCATGGAAATTCTGTAATTAAAATCCGAGCCTCGCCGGGTGTGGTGGCTCACGCCCGTAATCCTAGCACTTTGTGGGGCAGAGGCGTGTGGATCACTTGAGATCAGGAGTTTGAGACAAGCCTGACCAACATGGTGGAACCCTGTCTCTACTAAAAATACAAAAATTAGCTAGGCATGGTGGCATTTGCCTATAATCCCAGTTTCTCCGGAGGCTGAGGCAAAAGAATCGCTTAAGCACGGGAGGCAGAGGTTGCAGTGAGCCGAGATCGCACCAGCGCACTCCAGCCTGGGTGACAGAGCGCGACTCCATCTCAAAAAAAAAAAAAAAAAAAAAAAAAAAAACAATCTGAGCCTCAAAGTCTACAAGGAGGAGGACTTTGCTTCTCAGTATCATTTTTCTTTCTTTCTTTTTTTTTTTTTTTTTTTTTTTTTGAGACAGAGTCTCGCCCTTTCGCCAGGCTGGAGTGCAGTGGCGTGATCTCCGCTCACTGCAACCTCCACCTCCTGGGTTCAAGCGATTCCCCTGCCTCAGCCTCCCAAGTAGCTGGGACTACAGTCGCGCGCCACCAGGCCCATCTAATTTTTGTATTTTTAGTAGAGACGGGGTTTCACCATGTTGGCCAGGATGGTCTCGATCTCCTGGCCTCGTGATCCACCTGCCTCAGCCTCCCAAAGTGCTGGGATTATAGGCGTGAGCTACCGCGCCTGGCCCTCAGTATCATTTTTCTAAAGGGAGCCAGGAGCCAGGTGCATGACTTCCTTCCCGTGGTTGCCCGCGGTCCTGAGCGGTTAGTGAGCCTGGCCAGGAAGGACTCAGGTGCGCACATCCTCTTCTAAAGACAGCCAGAAGTCCATTAGGGTTGAGAATTATCATGTCATTTTCCATCACAAGATTTTTATCAAATCTATTTAAGAATATTTTTGTTTGATTTAAAAAAAAAAACCCTTTTAAGTCCAAAAACAAGAGTTTCAAAATTGTAGTTGGTAAAATACAACGACGTCACGAGTGCAGTGGTAGGGGAAGTCCCAGGATTTGAGCGCAGGAGCCACTCACAGCGCGTTCCTGGGCTGCCGTCCTGTCCTCGGGCTGTGGCCTTTCAGGGCTCCCAAGGCTGCACAAAGGCTGTCTTCCCAAGACAAGGTGGGGGCTGCGGCGCTGCTCCCGGACGGAAGCGCGGCCTCCCTAGGCCTAGTTTTCTGTTCCTAGATGTGAGTTCAAACCCACTAGAAAGGTCGGGTTCAAAAGGTTTGCCAAAGCAAAGCTGCAAACTCTTCCACTTCAGAAGCACACCCCTAAATAAGAAAAACAAAAGTCGGGGGGTATCCTTTTGAGAGCAAAGGAGCGAAGACGTGACGTTATGTGACAATTTAGGGTGTTCTGTACAATTCACCCACCTCGATGCCGCCGAGCGCCCTTTAACTCACCTGTGGGAACTCCAGCATGTCCCGGGCGGCACCCAAGGGCGCCCCCATAGCCCATTGCCCCAAAGTCCCCCAGCCAGGACGCTGTCACCAGGGCCCGCCCCTCTCGGGAGTTCCCGCTCCGCGACTCCCTGGCCGGAGCCCAGGAGCAGCCAGGCCCAGGCTGCGTCCCCTGCGCGTCCCCGCGGAGGTCCAAGGGTCCCCAAGGCCCAGGCCCCGTCCCCGGACAGCCCCGGTGCCCCAGGACCCCCGGCCGCAGCTCACCTGGGACCAGCCGCCCGTGGAGCCACCCCTCGCTCAGCCGCCCCCAAGTTCCCGCAGGAGGAACTGGCGACAGACACGTCCGGCCCGCCGCCGCCGGGCTCCTGGGACGCCCCCCGGGGCCTCGCTGGCTGGGACCCGCCCAGAACCTGCTGCTCCACCGCCGCCCCTCGGGGCCCCCAGCGCGCTGCCCTCCCTCGCTGCGTGCCCCGGGCTGCGCTTCCCCGGAGGGCCGCACACCGCCAGAGCCCAGTGCAAATTAAGGAGATTCCGATTCCGGAGCCTGAGGACGCCGCTGGGGGTCAGGGAAGGTCACGCTGTTGATTCTGGTGATGGCTTCAAGAGGTATTCAACTTCATCACATTTTGCAAGTTGAATATATGCGGTTATTGGTATTCCATTTTACCTCAATAAAGCTGCTTTAAAAAAATTCTGTGCATGTTGTTTGGCAGACTTTAGGAAATACAGGACTGTACATTCCTAGCCATTAGTATATTGGGTCAGAGGACAAGTCCATGTAAAATAGTTAGGTATATTTCCAAATTATCACCTTAAGTGTTTGAGCTAATTTTTTTTCTTTCTCCAGTAAGAATTTTTTTCTTTCTCATTTTTTCCATGGACTGGCTCAAGGTTATTAACTGTTTTTTAACAAAAAATGTTTAATTAATGCTAACCTAGTTGGCAAAAAAGAAAAAAAAAAGATGATCTAGTTTTTTCCATTACTTTCATGGTAAATGAGGGTGAACATCTTTCCATATCTGTGGTGTGGTTTCCCACGACTGTCATTACAAATGACCGCAAACTTGGTAGCTCAAAACATCATCAATTTATTATCTTATGGTCTGGGCGCAGTGGCTCATGCCTGTAGTCCCAGCACTTTGGGAGGCCAAAGCAGGCAGATCACCCGAGGCCAGGAGTTCAAGACCAGCCTGGCCAACATGGTGAAACACCGTCTCTGCTAAAAATACAAAAATTAGCCAGGTGTGGTGGTGGGCGCCTGTAGTCCCAGCTACTAGAGAGTTGGAGGTGGGAAAGTCGCTGGAACCTTGGAGGCAGAGGTTGCAGTGAGCCAAGATCATGCCACTGCACTCCAGCCTGGGCGACAGAGCAAGACCTTGTCTCAAAATAAATAAATAAATAAGCAAACAAATTTATGATCTTATGGACTTACAGGTCAGAAATCTGAAATGAGACTCACTAGGCTAAAATTAAGTTGTCCTCTAGGCTGTGTTCCCCTTGGAGTCTCTGGAAAAGAGTTCTTTCTCTTTCTTCTTTCATTCTATAGAAGAACCCACATTCTTTCACTCCTGGTCCCTTTCCAGCTTGAAAGCCAGCAATGACCACCAGGTCCAGTCTTTCTCACATCACACCAGGCCGACTCTCTCCTGCATCCTTTCACTTCTAAGGACCCTTGTGATTTTGCTGCACCCACCAGGATAGTCAAGGATAATCTCTCCATCTCACAGTCAGCTGAATAGAACCATAATTTAACCTGTAATGACATGGACAATTAACAAGCACTTTAAGTTGTGAGAACTTTTAATTAGAGGGATATTACTCACTTGGAAACTGAGGCTCACAAAGTTGCCAAACCGCATGGCCAGTGTGTAGGTATTTATTTCTTACACTTAATGTTTCTTAAAAAATAATTCATTACCAGATGGGAAAGATCAAGATTCCAATGCCCTTTCAAAGCTCATTAAGGAAAAGTTTTATGAAGGCCTCTGGTACATGCCAGGAAACTCACAGGAGATGGTGCTGCCTCAGATGCCTTAGAAGACAATGCTGCCAAGAACACGTCTAGCATTGAAGCCACACACAATGGCTCATGCCTGTAATTCCAGCACTTTGGAAGGCAGAGACTAGAGGATCCTTTGAGCCCAGAAGTTCAAGACCAGCCTGGGCAACATAGTGAGACCCCATCTCTTAAAAAAAGAAAAGAAAAAACATCTAATTTTGTTGATTCCTCAAAACTTCCTGGCACAGTTTGAACTAATCCAACTACCTGGACTATAATGAATTTCAGGGTAACATTAGTGAGACGTAGTGAAGAACTGAAGTCTTTTCTCTCAACCCAGTGTCTTGAGAATAGCAGGGGAAACTGATTCCCGTTTAGCATGCTAGATGAGTCAATGAAGGAAGGGTTGACTGTGAGATTACAAAAACACATTTTCTAAAGAATTGTAGAAAACCAGGATCACAAACTCATTCTGTAACAAAAATGAAGCACCACTGATTTACAGAGGAATTCACAACTGGTGATGTCTCTTAAATTAAGAAACTTAATAGGAACTCCCTCATCGAGGCAGGCTCTGCTTCAGCTGAGGAATAAATTAGCCAGAGCCAGATGGAGGAAAAGAGAACTGATGTGGTAACTGTTTGGACTTCCAGGAAGGCCAAAAGCTCTCATGTTTCTTCCACCAAGAGGACTACAATGAAGAACTCAACCATCAGTGAAAGAAGAGTCTTCTCCAGAAATCTGATTGGAAATGATGACACAAATACCACCATCAGTCAAAGTGGGACCCTGACTTGCTCATGGTGGTACCAGGTTAGAATCATGGCAAAAAGCAGGTTGTAGGTTTCACATTACATAGTTTGGCCCATGGTTTCCACTGCCAATACTTTGGGAGAGAGGTAAACTGGTTAGGTGGAAATGAGTTAGGTGCTGAACTGGTTAGGTGGAACCTTGGTCTTATTTCCTGGAGATGTGACATTTTGGGGGCCTGTTCCTGCTGCGACTGGCACAGCAATCAGGACTTGCAGCCACCAGAGGGTCCCAGGGCTGGGGAGGAGACAGGGGTCTTGCGTATCTGAAGTTCAGCGTCTCGGCAGCGTGGCTACTTGCAGGAGGGAGGAGCTCGCTCTGGATCCATTCTAGAGAGACTTGTCCCTTCCCCCTCTTCTGCCCCACCCCTGGGCCACTTTCCTGTCCCCTGACTCCCACTTGACTTTGTTTCCACTAATTGGAGCTTAGCTCAGAAAATGGAGGGGGCTGAAGTTATAGGTTATGGGAGGGGAAATTTAAGTTTGGGAAGACGGAGGCTCCCTTGATTGGCACTACCAGCCACATCTGCAGCCACATGAGGGTCTCAATGCTGGGGCAGGGGGCAGTGAGACTGGCCAGGAACCTGAGTCCCCCGGGGACTCGCAGACACCTGCCCCACACATCCTGAGTGTGCTGAGGGAGACCCAGCCGAGATCAGCTGTGCTCCTGGGTAGGTGAGAGCAGGCCCTGCAGGGGGCCCAGTCCACCCAGGAAGGATGCCCAGAGTGGCTGAGTGTGCACCTCCCTCTTCTGCCTCTCCTTTTCCGCTGCAAGCAAGACCGGGGGTCAGGAGTTACAGCTGCCAGAGTCCAGAACGGGCCCCTCCTCCCCAGCAATGTGGGTGGGGTCAGGGGCTCAGGTCAAATTCAAGGAAAATCTTCAAGCCACATGGTATAGAGCCAAAGCTAAAGAGGCCGCCCTAATAATAGACAGCAGCAGCCCCTTACAGACATGCTCAGACTCATAGGGTCTCAGAATGCAATTCTCCACAGTAGAAAGGACATCTGCCCTGACAGAAGACTGCACTCCTTTAAGCAAATACAGGTATATCCCAGTAGATAAACTGGGGTCATCTGGCCCATAATTTAAAGGTAGACCTGTATGTTCAAATTATGTTAGTGAAATAAAATTCATGACATGAACATTTTCCTTGGAAAGAAACATCCTGTAAGTGGCTCCTGGAGCCTAAAACATCCTCTGGAACTTCCTTGTGCCCATGTAGGTCATGACTGGTAAAATTATGATGAGAACCAAGTCTTATTTTCCTACAGGAAAATGGAACAAATGGAGACAAAGCCCTGGGCAGCCCCATTGCATGTTTCAGGAGGAAAAGTAACATCAGCTAGGGATTAGACTTTCAGATATTCTTTCCTTTAAACTAATTGTCTTCAAATTCTTTGTCCCATCCCCCTAAAGAATCTTTGTGTATACTCCCACGCAGGTTTTGTAGACACTTATTTTTGCATCATACACTTAAATCATAGCAAATGATTTTAATTGTGGCGGGATTCAAGCACATTAAAACACCGCACGGCCAGGCACAGTGGCTCACGCCTGTAATCCCGGTACTTTGGGAGGCCGAGGCGGGCAGATCGTGAGGTCAGGAGATTGAGACCATCCTGGCCAACATGGTGAAACCCCGTCTCTACTGTAAAAAGTAAAGTAGAGGTTCCTCTTCAAAGACTCTCCTCCCCATCTAATTAGGAATAAATAGTAACTTCTCTTAGAAGCAAAATTTATTCAAAGACTTGTGCTAACATTCTTAAATATCTGCTAGCTGTAATAAAGAAATCAATATACTTTATGTTCTTAGCTCTCACAATTTAGCCTAAATATTTGTCTGGCATGCTTATACTGGTCCAAGCAAGCATTAGGTCATAGCCTGTTCCTCTTCCTTATTTAAGAGTGTTTTTACCTTTCTCAGCATTCCACAAGTTACTTCCTCCTTCCTTTTTTCTCCTCTACCTTTGCCTCTTTTTAAAAGTTCTAAGTTTCTAGCCAATTGGGACAAATACAGAATGTGAGGTCCCATTCCAGCCAGTGAAAACCGGACACAGCAGTAGGGTGGATGCGTCAGGTTATAAATGACTTTGTCTCCTTTGTTCAGTGTACTCTCGTGGCAAAACTGCCGGCGAGTGTACTTTTTCTGCAATAAATAAAAATGGCCTTACTAAATAAATTAAATTTATGTTCAAGTGTTATTTCTTTACGGCACTGGGGAACAAGCATTTCAAACACTACTAAAAATACAAAAATTAGCTGGGCATGGTGGCGTGTGCCTGTAATCCCAGCTACTTGGGAGGCTGAGGCAGGAGAATCACTTGAACCCAGGAGGGGGAGATTGCAGTGAGCTGAGATCATGCCACTGTACTCCAGCCTGGGGACAGAGCAAGACTCCGTCTAAAAAAAAAACAAAAACAAAAAACAAAACTGCATATCACTCTTTTGAATGTGTCCAACACAATATTAATGGGGTGGTGATTTGGCCCTGACCACCATATATATATAAATATATATACATACACATATATATGTGTGAGTGTATATATACACATATATATGTGTGTGTGTGTATATATACACATATATATATATATATATATATTTTTTTTTTTTTTTTTTTTTTTCTGAGGCAGAGTCTTGCTCTGTCGCCCAGGTTGGAGTGCAGTGGTGTGATCTCTGCTCACTGCAAGCTGCGCCTCCCAGGTTGACACCATTCTCCTGCCTCAGCCTCTGGAGTAGCTGGGACTACAGGCACCCACCACCACACCTGGCTAATTTTTTTGTATTTTTAGTAGAGAAGGGGTTTCACCATGTTAGTCAGGATGGTCTTGATCTCCTGACCTCCTGATACCCCTGCCTCAGCCTCCCAAGGTGCTGGATTATAAGCATGAGCTACCGCACCCGGCCAACCACTATATATTTTTTAAAAAACCAAACAATTGCCACAATTTCAGAGCCTGTTATTGGTCTATTCAGAGATTCAACTTCTTCCTGGTTTAGTCTTGGGAGGGTGTGTGTGTCCAGGAATTTATCCATTTCTTCTAGATTTTCTAGTTTATTTGCGTAGAGGTGTTTGTAGTATTCTCTGATGGTAGTTTGTATTTCTGTGGGATCGGTGGTGATATCCCCTTTATCATTTTTTATTGCGTCTATTTGATTCTTCTCTCTTTTCTTCTTTATTAGTCTTGCTAGCGGTCTATCAATTTTGTTGATCTTTCCAAAACACCAGCTCCTGGATTCATTAATTTTTTGAAGGGTTTTTTGTGTCTCTATTTCCTTTAGTTCTGCTCCGATTTTAGTTATTTCTTGCCTTCTGCTAGCTTTTGAATGTGTTTGCTCTTGCTTTTCTTGTTCTTTTAATTGTGATGTTAGGGTGTCAATTTTGGATCTTTCCTGCTTTCTCTTGTGGGCATTTAGTGCTATAAATTTCCCTCTACACACTGCTTTGAATGTGTCCTTACCAACCAAAAAGAGTCCAGGACCAGATGGATTCACAGCCAAATTCTACCAGAGGTACAAGGAGGAACTGGTACCATTCCTTCTGAAACTATTCCAATCAATAGAAAAAGAGGGAATCCTCCCTAACTCATTTTATGAGGCCAGCATCATCCTGATACCAAAGCCGGGCAGAGACACAACCAAAAAAGAGAATTTTAGACCGATATCCTTGATGAACATTGATGCAAAAATCCTCAATAAAATACTGGCAAACTGAATCCAGCAGCACATCAAAAAGCTTATCCACCATGATCAAGTGGGCTTCATCCCTGGGATGCAAGGCTGGTTCAATATACGCAAATCAATAAATGTAATCCAGCATATAAACAGAACCAAAGACAAAAACCACATGATTATCTCAATAGATGCAGAAAAGGCCTTTGACAAAATTCAACAACCCTTCATGCTAAAAACTCTCAATAAATTAGGTATCGATGGGGCGTATCTCAAAATAATAAGAGCTATCTATGACAAACCCACAGCCAATATCATACTGAATGGACAAAAACTGGAAGCATTCCCTTTGAAAACTGGCACAAGATAGGGATGCCCTCTCTCACCACTCCTATTCAACATAGCGTTGGAAGTTCTGGCCAGGGCAATTAGGCAGGAGAAGGAAATAAAGGGTATTCAGTTAGGAAAAGAGGAAGTCAAATCGTGTCCCTGTTTGCAGATGACATGATTGTATATCTAGAAAACCCCATTGTCTCAGCCCAAAATCTCCTTACTCCTGTTAATCTCAGCCTCCCGATCAGCTGGGACTACAGGCATGTGCCACTACACCTGGCTAATTTTTTATTTTTAGTAGAGATGGGGTTTCACCATGTTGGACAGGCTGGTCTTGAACTCCTGACCTCATGTGATCTGCCCACCTCAGCCTCCCAAAATGCTGGGATTATAGGCATGAGCCACCACCCCTGGCCTTTTTCTTTTTTCATTTCAAATTGTTTGTGGATTTTTTTGTTTATTTTTCATAGCAATACATTTTTAAGACCTTCAGAACACAAGCACATGGTATTATATTGGGGTCAAACTCAACATATACATTTCTTTAAAGATTATTGACTTCCCAATACTGTTGAATTCTCCTACCCAAACATTTGGTGGCATTATTTTTCATTTGTATAAATCTATTTTCATGTTTTTCAGAAATCTTTCCACCAATTTCTTACTAAATTAAACACAATTTTCTGTAGAATTCTGCCAATTTTTTTTGCATTGATGAACATAGTCACATGACATTCTCATTCAATTAATGTGATTAATTTCATCATTGAATTTCTTAATATTGAATCATACTTCCCTTTATAAGATAAAGGGTGATTGATTATGCATCAATATACTGATGCAATGGTTTCTAATATTTAATATTTTCACTCTTAAATTTGCATGTTCTATTTGTCTATAGTATTCCATATGGCTAAATCTAGGCAAGGTTCGAGTATCACCTTTATAAACCCTTCCTAAAAAGTATTTCAGGAAAGATTGACCACACTATAACTCTTGAGAAGTTTAAGTAGCATTGGTTTATGGATTACTTTATCGGTAGAATTTCCCTTTCAACTACATAAACTTGGTGTTTGTGTGTGTGTGAGGAAATTCCTTATTAAATGTCTTTGTTTCTTCTATGAATATTGCTCAGTTTAGAGTCTATCTCTATTGAGTTACATTTTGATAAAACATATATTCCAAACACACACACACACACACACACACACACACACACACACACATACATATGCAGTCTACATGTGTGTATCAACTTGCATTGAATTACACAGATGTCTCTATTTTCTTGGTCAATATTGAACCTCACGTTCTTCCTGGCACTGTAAACTGTTGACAAATACTTCTCAAGTTACTTGTGTGATCCCATTTCTCTATTTATAATTCAATGATTGTTCATTTAAAGAATTTGGGGAGTAACAGAAAATGAGAGTTTCAGCAAAAACACATCCCAGGAGGCACAGAATCCAGCACCCACCGCGCTTCATTGTCATCCCCTTCTGTCTCCGACTCCGCATTTTCTGCTTCCTCCAAGATAGCCCCTGTCTGCCTCAAAGGATCATGGAAAAGCAGAGCCTCTCCAGGCACTGCCATCTCTCTGGAGGTGCTGCAGGGAAGTTGTCATTGTTTTTGGTAATTGTAACTGGGACAAAGGTTTTCAAAAATATTTTCAATTCCCCAAGTGTGTACTGTCATTGCTGCCACAGGTAAAGTATAATTGCAGTGCGGTGGGGAGGTGAGGTCGCAGGGTCCCGAGCCCATATCTCAGACCTGGCCGCCTCCCTCCACACACTCCCTGGCCGTGACAGTCACTGGTTTCCACAGCCCAGCAGCAGGGAGGCGCCTGGTGGGTGTGTTACATTTTGATCTGTGAGAGAGCACCTGTAAGGTTAGGAAGTTGTCAGGAGGTGGGGTAAATGCTCTGGTGTGGAAAGAGGACTCCACTGGGCCAGAAACTGACCAGTGTCAAGGCCATGTGGGGAAAGGAAATAATGGCTGGGTCATGGGCTAAGTTGTGGAGAGGGAGCAAAGTTCCAAGAGCATGAGCCAGTCCCCAGCTGCAGCTCACTTAACAAAATCCTCATGCTTGTCATTGTCGGTTTTTGATGGAAGAAGCCAAAAATCTGTTTTTAAGTTTTTTTTTTTTAATTTAAGACGGATTCTTGCACTGTCACCCAGGCTGGAATGCAATGTTGCAGTCTCAGCTCACTGCAACCTCTGCCTCCCAAGTTCAAGCAATTCTCCTGCCTCAGACTGCTGAATAGCTGGGATTACAGGCGCCTGCCACCACGCCCGGCTAATTTTTTGTATTTCTAGTAGAGATGGGGTTTCGCCATGTTGGTCAAGATGGTCTTGAAGCCCTGATCTCAGGTGATCCACCAGCCTCGGCCTCCCAAATTGTGGGGATTACAGGCCTGAGCCACCGTGCCTGGCCCCCAAAATCTGTTTTTGTTGATCCTTCTTGTCTAAGATCTCCTTACCTGTTAAGTGGGAAGAATGCATTTTTTAAAAAAGTTTCCTAGAATAATTTGGAAATTAATCCGCTAGCTGTTCTATCAATTCCACAAGAATCAGAAAGATTTCTAGGATGAATGGAAGCATTTCTACAATTCCTTCATGCCTGTGATAATGTATAAGATGTAGCTGATTAAATTATCTTATTCTTCTCAAAAGTATTAAACATAGGGCTTTAACCTACTCTGGACATATAAAGTACCTAATGGAGACCGTGATGTGTGGTGACAGGAAACATCTGGTCTCTGAGAATGACGAAAAGACCATATTCTTTCATGAAGTCAGGGGAGGAGCGGTCAAGGAAAGGTATCTTGATGACCTTAGGTTTTCATATTAGAACAAAAATCAAGGACTTCAGTCGTTTTCTGAAGTAAATTATTTGGTAATATTTACTCTGTCTTCAAAAATGTTCTGAAGCCATTCTTAGGCTCAATACTCATCTTAGTAACACTTAATTCAGTGAATAATTTTCCCTACCTCGAGTTTTCCTTTTACATAACAGACTTATATTTTAATATACCTAACAATTCTGACATTGAAATAATTTTTTTTTTGAGATGGAGTCTTTCTCTGTCACCCATGCTGGAGTACAGTGGTGGGATCTCAGCTCACTGCAGCCTCCGCCTCCGGGGTTCAAGCAATTCTCCTGCCTCAGCCTCCCAAGTAGCTGGGACCACAGGTGCATGCACCACCATGCCCAGCTAATTTTTGTATTTTTAGTAGAGATGGAGTTTCATCATGTTGGCCAGGCTGGTCTCGAACTCCTGACCTCAAATGATTTGCCCACCTTGGCCTCCCAAAGTGCTGGGATTATAGATGAGAGCCATGGTGCCCAGCCTGAAATAATTTCATTTGATATTTTTGTATTCATAAACAAATACTAAATTTATCTGTAATTCATGACAACCTGTTTCTCCTTTGCACTGTTTTATCTCCTACTCATGTCCCTTGACCCCTTGCTTAGCAACAGTCATTTCTGTATCCTTCTTGGTTAAGATGAGAAAGAATCTTCTTTTTTAATTTCAGCATGAAATCATTTAAGCATTCAATAAATATCATTTGGTCTTGTATGATTATTCTTTTAGGATTATACTAAATCAGTGCATCTATATTCTACTTGGATTTCTGAATCATTATAGGTGATATTTGCTCATGAAATAAGCACTTAGATTTAAATGAGAAATTGCCACAATCAAAAATGAAGAAAAAACTACATCCAGGTTTAAAGAAAGCGACAATATATACAACATGAAATGTGTGAAGCATTAAAAAAATACTATGTCCAAGGGTGAGACACACAGTGATTAAACACATTGTCCAATTTTGATTCTGCCTCTTACAAAGCAGTTACTTTAGAAAATTCATTAAGCTTCCTTGTGTAAGATCTTCTTACCTGTAAAATGGAAATAGTAAAGCACTTATACCACAGAATTATTGTAAAAGTTACATGCAAAACACTAATATAGTACTCCTCTCATGGGGATGCATATGTTCTTCTTTTTAGAGCAAAACTCTTATTTAAAAAACAGGGTCTAATAAGAAAATGTCTAAGTTGGAAACAATGGTAAGTGTACAATAGTGGATTTTATTTGCAAAAGTGAAACTTTATGTTTCCACACAGGGTTCTCTCACTTTGAATGTAATTATCAGTCACTGAAAAATGACAAATGGCCTCCAAGGATTTTGCAATAGGCATGATCTTATTATCTCAGATCATGGTCGGATTCCTGGGGAATTTCTTTCTTCTCTACCACTATAGTTTCCTTTGTTTCACCAGAGGTATGTTACAGTCCACAGATCTGATTCTCAAGCACCTGACCATAGCCAACTCCTTGGTTATACTCTCTAAAGGAATCCCACAAACAATGGCTGCTTTTGGGTTGAAAGATTCCCTCAGTGATATTGGATGCAAATTTGTGTTTTATGTTCACAGAGTGGGCAGGGCTGTGTGCACTGAGTGTCTTCCAGGTCATCACCATCAGCCCCAGTGAATTCAGGTGGGCAGAGCTGAAGCTACATGCTCACAAATACATCAGGTCTTTTATCCTGGTCCTGTGCTGGATTCTGAACACGCTGGTAAATATTACTGTTCTTCTACATGTGACTGGCAAGTGGAACAGCATAAATAGCACAAAGACAAATGATTATGGATATTGTTCTGGAGGAAGTAGGAGCAGAATTCCACATTCATTACATATTGTCTTGTTATCATCCCTTGATGTTTTGTGTTTGGGGCTCATGACCTTGGCCAGTGGCTCCATGGTTTTTATCCTGCACAGGCACAAGCAGCAGGTCCAGCACATTCATGGGACCAACCTCTCCGCCAGATCCTCCCCTGAGTCCAGAGTCACCCAAAGCATCCTGGTCCTGGTGAGCACCTTGTGTTACTTTACTCGCTCTCCTCCATCTTTACATATGTCTCTTTTTCCTAATCCCAGTTGGTGGCTGTTGAACACCTCTGCACTGATCACTGCCTGTTTTCCCATGGTCAGCCCCTTTGTGCTCATGAGCCGCCATCCCAGGATACCCAGGCTGGGCTCTGCCTGCTGTGGAAGGAATCCACAGTTTCCTAAGCTGGTCAGATAGTTCTCCGATTTATGTGGATTGTCTTCTTTTTGTATAATGAATGGCCGTTTGTTGATTTCTTCCTGCAGGTTAAGCACCGCAATGGGCAGTCAATTGCAGTGTATATAAGACTCAGAATCCGTCTTTGCCCTTCAAGGATTTTTCACGTATCATAAACAACAGTTACAGATGAAATGTTTTTGCAAAGTGCTTTCATAATTTTCATTTTGTTTGTAATTTCATAATTTTCATTTTGTTAATGTTGCAATGGAGAAGTTAAGAGGCAAATTATTAATTAAAAATGGGCCTCTAATAAGTTGGAACAATGCAACTTTAAACCAATTAATAAAAAATGTCATGGAATTAACTGGGCACAGCAGTGTAAGAAAAGTTTGATGAAATAAAGAAGCTTAAGTAATGATCAATGAAGAAAGTGAGAAGAAAGTCATAGTTCATGTCCTTTTTTGTTTTGAATTAATCTTCATTTTTTCCTATTTTCAAGTTGTAAAATTTTCTTTTTGTCCTTGATAATTATACTTTATTGAGACTAGTTTTGGTTATTTTTTAAAAATTCTGTCCCTCTATAATTTTTCTGATGTGTAGATCCTGTATTCATGCTTCTTATATTTGTTCGTTTAAAATGAAAAGTTTATTTGCTGACTACACCAAATAGGATGCAAGCACTGTCATGACAGAAATATGCAGCAGATCAACATACAACAGTAATTTAGTTTAAATGAAGGGAAATCTGTAAATGTTACGACAACGTACTCCCAAGAAGAACCCTTTCTTCAGTTAAGTTAATTATACATTTCAATAAAATAAAGGGTAATGGATTAGTGGAAGTTAGCTTGTGAATTTTTCTTAAAAATAAAACTCCAACTCTATTAATCCATGCCAGTTAAACACTGTAACTAAAATTTCCAAATAAGCACAAAAGGAGATGAAGCAATTAGTTACCTTTTCTGCTTGAACGGTCTGGAGGAAAATGGTTACTATAAATACAGCAGGCAAACTGTTAGAGTGACCTATCTAGAACATAGTGTACTAAATTTCAGTCTCAAATTGTACTAAATGCTCATCATTAGTATGGCACATTTGGTCCATGATGTGGTTTAACGCCAAGACAGATCCCAATTTGTTACAGAAACACATAGATTACTGTTGCTTTTTGTTTTTAAATACATATATTTTAATAAGCCAGGTATACTTCCACATACAAAGGCAGGTTTCCCAGGAGAAATTTATAGGAAGTAGTCTGGGGTGTGCTGTGTAACATGAGGCTCGCCACAACAAAGTGCTGGGTCAAACTGAAGGAAGGAATATCTTAAAGCGTCATCTAGTTCCATGATCGCAGCCTGGTTACCACAACAATAACAGTAATTGGGTGCACTGAAAATAGTAACCACATTCTGATCATGACACCAATGGTATCCCTCCATTACAAGCTGGTGGGCACGAGAAACCAGTGTGAGACCATTGGCATGGTTAAAGGTTTCAGAAATGTCTTGTCCAAATGTGTAGCCAGCACACAGGGTGAAATACCCCATCCACCACGATCATCTGGATCTGACCGTAATAGATCATACATTGGGCCCTCATGTGGAACTTCTTGTAAATGACCCAGGGCTCTTATATGATCCAGTGTGTATGTGGATGGAGACAGGCCACCATGGAGGCAGAATATCTGTCCATCTACTAAAGTTATAAGTGGAAGATAATCAAAGAGATCTGTAAAGTATTTTCAAACATTGGCATTCCCATACTTTCGCGGACATTCATCATAAAAGCCATATACTTGGGTAATTTGTTGGCTTTTGTGATTTCCTCTCAATATTGTAATGCATTCTGGATAATGAATGCTACAAGAAGAGTCACAGTCTCCACTGAATAATATCCTCTGTCTACATAGTCACCCATTAATAAGTAGTTTGTATCTGGTGATTTTCCACCAATTCTAAAGAGTTCCATAAGATCATGTAATTGACCATGCACATCTCCACAGACAGTATCAGGGCAACGAACCTCTTGCACATCTGATCCTTTTGTTAAAATTTCCTTTGCCTTCTCGCACAATTTTTTGTGGGAGGAGAGTGGTCCATTTCAAATATTTTAAGGTAAAAATGGATGCAGTGGTCTGGGTGGAGTGAAATGAGCACAGGACTGTAGAAAGAGGTTTTCATTAGAATTTGACTCACAGCCGATGAATATGAGACTCATCAAGAAAACTGCCTAATTTTCGGGACCCTGTGAGGGTAGACTATGCTGTATTAGCAATAATCCCAATTAGCCTGTTCAGAAGAAATAAGCATCAGGGTGACCTCTGGGAAGTGAATCTGGTGGAACCAGTCACCGTCGGTGGAGGAGCCGACGCCAGGGACCCTGGGGAGGCTTATGCTTCCCTTTTTCTAGGGAGTTGGTGGTAATTGCTGCCTTGAAATATTCAAGGAAGCCCATTTGAAAGAATCATAAAACAAATGGGGTAATCATGTAGCTGAAGTGAAAAATTTCCACAGACATTTTCTTATTATTGTTAGGTAAAGCAGGTAAAATGTCTTGAAAATTCAAATATTTGAAAAATACAATGCATAAGTTTGGCCTAATGGACATATATCGAAATTGGGCTATGTGTTGCATTACTCAGCAATATAGAACGATTGAAATAATGCAATCACAAAGGGAGCTTTAATGAATGTAAAATATTTTAATCATAGAGATTAACCTTGCCACTATTAAATATTTTTAAATAGCTTATGAAGCAATTTTAAATACTAAACCTAAAAACTGAGCAATATTCCTAATTAATATTTAGAACTTTTCAGATGAAAAGACAATAAAAATTCTTCATATTCAAGTTGTACACTGTATTTGTTCAAAAGTAGTTAGAGAAAATTAGATGGCTGCAAATTCAAATGCTACAATAGAAGATGCCTGACAATATGTGTTTTTGATGTCAAACTCTGAAATTAAATTATAAAAAGAAGCTTAACCTTGGCCAGGTGAGGTGGCTCATGCCTGTAATCCCACCAATTTTGGAGGCTGAGGTGGGCAGATTACCTGAGGTCAGGGGTTTGAGACCAGCCTGGCTAACAGGGTACAACCCCATCTCTACTAAAAATACAAAAATTAGCCAGGCGTGGTGGTGGGCACCTGTAATCCCAGCCACTTGGGAGGCTGAGGAGAATCGCTTGAACCTGGGAAGCGGAGGTTGCAGTAAGCCTAAATTGTGCCACTGCTCTCCAGTCCGGCCAACAGAGCAAGACACTGTCTCAAAAAAATAAAAGAAGCTTAGCCTAAATAATGCGTTATCATAAAGTATAATGTAAGTAAAAAATTTAGAATAAGTATTACATGGAATAGAATAAAATAAAATTAATGATAAAATAGAGCTTACTGCAATGTTAATAAAAATGTGAAAAGATATACTTAATATTAAAAAATAAACAGTATTTAAAACTTCATGGAGATTTTTAAAAAGTCTACGTTCTAAGACAAACAACTTTATGCTAATAAATTAGAAAACTTAGAGGAAAAAGTGATTTCTGTCAAATAATAAGATACCTAATACATACATTATGTCAAAACTTAAAACTAAGCAAGCGTAAGTCATGGATTTGCATGTATAATTAATATACAGGTATACAAAATGATTGAAAAGAGTTCATTTCAGAAATACAGGACATGCCAATGAGAGAATAAGCTCATATTATGACATATGACATGAAAAATTAAATGGGACAACAGCATTCATTGAGTAAATCACTTCATGCCTTTGTAATTTTTATAAGTAAATTAACTTAGAAAAATACTTTACCAGAGAATGTTTTAATTATTGGTGATAACAATGCATGAGGATATTGCAATAAAACATAAATGGCCAATGAGCACATGAAAAGATGCTCAGAATTCTTATTCATTAGGGAAATTCAAATCAAAACCACAATGAAGTGTTAATTCACACCCACTAAGATGGCTATACTCAAGAAGACAGAGAAACAGAACTAATAGAATGAATATCTACATCTGTATATCAAGGTTTACATACTTGTTCACCCACGTGTGTGTGTGTGTGTGTGTGTGTGTATGTGTGTGTACAGAATGAAGCCATTTACAGTAGTGTCTCAGTAGAAGGCCTTCCCCAGCCCCCTCCAGGTTCTGGATTAGATAACTTTTTTTTTTTTTTTTTTTTGAGACAGAGTTTCTTTCTTGTTGTCCAGGCTGGAGTGCAATGATGTGGTCTTGGCTCACTGCAACCTCTGCCTCCCAGGTTTAAGCAATTCTGCTTCAGGCTGGCAAGTAGCTGGGATTACAGGCACCCACCACCATGCCTGGCTAATTTTTTTTTGTATTTTTAGTAAAGACAGGGTTTCACCATGTTGACCAAGCTGGTCTCGAACTCCTGACCTCAGGTGACCCCCCACCTTGGCCTCCCAAAGTGCTGGGATTACAGGCGTGAGCCACCGTGCCCACCTTAGAGAACATTTTGCTCCTGCACTCATTCCAGTCCAGCACTTGTCCTTGTTCACAGTGTGGTGTGCCTGCCTTTCACCTAGGGAAATGGAATACATTACCTCATCAACACCTCTTTGTCAATCTCTTGTCTCTGCTCTGTAGACTTTTGAGCCATGATCTGAGGAGTGAATGTGATGGGTCACTGGGTTTCTGACAACCCAACACCTGGGTCTGCTCAGGACAGGCCAGACCCACATGACATCACCCCCACTGTGCGAACACACATAGGGAGGTGGGGTGTGACTGTCCAGGTGGGATTAGGGTGGTGGCCAGACATTGACTGGCCTGCTCTCAGCTGCCAGTGTTACCTTTGAGTACCTCCTGAACATGGCTAGAGGTGATGATATTGAGGGCTGACCCAATGTCAGCAGCTTCAGAAAAACCTATCATTCAGGGTTTTCTGGTGCCAGAAACATAGGAAATTGGGATCAGCAGGATGACATCTAGTTCTCTTTATTGTCTTCAGCCAAGTGAGCTGGGAAGAGACTGTTTCTAGAATGTGGGTGCCTGGTTTCCAGTGTTCCAAGTTCTGTTGGGGTCTATTGTCAAGGAAGTGAAGTCACTCTTTGGGGTCCCTTATCTGGGGCTACTCCTGAAGGGATCTTCTATTGCCCTCAGCACTCCTGGTTCTCAAACCTTCAAGTGACACCGCTGAGTGTCCTGGGTTTCTGACTTGAAGGCAGCAGATAATGGGAATTCTCAGCCTCTATAGTTACATGAGCCAATTTCTTAAAATGAATAAACATTTATTAAATATTAATATGTATAAATACATTGCATGTATTTATTTTAAGTAAATTAGAATAATTTATTAATTCAATGATTTGAGTTATTTAAATTTAAACAATTTAAATTGGTTTTGTTTCTCTGGAATACTCTGTCCGAGAGGTCATGTCATAATCACCTGAATAATCTGCAGGTGCAGGAATCACTTTGTTCAACGATACTCAACCATGATGGATTGTTTAGCAGAAGACAGACTGACACATTTGACTCTGTAAATTCTGGGAAACTCTCTTCTTTATCATTATGTCTCCCTTTTCCTCACTGGGTGCAGGTTAAGGTGCACAGATTTGATTCTCATGCACCTGATCATAGCCAACTCCTTGGTCATTCCCTCTAAAGAAATCTGGCAGACAGTGACATCTTTGGTTTGAACAACTTCAATGATTTTTCATGTGAACTTCTATTCTTCCTTCAGAGACTGGGCAGGGGTGTTCCTCCTGGCAGCACTTGCTGCCTGAGTGTCTTCCAGGCCATCGCTATTTCCCCAGGGACTCCAGTAGGGCAGAGCTCAGAATAATAGTTCCCGAGCTCATTGGACACTTGATTCTCTCATGCTGGATCCTAAACACACTAGTAAATAATTTTCCTCTTTATGCGTCTGGCTATAACTCAATGCAGCCATCACAAGGAAAATAGATAATGGATACTGTTATGCCATGATTCGTGTCAAAATCTCACACTCCCTGTGTGCAGTGCTGTTCTGATTCCCTGATGTTTTGGATTTGGGAATTATGGCTTGGGCCAGAGGCTCCATGGTTTTCATCCTGCGCCGGCACAAGCTGCAGGTCCAACACACTCATGGGACCCACCTGCCGTCCAGGTCCTCCCCTGAGTCCAGAGTCACCTAAACCATACTGGTCCTGGGGAGCATTTATGTATGCTTTTACATCGTCTTTTCCTTTTGTCAATTTTTGGCTCCTTTTATTCCTCTTAGGCGGTGGCTGGTGAGCATTTCTGCTCACAATGGTGTGTGTTCCCCAACTCTCAGCCTTTTTGTTTCCATCAGCTGTGACTCTGGTGTCTCCAGGCTCTGCTTTGCCTGACACAGAATACAAAATCCGCTGATTTTATCATTTATATGCATACTGTGTACTTTTGCACAATGTCCAGTTGTTTACTCATCCCCCACAGAATTATAAGCACAGTTGTGAAACTGACGTTACAAGGGATTGGTGATACATGCAGAAAAACACCTGCATATGTCTAACTGTGTGGGGATAATCAGACTATGTTTGCTATTCATCAAGCAATAATATTGGAAGATTATACTTTAAGAAATGTAAAAATAATATTAATTATAATGATGTTAAACTACTTTAACTGTATTGTCTTTTTTATCTGATATATCACCATCTTCACTGATTAGTTGGTTAAAATCACATATAATGTATCTTTACTTCTTCTACTTTAATTTTAATTGGTTAAAATTACATATAATGTATCTTCTAATTTTTCTACTCCAAGAGATATATAACTAAAACATAAATACATATAAAGATTATGTTTTAGTTGTATCTCTTGGAGGAACATCTGACTGAATATAGTCAAATAATATTTGACTTTGACAGGCATAATTTAGCTATTTACGTTTAATATTTTAAAGGTCATATTTGGCATTGGATATACCAACTTTCTGTATTCTTCAGAATACCCATCATCTTTTCTGATTCTTCCTATTTTAACATCTTCTATGTTATACGTATATTTTAAAAATTCATAGTTAACTCTGTTATTTGGGGGTTATATCAGTAGATCTTACTTTTTAACAGAGGTTACAACAAACTTTAAAATATTAATCATGGTATAAAGTTATTTAATACTTTCAACCTCCACTTTGACAACATTAAGGCATTAAATTACTAATCCAGCCAGGTGAGGTGGCTCATGCTTGTAATCCCAGCACTTTGGGAGGCCAAGGCAGGAGGATCGCTTGAGCTCAGGAGTTTGAGACCAGCCTGGGCAACACAGTGAGACCCAGTCTCTACAAAAAATTAAAAACATAGCCAGGCATGGTGCCACATGCCTGAAGTCCCAGCTACTCAGGAGGAGGCCAAGGCCATGTGTTTCACTGTCTTGCCTAGGCTGGAGTCAAATGGTCACACCACTTGACTCCAGCCTAGGTGACAGAGTGAAACCCTATCTCAAACAACAACAACAACAACAACAAAAAATCACTAATCCATTTATGTTCCCTCTTTGTGTTTTAATTGATGATATGTATTTTTTTTAAAAAAGTTGGAATAGTTGCACAGGCCATGAGTGCACAACTAAATGAAATTTCAACAAAGTGAACCCACCTCTGTGTGCATGTCTTAGGTTGCAAAACAGAACTTCATCAGACCCCAGCCACCTCCTTGTGCCCTTCCCAGTCACTACCCCAGGAGTAACCATGACTCTGACTCCTAACAGTATAATTTATGTGTACTTTCAACTATTTGTATCTTATATACATGGAATCATATAGCATGACTTATTTTCTATGTAGATTTTGAATTCCACATGTTTGGAAACTTATCTGCCTGATCGCATGTTATTGTGGTTCATTCATTAGAGTGGGTGATAGAATTTTTAGGTTGGTTGTGGTTTTTGCCCTCTAAAGTAATGGCATCATGTGAACATCAAGCAATGAATTTAATCATGCCTTTATAAATGTACATGAGTAGTATTCATGATGGGGCTATTAGGAATACTGGTTGTTTTTTGTCTTCCACGTTGGAAATAGCAAAATAGTGCATAGAGAGGCACACTGAGCTTTTATTCAAGCAGAAATATGAGAGTTCACCAGAGAAGCATAGCTAACTTCAGATCCTGAGGAAGGGAAGGTGGGCAAGCAGCTTGGGTGGTGGCATTCATCTGAGAAAAGTGAGTGAATCCCTAGTATGTGAAAGGGACAGAGAGTCTCTCTCAGTGACTCACATTTTTCACTGGGGATATGTGGAACTCAGGACATGGAAAATATTTTTATTCACTTTCAGTTTGAGGAAGAGTGTCAGAAACTTCAGGAAAAATATCATACGAGGGAATGCTGGGGCCCTGACAATCCTCAGAAACCTCAAAGTTCCTTGTACAATCCGTTAGCATTGTAACCTTATCAAAACTTATTTATTTTTTTGCTATACAGATTTACCTTTTATTGGAGCTTTATTTTGTTACAGGTTGTAAGAAATACATTGTTGTTTTAGCCTTTGTGATAGGAACATCATATTCCCAAACCCCAAGTATTAATGATGTTATCTCTACTGTAATTTTTACTGCTTTTTAACCCTTTGCTGTAGTCTGAATATTTGTGTGCCCCAATCTCCAAATTAATATGTGGAAACTTAATCCCCCATGTAATAGTATGAGGTATGGGATCTTTGGGGAAGTGAATAAGCCAGGAGGGCACCATCCTCATGAATGGAATTAGTGCCCTTGTGAAGGAGGTTGAAGGGAGTGCCGTTGCCCCTTCTGCCATGTGAGGACACACCATCTATGAGAAATAGGGCTCTCATCAGACACCAAATTTGCTGATGCATTGATCTTGAACTTTACAGCCTCAATAGCTGTGAGGCTCTCTTAACTGTGAGGCTCAAATTTCTGTTGTTTAACTTTGGTCTGTGTCTGAATTTTTAGCTACAATGGTCTTTCAGTCTTTTCATCAATCAAGATGTCTCATAGGGATGGCCAATCTTATTTTTTTTCCTTAGAGTTTTTTTGGCTTATTTGTGTTTGCATCTGTAAGATTTTTTCCCCAATAACATGCCTACCTCTAATACCTAATGGTATCTGTATTGGAACAAAATTAAATTAATAAATTAGCTTAAGCACAACTGATGTTCATAATATTTTTTCGACCTAAAAATGTGTAATTTTCCATTTGCTTATGTCCATATTTACATATTTTAGGTACTTTCTATGGCTTTTCTTATATGCTGCTGAATGACTTTTGGGTGAATAATGAAATTAAGGCAGAAATCAAGAAGTTCTTTGAAACTAATAAGAACAAAGATGCAACATATCAGAATCTCTGGGACACAGCTAAGGTAGTGTTAAGTGGGAAATTCATAGCACTAAATAGCCACATCAAAAAGTTCGAAAGATCTCAGGTTAACAACCTAACATCACGACTGAAAGAGTTAGAGAAGCAAGAACAAATCAGCCCTAAAGCTAGCAGAAGATAAGAAATAACCAAAATCAGAGCTGAACTGAAGGAAATCAAGACATGAAAAAGCCATTTAAAAGATCAACAAATCCAGGAGTTGCTTTGCTGAAAAAATTAATAAGATAGGTCACTAGCTAGACTAATAAAGAAGAAAAGAAAGAAGATCCAAATAAACATATATTGGAAATAATGAAAGAGATGTTACCACTGACCCTACAGAAATAAAAATAAACATCAGAAATGCCTGCAAATACCTCTATGCACACAAACTAGAAAACCTAAAAAAGATGGATCAATTCCTGGACGTATACACCCTCTCAAGACAGAACCAAGAAGAAATTAATTCCCTGAACAGACCAATAATGAGCTCCAAAATCAAGTCAGTAATAAATAGCCTACCAACCAAAAAAAGCCCAGGACCAGATGGATTCACAGCCAAATTCTACCAGATGTACAAAGGAGAGCTGGTACTATTCCTACTGAAACTATTCCAAAAAATTGAGGAGGGAGGCCTCCCCAACTCATTCTATGAGGCCAAAACCTGGCAGAGACACAACAAAAAAGAAAACTTTAGGATCAATATCTTTGATAAATACTGATGCAAAAATCCTCAACAAATAGTTGCAAACCAAATCCAGCAACACATCAAACAGCTAATCCACTGGAATCGCTGGAACCCAGGAGGCGGACGTTGGTTCAACATACATAAATTAATAAATGTGATTCATCACATAAACATAACCAAAGACAAAAACATCATTATTATCTCAATAGATGCAGAAAAGGCTTTTGATAAAATTCAACACTGCTTCACGTTAAAAATTCTCCATAAACTAGGTATCAAAGGAACATACTTCAAAACAATTAGAGCCATCCATGAAAAACCCACAGCCAACATTATAGCTATGGGCAAATGCTGGAAGCATTCCCTTGGAAAACAAGCAAGAAACAAGGATGCCCACTTTCACCACTCCTATTCAACATAGTATTGAAAGTCCCAGACAGAGCAATCAGGCAAGACAAAGAAATTAAGGCATTCAAATAGAAAGAGAGGAAGTCAAACTATCCCTGTTTGCAGATGACATAATTCTATACCTAGATAACTCCATGGTCTCAGCCCAAAAGCTCCTTCAGCTGATAGACAACTTCAGCAAAGTTTCAGAATACAAAATCAACATACAAAAATCACTAGCATTCCTGTACACCAACAACAGCCAAGCTGAGAGCCAAATCAGGAAGGCAATCCCGTTCACAATCACCACAAAAAGAATAGAATACCTAGGAATACAGCTCACCAGGAAGGTGAAAGACCCCTACAGTGAGAATTACAAAACACTGCTCAAGTAAATCAGTGATGACACAAACAAATGGAAAAACATTCCATGCTCATGAATAGGAAAAATCAATATCATTAAAATGGCTAGACTGCCCAAAGCAATGTACAGATTCAATGCTATTCCTATCAAACTACCAATGAAATTCTTCACAGAACAAGAAAAAACTATTTAAAAATTCATATGGAACCAAAAGAGAGCCTGAATAGCCGAGGTAATCCTACGCAAAAAGAACAAAGCTGGAGGCATCATGCTACCTGACTTCAAACTATACTACAGGGCTACAGTAACCAAAACAGCATGGTCCTGGTAAAAAACAGGCACATAGTCCAGTGGAACATAATAGAGAGGCCAGAAATAAGGCCACACAGCTACAACCATCTGATCTTTGACAAAGCTGACAAAAACAAGCAATGGGGAAAAGAATCCCTATTCAATAAATTGTGCTGGGATAACTGGCTAGCCATATGCAGAAGACTGAAGCTGGACCCCTTTCTTATACCATATATAAAAATCAATTCACAAGAGACTAAAGACTTAAATGTAAAACCAAAAACTATAAAATACCCTGGAAGACATCCTAGACAATACCATCCTAGACAATACCATCCTAGACATAAGAATGGGCAAATATTTCATGACAGACACAAAAGCAATCGCAACAAAAGCAAAAATTGATAAATGGTATCTAATTAAACTTAAGAGTTTCTGCACAGCAAAAGAAACTATCAACAGATTAAACAGACAACCTACAGAATGAGAGAAAGTTTTTGCAAACTATGCATCTGACAAAGGTCTCTTATCCACAAGGAACTTAAATTTACAAGAGAAAAACAAACAACCTCATTAAAAAGTGAGCAAATGACATGAACACACACTTTTCAAAATAAGACATACATGTGGGCAACAAGTATCTGAAAAAAAGCTCAATATTACTGATCACTAGAGAAATGCAAATCAAAACACAATGAGATACCACCTCACACCAGTCCGAATGGCTATTAAAAAGTCAAAACATAACAGATGCTGGTGAGGTTGTGAAGAAAAGGGAACACTTATACACTGTTGGTGAGAGTGTAAATTAGTTCAACGATTGTGGAAAGTAGTATGGTGATTCCTCAAAGACTGAAAAACAGAAATACCATTAGACCTAGTAATCCCATTACTGGATATATCCCAGAGGAATATAAATCATTCTGCCATACATACATGTGAATGCTCATTGCAGCACTATTCACAATAGCAAAGACATGGAATCAACCTAAATGAGTGACAGACTGGATAAAGAAAATGTGGTACATATACACCATGGAATGCGACGCAGCCGTAAGAAACAACAAGATCATGTCTTTCACAGAAACATGGATAGAGCTGGCAGCTATTATCCTTAGCAAACTAATATAGGAACAGAAAACCAAATACCATGTGTTCTTACTTATAAGTGAAAGCTAAACGATGAGAACACATGGACACAAAAAAGGGAACAAGAGACACTGGGGTGTACTTGAGGGTGGAGATTGGGAGGCGGGAGAGGAGCAGAAAAAGTAACTATTCGGTACTGGGCTTAACAACTGGGTAATGTAATAATCTGCACAACAAATCCCCGTGACATATATCTACCTATGTAACAAATTTTCAACCTATGTAACAAACCTTCACATGTACCCCCGAACCTAAAATAAAAGTTAAAAAAAAAAGAAAAATTAAAAAGAGGGACTACACCAAATGTGATGAGAATGCAGGGGAAATGGAATCCTCGTACAGTCTTCATGGGAATGTGTAACGATGCCACCCTTTCCATAACAGTTTGGTGGTTGTTTCCTTTTTTAAACATTAAACTCTGAAGTATTTACTTAAGAGAAATTGTAATGTATGCCTATTCAGCAACTTGTACATGAATATTCATGCCAGTTTTATTTGTAATAGACAAAAACTAGAAACAGTTTACATGGTCTTTAACTAGTGAATGAATAAAGCTCTAGAATGCAATTTTGCATTGAAAGGCAATGAACTGTTGATACCTGCTACAGTGGGAATGGATCTTATGCTGTGTGATTCTATTTATATAGAATTCTGGAAAGTGAAAATCAGTCTGTTGTTACTGGAAGCAGTGGTTGCTTAGAGATGGGTTGGAAGGAGTGCAGAGGAAGAATTGCAATGGGGGGTAATCATGATAAGATGTCTGGGGGGAATTGATATGTTCATTGTCTTGACTGTGTTGATGATTCCCCAGGTATACACATACATCAAAACAAAATAAACCTTTTAGATATGTGCAGCTTACTGAAAGTTAATTATACTTTAATCAACCTGTTTTAAAAAATAAGCTCAATTGAAATCTGTAAAATGGAAGATTAAAATTAGGCAAAAAATATAATCCAGGTTGAAGAATAAATAAAAATATGATCAACAAGCACTTAATACATTCTGAAAGTTTTAGAACAAAGAAAATGAAACAATAGCATGGTGATTTTATCATTTCCTCAAATTGAAAAAATACCAACATTTCTCCATAGAGAATGCTATTAAAGGTTAGTAGATATCAGTCCTTTATTGACTCAGGGTGGGAGAGAAAAGAGCTACAGTCTTTTTGACTTATAGGGGGAGGATCTACATATATCTTCATTTTGCTGTACTTTTCAATACACAAACACATATGAATGATTATACCCTAATATTTTCTGATTACAAAGAAATGCGTGACTGTCATAAAACATCCAAAAACATCAAATGTCTAACATGAAATACAAAATTTGTCAGTGGTTTTAGACCTAAACGAAACACAGTTTCCACTTTGAGGATATTGTTCAAACTCCTTTCCCAAGAGTGCCCCCAGTTGTGTCATGTATTAACACAGTGTGTCTAAAATTGCCTGAGAAGTAGCAGGTCTTTGTTCTCACTCACACAGCTGTGTCCTCTGTTGAATAGGGCCTGGGCGACCCCAGCTAAAGCCTCATTTGATCCACCAACAGGCTCCTTTATCTCCTCTCCAGGGAAAGGGTGGATCCATTTTCTTCCTAGGAGGAGTTCTGAGCTTCTCCACCCTAGGGACCAGGGAGTATGGCTGGGATGAGCCAGCCCTCAGTGCGAAAGACATAGGCCACCTGGGTGGCCATGGCACAGGTTTGTACCACAGCACAGAGGCCCCTGGAGCCAGGTGAGCTCAGACAGCTGCTCCCAGGTCAGCAGAGAATAGGCCTACTGTTCCCACACCTGGGCTGTGTTGTGATAAATGGCTTCAGATGGAGTGTGCAGAGAGGTCACCAGGCTTTTCTGAAGTGGTAGTGGGTGGTCTCCTAGAGACTGAGATCTGGGCCGCTCGCTGTGCCCGGTGTGGGCCTCTGGGGGTCCCCCACAGCAGGCATCATGGGTCTCCTCATTTCACTGATGTGTACAGTGTCAGAGGCCTTTGGTTTCTTTTCCAAAGTCAAGCAGTCCTTTTGCACTTTTGGCTCATGTCCTTGATGCTGTCCTGAAGAGGAAGCATGTGAGTGAGAGACTTACCAGAACAGCTCCCATGGATGCTCATTCCCAGAATGTCCCCATGCACCTTCAGGTGAACCCCACTTGTCTTTCCTCCTCCTTCCCTGCCCCCTCTGTCTCCCTAAGCAAGGGAGGCTAAACCCCTCCTGGGACCCCAAATGCTTTCTGGATGTCAGGATCTCTAAAATCCTCTCAGCCACTGAGAAACCCCTTTCCTGCTCAATCTCTGTATAAATAACCTGCTTATCTGCCCTTTGGAACAAAAAAGCAAGATCCTACCTGCTCTATCTTGGCAGCTGTCCATGGAATGGATTTCTCTCTTCCTAGAGTTCCCCCATCTGAGCTGGACTCTGATTCTGTGGATAAAATGGGAGTTTGAGTGACTGCCTCCAACTGAACACCTTAGGCACTCTAGTCCATCCTGGACACACCAGAGCTGAGGTAGCCACCAAAACTCGGTTCTTCTCTGTTCTCCAGAGTCCAAGATTTATAAGAACCTGGATGCCAAAGAGCTCCCAGTTCCCTTCCCAGAGGAGACTGTGTTTACCCATCCACTATCTCTTCTCACCTTGGAAGAATCACATCTTACATAATTTAGCAGTGCTGCTTCTGACTTTGAGTTTAGTTTCCTTGGAATTCTCTTCCTCATTTGAATTGGGCTCTGATCTCAGTGCAAAAGAAAGTTTAGGTGACTCATCTCTTCCTAGGCACAGAGCTGCAAAGTCTATACTTGACCCATATTTGTGGGTCATTCTCTCAATCAAGGCTGTTCACCAGTGTCGAGTGTGAATGGGAAGCATAGAATTCCAGGGGATGATCGCCATATTTCTGAAATCTCTCTGATGACTATAAGTCATTTTCCATTTCTAATCTCAAAATGAAACCCCACCAAAGACACAGATCAGTATCCCTAATTCTACCCCTCTTGCCAACCTCCATAGGAATAGCCAAAGGCCTTACCTTGCCTTGCATGTGGCTCTTACTGGAATGAGAAGAGAGTGTCTTATCTTTTCTTCTGATGGTCTTTCCTCCTTATCCAAGCCCCTTTCTGTAAAGGAGACCTGTTGGAAAAAAGGTGGGTCAATGGGGCATTGGATGGAGGGGCAGTGGGAGTCTGGTCTTCAGTTCCCCATCCTATGGTGAAGCTCCAGTGAAAGGTGCTTGCTCTCTCTCACATGCCCAGAATCAGGTGCAGGTTGTTCTTGTGAACCTGCTTTTCTAAGCCCTTAAGCTGGACATGGGTCAGTCCTATTGGCTGAAGAGACTGCTCCCTCCTGCCACTCATCATGACCTCAGTAAGAAATTTTTCCATCAGTGAATGCCCTGGGGACCTAGATACAGATAAGGGGAGACTTGCAGAGCCCCATCATCGTGTTAATAAGCAGGAATTCAAAGCTGGGGGCACAGGAACAGGAATGCAAGGAACTTATGCTTATCTGATTTGTGCTCCAATACCCACCTAGAAGTATTTAAGACCCTGCCCAGATTTCAAGATGCAGAATTAGACAGACCACATATTGACATGTGTATATATATTTTGCACATGAAGAAAATTATATGTAGTGTTAAAATTGTACACACAGATGTTATAATTTCTCAAATGCTTGGAAATGACAAATATCAAATTATAGTTCATTATATTAGATGTAGGCATATGTGATAAGATAATAATGCAGAGAAAAAATAAACACCAAATAAAATATCCTTTCCTAGCTTGAAAGTGGGGGAGATGATTAGATCAAATGTGACTGCATTGGACTGATTAGATCATATGTAAAGCTAACCCAATCAACTGAATTTTTGAGGCAGCAAAAAGTCCAGCTGAAGAGGGAAACTCTCCCTCTACCTCATTCCCCTTCAGTCACCCTGGGAGCCCCACTATGATCTGTAGAGTCTGCTCAGCATCCATGATCTAAGCTGACCCATTCAGCTGGATTATCATCATCAACTTTGCATGCTCTGGTTCTTTCTCTCTGTGTTTCTGTTTACAATAAGTTGTGGATATGACTTTGCATTATGAATTTCCAGACACCTAATGGGCCACTTGTCTGTTTCTGTCCTGAAAAACCAATACCCAAATCCAAAAATATATCCTCACAAGAACCTCTGAAAGCCACCTGTGATTGCTGCTAACTCATTGACCTCCCTGCTCCTCAACCCACAGAGAACATGCAAGAACTGCCAGACTTTAGGACACATGGCCAGGATCAGGAGGTGCCCAGTGAAGTGCTGTGGTGGGACCCTGTTCCCAAACCCATGGGCTTAAATAAAAAGTAGACACTGAAACCAAGAAAGCCCCAGCAACTTCTGACTCCAGGACCCTTTACTAAGACTGACAGAAGGAACAAAGCAAAAATGAGATATCTGAAGGGTTCAAATAATCCTTGAACACTGGAATCTTTGGACATCAGGATTCCAGTATACCCTCCTTTACTTTTCGTCCACAGCCTTCTCCTGGCATAAATAGAGAAACTTAATAAAAATACACAAAGGGCTCAGTATACTCCCAAGTTCCTCAACTCAGAAACCCATTCTATTCCTGAAGGATCATTGCAGGCAGGTGTATGGGGCTATCTTGAAACTGCATATACAGGTCAAATAGCAATAGAGTCCAAATCAAAGTACATCTTGATTATACATTAAAAAAAAAAAACACAGTGGCTGCCTGTAGTTGGAAGTTGGAAGTTGAATCCTTGGTAAAGTTTACAAGACCTTTAATGTTTCTTTCACTCCAAAACACAAGCAAGGACCATGCCCTTTTTCCCATCCCCCAGGTGCAGACGGGAAGTTGAGACACATACAGACACTAAACATGGTTTGTTCTGCAGCAAGAAGGTTTTCAGAGAGAGATGCTTCTGCATAACTTAGCCAGGAAACCTGAAGCATCAGCAAAACTTAAGTGTAATGAGATAATCTTATTACTCTGAGGGTATTTTCCCCCCTCATTTCCTGCTCAGTTGTTCTTCATTTGACTTGCTTTGCTTCTATGAACATTATCTTAAAAACCCAGGGTAATCAAAAAGATTCCTCACATATATGTACCTTTCTTTTTGTTTTGTTTTGTTTTTCTATTATTTATATGTCCACCACCAACATGCTAGCATGGGCATTTCTATGCACATTTTCAAGTAGTGTCATCAGATGCATTCCAGGAGGTAGAATCCTGCGTGCAAGAACATGTTTCTTTCAACTCAATATATATTTGTTAATTGTGCCTTAAAAGGCCATTTACAGTCCCTATACACTTGTAAAAAACAGTGTGTATATATGTATGTACGTATGTTCATTCACTCATTTATTTATTTAGTTAGAAATGGGTCTCACTCTCTGTTAACCATGCTAGAGGGCATGATCATAGCTCATTGTAGCCTCAAACTCCTGAGCTTAAGAGATCCTCATGCCTCAGCATCCCAAAGTGCTGAGATTACAGGCATGAGACACTATGCCTGGCTAGCATTCTATTTTCCTAACTGATGGTCACACAAAACTTCTTTTTTTGTAATTTATTTTCCTGTGACCACCACTGAGGTTGGATGCCTCTTTATATGGGAAATGACCATTTGTATTTCTTTTACCATAAAATGTTTTCATAGGTCCCGTGCCTTTTAAAATTGAGTTTGTGTTTTACTCTTCATTGTCAGAGGTTCTTAACATATTTGGATGTCACCTGTTCCATATGATGTTAGTAGGCTGATGCCTGTCCACAATCCAAGAATAGATCTGTCCTAGATCTGTTCTCAAAAGTCATCCAGTTGTCAAGAAACCTGAGATGTGATCCTTCCACATGGCAGAGCTTCCCATCAAGACATGAACTAGGCTGCCAATTACCTCATGGCCAGGAAAAGCATGGGGGATGGATTTATTGATTGGCTCCATGTTGCATCCAAGCACTTTGGCTAGGATCCAACACTTATTGCCAAGATGACAGTCAACAGGCCCGAAGTTTCCTCTCACGATGTTCTCCAGCCTGCCATCAAAATGCTTTTCCTGGCCACCTCTTCAACCTCTGACACATCATATTCCCATGTGATTCATATGCACATTAATGGTTGTGAAGTGGGGAATTTTATTCTTTTTTTTTTTCTGTTTTTGAGACAGAGTCTCACTCTGTCACCCAGGCTGGAGTGCAGTGGCATGATCTCAGCTCACTGCAGCCCCCACCTCCTGGGTTCCAGCGATTCTCCTGCCTCAGCCTCCCAGGTAGGTGAGCTACAGGCAGGCACCACCACACCAGGCTAACTTTTGTATTTTTAGTGGCAACAGGGTTTCATCATGTTGGCCAGGCTAGTCTCGAATTCCTGACCTCAGGTGATCCGCCTGCCTCGGCCTCTCAAAGTGCTGGGGTTACAGGCGTAAGCCATCATACCCGGCTGGGAATTTTATTCTTAGAAGGAGGAAGTTTATGTGGGTACATTGTTTTCTCAAAAGGATACAGTTAAGATTCTACTTTTTAATGTATATACATTGTTTCACAAAAAAACCCCCAAATAATAATACAGTTGGGGGCGTGAGGAGTGGGTTGAAATATAGATGAAACAAAAATGGCACATGATTAGTACCTGTGGAGGCTGGGTGACAGGTTTATTACATTACTTGATATATTTTCTATATGCTTAAAATGTTATTTGTCAGCCAAAAATTTTGTATCCTGCCAGAATAAGCTTCATAAATGAAGAGGAAAGTTCTTCCCAGACAAGCAAATGCTGAGTGAATTTGTCAACACTAAATCAGCACAACAGGAAATGCTCAAAGTGGTCTTAAACATGGAAATGAAATCTCAATATTCACCATCACAAAAACACAGGTAAATATAAAACTCACTTCGTGTGTTTATACAAAGCAATCACACAAAGCAGGAAGAGAAAGGAATCAAATGTCAATGCAACAGAATTTCATCAAACCACAATGACAGAAAAAGAAAAATAAAGAAACAAAGAATTTATAAAACAGCTTGAAAACAATCAATAATATGACAGGAATAAAGACTCATGTATCAATATTAACCTTGAATGTAAATGGACTAAATCCCCCACTTAAAAAATGCAGATTGGGCAGAATTGATTAAAAACATTATCCAACTATATGCTGCCTATAAGAAACTCACCTGTAAAGACACATACATTGATTGCAAAGAGATGGAAAAAGATATTCCATGCAAACAAAAACCAAAAACAAGCAGACATAGATATATTTATATCAGATAAAATAGACTTTAAATCAAAAAAGGTAGTAAAAGACAAAGAAGGTCATTATATAATGATAAAGGGACCATTTGAGAGCCAGAAGATTAACAGTTGTCAGCAAGAGAATATAACAATTCTAAATATATATGCACCCAACTTTGGAGCACCCAAAACAAATACTACTAGACCTAAAGAAAGAATTTGACAGCAATACAATAATATTAGGGATTTTAACACCTTACTCAGAGCACTAGACAGATCACCAAGACAGAAAATTAACAGAAACATTGAACTTATACTGGACTTTAGACCAAAGGAAATTCACAGACTTACAGAACATTCTATCCAACAACCATAAAATATACATCCTTTTCATCAGCACATGGAACATTTTCCAAGATAGACAACATGTTAGGCCACAAAACAAGTCCTAAAAGATTTAAAACAATCAAAATTATATCATTTTGAAACAATCCAATTATTTCAGATCATAGTGGAATAAAGCTAGAAATCAATGTCAAGAGGAACTTTGGAAGCTACATAAATATATGAAAACTAAAGAGCATGCTCCTGACTAATCACTGGGTTGATAACAAAAATTAAGTCAGAAATTATTTTTTCTGAAATGAATGAAAAGAAAAACATAACACACCAAAACCTGTGAGATATAGCAAAAACAGTGCTAAGAGAGAAGTTTATAGCATTAAACATCTACATCAAAAAGGGAGAAAGATCACAAATTAACATCCTACCATTACAACCTCAGTGACTATTAATAGAAAAAGAATAAACCAAACCTAAAGTTAGCAGAAGAAAAGAAATAACAAAGATCAGGGCAGAACTAAAGGAAATAGAGACCAAAAAATACAAAGGACCAATGAAACAAAAAGTTGGTTCTTAAAAAGAAAATTGATAAACCACTAGCTAGACTAACCAGAAAAGACCCAAATAAACATAATAAGAAGTGAAAAAAGGAGGCATTACAACTGATACCACAGAAATGCAAGAGATCCTCAGAGACTATCATGAAAAACTGTACATGCACAAACCGAGAGGAAATTGATAAATTCCTGGAAATGCTCAACCTATCAAGATTGAACTAGAAAGAAGTACAACGCCTGAACAACAAATAATGAGTAGCAAGACTTAATTAGTAAAAACAAACAAACAAAAAGCCCCAAAACCAAAAAAACAAAACAACCTCCCAACCAAACTTCCAATAACAACAACAAAAAGCTCACAACTAGACGGCTTCACAGCAGAATTCTACCAAACACACAAAGAAAAATTAATACCAATCCTCCTGAAACTATTCCAAAAAATCAAGGAGAAGGGAATTCTCCCCAACTCATTCTACAAGGCCAGTGTCACCCTGATACCAAAATCAGACATGGACACACAAACTACAGACCAGTATACTTCAACAGATGTAAAAACCCTCAACAAAAAACTAGAAAATTAAATCCAATAGAGCATAAAAAAGATAATGCATTATGATCAGGTGGGACTCACACCAGAGATGCAAGGATAGTTTGATATACACAAATCAATAAACGGGATACATCACATAAACAGAATTAAGGACAAAAATGATATGATTATCCCAACAGATGCAGAAAAAGCCTTTGATAAAATTCAGCATCGTTTCATTAAAAAACCCACAACAAACCAGCTATAAAAGCAACACACCTCAACATAGTAAAGCCCATATACAACAAACACAAGGTCAACATCATACTTACTGGGGAAAAGCTGAAAGCATTTCCTGTAAGAACTGGAACATGACAAAGATGCCCACTGTCACCACTGTTATTCAACACAGTACTGGAAATCCTTGCCAGCACAATCAGGCAAGAGAAAGAAATAAAAGGCATGTAAATTGAAAAAGAGGAAGTAAAATTATTCTTATTCACTAATGATATGATCTTATATTAAGGAAACCCTAAAGACTCCACCACAAAACTCTCAGATTTGATCAATAAATTCAGTAAAATTTCAGGATATGAAATTAATGTACAGAAATCAATACTGATTCTATACACCAATAGTGATCTAGCTGAGGAACAAAACAAGAAGGCAATCCCATTTACAATTGCTTCAAAAAATAAAATATGCAGAAGTATATTTAACTGAGGAGGTAAGAGATCTCTATAAGGAGAACTACAAAACACTAGTGAAAAAAAGCATAGATTCCATAAACAAAGAAAAAATAGCATATGCTCATGAATTGGAAGAATCAATATTTTCACAATGGCCATACTGGCCAAAACAACCTACAGATCTAGTGCAATACCTATCCAGTTACCAATGTCCTTTTTTTCAGAATTAGAAAAGAAGTCCTAAAATTCATATGGAACCAAAAAAAGATCCTGATATGGAACCAAAATAGCCAAAGAAGTTCTAAGCAAAAAGAACCATGCCAGAGGCTTCACATTATCCAACTTCAAATTATGCTATGAGGCTATAATAATCAAAACAATGTAGTACTGGTATAAAAATAGACATAGGTCAATGGAACAGAAGAAAGAGCCATGAAACAAAGTCTCATCCAATCAACCATCCAAACAACCAATTTTTGACAAAGTCGGCAAACATGTCCACTGGGGAAATGACACTCTCCCTATTCAACAATGGTGCTGGGAAAATTGGATAGCCATATGCAGAAGAATAAAACTGGACCTAGACCTCTGACCATATAGAAAAATTAACTCAAGATGGATTAAAGATCTAAACATAAGACCTGAAACTATAAAAATTCTGGAAGAAAGAAAACTTAGGAAAAACTTTTCTAGACATTGGCCTAGGCAAAGAATTTATGACAAAGTCCTCAAAAGCAAACACAAGAAAAACAGAAGTAGACTCAATTAAACTAAAAAGCTTCTGTACAGCAAAAGAAATAACAGAGTAAACAGACAACCTACAGAACAGAAGAAAATATTTGCAAACTATGCATATGACAAAGGGCTGACATCCAGAATTTACAAGGAACTCAAAACAACTCAATAAGAGGAAAACAAGTGACCCCATTACAAAGTGGGCAAAGAACATAACAGAGAGACATTTTCCAAAACAACATATGCCAGTGGCCAATAAACATATGAAAAGATCCTAAACATCATTAATCATCAGAGAAATACAAATGAAAACCACAATGAGATACCAACTTACATGAGTCAGAATGGCTATTATCAAAACGTCTAAAAGCAACAGATGTTGGTGAGGCTACAGGGATAAGGGAACGCTTATACCCTGTTGGTGGGAATGTAAATTAGTACCTTTATGGAAAACAGTATGGAGAGTTCTTAAAGAACTAAAAATAGAACTACCATTAGCTGCAGCAATCCCACTATTAGGTATATACCCAAAGAGAGATAAATCACTATATTAAAACAAAATCTGCATTCTTATGTTTATTTACAGTGCTATTCACAATAGTCAAGATATGAAAGCAACCTAAGTGTTCATCAACAGATGAATGTATAAATAATGTGGGACATGTACACAATGGGCTATTCAGCTGTAAAAAAGAATAAGATTCTGTCATTTGCAACAACATGTATGGAACTGGAAGTCATCATATTAGGCAAAATAAGCCACGTGCCGAAAGACAAACTTTGCAGGTTCTCACTTACTTGTGGCAGCTAAAAATTAAAGCAATTGAACTCATGGAGACAGAGTAGAATGGTGTTTACCAGAGGCTGAGAATGATATGCACCCCTAGCCCATAATCCACTGATGGTTACCAGTGGGTGGGAGAGTGGGAATAATTGATGCATACAAAAAAATAGAATTAAGATATAGTATTTACTAGCACAAGAGGGTGATTGTAGTCAAAATTAATGTAATTGTACATTTAAAAATAACTACAAGAGTATAATTGAATTGTTTATAACACAAGGAAGAAATGCTTGAGGTGATGAATCCCCATTTACCCTGATGTGATTATTACACATTGTATGTCGGTATCAAAATATTTCGTATACCTCACAGACATATAAACCTACTATGTTACCCAAAAAATTAAAAATAAAAAAATTAAAATGTGGTACACATGTACCACAAAATACTCAGCAATAAAAAATAGAAATCATGTATTTCACAGCAACATGGATGAAACTGGAAGCCATTTTCCTTAGTGAAATAACTCAAGAAGAGAACATTCAATACTGTTTGATCTCATAAGTAGGAGCTAAACAATGGGCACTTATTGACTTATAGAGTGAAATAACAGTCCCTGGAGTCCACGAAAGGTTGGAGGGTGGAAGGAGGGTGAGGGGTGAAAAACGATTCAGCAGAAATTTCACTATTCAGGTGATGAGTATGCTAAAAGCCCAGACATCACCACTATGCAATGTATGCATGTAAGAAACTGGCACTTGTGGCTGGGCCCGGTGGCTCATGCCTGTAATCCCAGCACTTTGGGAGGCCATGGTGGGTGGATCACCTGAGGTCAGAAGTTCGAGACCAGCCTGACCAATATGATGAAACCCCATCTCTACTAAAAATACAAAAATTAGCCAGGCATGGTGGCATGTGCCTGTAGTCCCAGGCTGAGACAAGAGAATCGCTTGAACCCGGGAGGCGGAGGTTGCGGTAAGCCGAGATCACACCATTGCACTCCAGCCTTGGTGACAGAGTGAGACTCCATCTCAAAAAAAAACCAAAAAAACACAAAAAACTAAACCTCTGCTAGGGCAATACGGGAGGAAAATGTGGAATCGGAGCCTTCAAACAGAGTGCCCACTGGGGCATTGCCTAGTGGAGCTGTGAGAATAGTGCCACCATCCTCAAGATCCCAGAAATGGTAGATCCATGGACAGCTTGCACCCTACACCTGGAAAAGCCACAGGCACTCAATGACGGCTTGTGAAAGCAGCCAGGAGGGGGGGCTATACCCTGCAAAGCCAAAGGGGTGGAGCTGCCCAAAGCCATGGGAACTCGTCTCTTGCATTAGTGTGACCTGGATGAGAGACACGGAGTAAAAGGAGATCATTTTGGAGCTTTAAGATTTCACTGCCCTGCTGGATTTCAGACTTGCATGGGGCCTGTAGCCTCTTCATTTTGGCCAATTTCATTCACTTGAAATGGGTGTATTTACCCAATGCCCGTACCCCCGCTGTATCTAGGAAGTAACTAACTTGTTTTTGAATTTACAGGCTCATGGGTGAAAGGGACTTGCCTTGTCCCAGATGAGACTTTGGACTTGGACTTTTGCATTAATGCTGGAATGAGTTAAAACTTTGGGGGACTGCTGGGAAGGCATGATTGTGTTTTGAAATGTGAGGACATGAGATTTGGGAGGGGCCAAGGGCATAATGATATGGTTTGGCTGTGTCCCCACCCAAATCTCATCTTGATTGTAGTTCCCATAATCCCCATGTGTTGTGGGAGTGACCCAGTGGGAGGTAATTGAATCATGGGGTCGGTTACCTCCATGCTCTTCTCATGATAGAGAGTGAGTTCTCACAAGATCTGATGGTTTTGTAAGGAGCTTTCCCCCCTTCATTCCACACTTCTCTATCCTGCCATCATGTGTAGAAGGACGTGTTTGTTTTTTCTTCCACTATGATTTTAAGTATCATGAGGCCTCCCCAGCCTTGTGGAACTGAATCAATTAAAGCTCCTTCCTTTATAAATTAACCAGTCTTGGGAATTTCTTCATAGAAGCATGAGAATTGACTAATACATTTTAATAGATACTTTCTATTGTAACTTAGAGTGTTCAGAAAATATGACATTACATTCCTATCGTTAATTCAATAACAATTTTCCGGCCTAAAGCATACCTTTGTCAGATTTTCCTTTTAAAAATGCACATCCTCTGTTTACTGGTTGAAATGCTGCTGGTTTATTTCTATGACAACTTAGTCAAATTTCTAACAAAATTATGTAACATTCTTTATATTCATTTATTAATTGTACACCAAAAGTCAACTTTTATGATTGCCTTACTGTCACCTGGTATGACTAAAAATATGCCAATTTGTCATTTCCAATGAATCTTTCAATTATTTATTTTTAAACTTTGGGTGTTATGCCTATAAATGTGCCACAGCTTAGTACAGTGTCTAAAACACTGTATGTGGTAAGTAAGTGCTAATCACTTTGAGTCATCAAGTAATCTTTTTTCATGCCATTCCTCAATTACAATAATTTTTTTTGTTCTTATTAAAAATTATGTTTCTGTTCTATCTTAATATAGGTGAAAAAATATGAGGTAGTCTCTATGAGAACCCTCTTCAACAAATCCAAAGTCAAATTTCACAAACAGCTTATATATTCAGTTACGTATTTGTCACAGACAGTAAATATGACTATTTAGGTACGATAATTGTAGTAATAATCTCCATCCTACAACAGAGAAAGCTTTGGGTCATTCACTGATGGGCATAAAGTTTCATTCTTTATTATTATTCTCAGAAAATCCATTGGCATGGAATAAAACAAATTAGAAATAAAAATTATGATAGGCACACATTTTGAAAGTAAACTTAAAAAGTAGATGATATAAAGTCATATAAATGAAAACTAGAATACAGTCATGTGCTGCATAACAATGTTTTAGTAAACAATGTACCACATATATGACAATGGTCCCATAAGAATATAATAGAGCTGAAAAATGCCTATCAACTAGTAATATAGCCATTTTAACATTGTAGCACAATGCATTACTCACACATTTCTGGTAATGTTGGTGTATTAGTCCATTTTCATGCTGCTGATAAAGACATGCCAGAGACTGGGAAATTCACAAAAGAAAGAAATTTAATGGACTTACAGTTCCACATGGCTGGGGAGGCCTCACAATCATGGTGGAAGGCAAAGAGGAGCAAGTCACATCTTATGTGGATGACAGCAGACACACAGAGAGAACTTGTGCAGGAAAACTCCCATTTTTCAAACCATCAGATCTTATGAGACCATTCACTATCACAAAAACAGCAGGGGAAAGACCTGTCCCCATGATTCAGTAATCTCCCATTGGGTCCCTCCCACAACTCCTGGGAATTATGGGAGCTACAAGATGAGATTTGGGTAGGAACACAGAGCCAAACCATATCATTCCACCCCTGGCCCCTCCCAAATCTCATGTCTTCACATTTCAAATCCAATCATGCTTTCCCAACAGTCCCCCAAAGTCTTAACTCATTTCAGCATTAACTAAAAAGTCCGAAGTCTCATCCTAGACAAGTCAAGCGCCTTCTGCCCATGAGCCTGTAAAATCAAAAGCCAATTAGTTATTTCCTAGATACAATGGGAGTAATGGCAAGTAAATACAGTCATTCAAAATGTGAGAAATTGACAAAAACAAAGGGGCTGCCAGTCCCATGCAAGTTCAAAATCTAGCAGGGCAGTCAAATTTTAAAGCTTGAAAATGATCTCTTTTGACTCCATGTCTCACATTCAGGTCATACTGATGCAAGAAGTGAGTTTCCATGGTCTTGGGCAGCTCTGCCCCTGTGGCTTTGCAGGGTACAGCCTTCCTCCCAGCTGCTTTCACAGGCTAGTGTTGAGTGTCTGCAGCTTTTCTAGGTGAAGAGTGCAAGCTGTTAGTGGTTCTACCATTCAGGGGTCTGGAGGGCAGTGGCCCTCTTCTCATAGCTCCACTAGGTGGGCCCTAGTAGGGACTCAGTGTGGGGGCTCTGACCCCTTCAGCACTGCCGTAGCAGAGGTTCTCCATGAGGGCCACATCCCTGCAGCAAACTTCTGCCTGGACATCCAGGCATTTCTATACATCCTCTGAAATCTAGGCAGAGGTTCTCAAACCTCAATTCTTGACTTCTGTGCACCTGCAGCTCAACACCAGGTGGAAGCTGCCATGGATTGGGGCTTGCAACCTCTGAAGCCATGGTCTGAGCTATACCTTGGCCCCTTTTAGTCATTCAAGTGGCTGGGACTCAGGGCACCAACTCCCTAGATTCCCCACAGTAGGGGAGCCTTGGGCCCAGCTTACAAAACCATTTTTTCTTCCTGGGCCTCCAGGCCTGTGATGGGAGGAGCTGCCGTGAATACCTCTGAAATGCTCTGGAGATATTTTCTCCATTGTCTTGGGGATTAACATACACCTCCTTGTTACTTATGAAAATTTCTGCAGCTGGCTTGAATTTCTTCTCAGAAAATGGGATTTTCTTTTCTATTGCATTTTCAGGCTGCAATTTTCCAAGCTTTTATGGTCCCCCTTCCTCATAAAACTGAATGCCTTTAAAAGCACCCAAGTCAGATCTTGAATGCTTCGCTGCTTAGGAATGTCTTCCACCAGATACCCTAACTCATCTCTCTCAAATTTAAAGTTCCAGAGATCTCTACAGCAGGAGCAAAATGTCACCAGTCCCTTTGGTAAAACATAACAAGAGTCACCTTTGCTTCAGTTTCCAAAAAGTTCCTTATTTCCATGTGAGACCACCTCAGCCTGGACTTTATCGCCCATATCACTACCAGCATTTTGGGCAAAGCCATTCAATAAGTCTCTAGGAAGTTCCAAACTTTCCCACATTTTCCTGTCTTCTTCTGAGCCCTCCAAATTGTTCCAACCTCTGCCTGTTACCCAGTTCCAAAGTCGCTTTTATATTTTTGGGTGTCTTTTCAGCAGTGCCCCACTCCTGGTACCAATTTACTGTATTAGTCCATTTTCACACTGCTGATAAATACATACTCAAGACTTGGCAATTTACAAGAGAATGAGGTGTAATGGACTTACAGTTCCACATGGCTGAGGAGGCCTCACAATCATGGCAGAAGGCAAGGGGGAGCAAGTCAGATCTTATGTGGATGGTGGCTGGCAAACAGAGAGAGCATGTGCAGGGAAACTCCCATTTTTAAAATCATCAGATCTCATGAGACTTATTCACTATTACAAGAACAGTACGGGGAAGACCTACCCCCATGATTCAGTTATCCTCCACTGCATCCCTCCCACAACATGTAGGAATTATGGGAGCTACAAGATGAGATTTGGGTGGAGACATAGAGCCAAACCATATCAGTTGGGGTAGACAACCCTGTGCTGTCAGTCATATATATGTATATCACATACAATTATGTACAGTATATAATACTTGATAATGATAATAAATGACTATGTTATTAATTTATGTATTTACTATACAACTTCCAGCCCCATAAGCTCCATTCATCGTAAGTGCCCTATACAGATGTACCATTTTTTATCTTTTATATTGTATTTTTTGCTGTACCTCCTCTATGTTTAGGTATCTTCAGATACATAAATATTTACCATTGTGTTTCAACTGCCTATAGCATTCAGTAGAGTAACATGCTTCACAGACTTGTAGCATAGGAGCAACAAGCTATACCATATAGCCTAGGTGTGCAATAGGGTCTACCATCTAGGTTTGTGTAAGTACACTCTATGCTGTTTGCAAAATGATGAAATGCCTAACAACACATATCTATGAACATATCCCCATTGATAAATAACACATGACTGTATATAAAGTCATGTCAGAAGACAAAATATTAATTAAAAGTCTTTCCACATTGAAAATCTCTGAATCAAAAGCTTTAAATGATAAATCTTATCAACATCTAATAAAATATTCATGCTAATTCTTCAAAGTAACTTCCAAAAATAGAAGCAACACTTCCCAATTTACTCTATGAGGCCAGGAGTGCCATGATACCAAAGCTGGAAAAAAGCATTGCAAGAAGACTAGAAAGAAAAATCCGTAATGACTACAGACACAGAAATCCTTATTAAATACTAGGAAATTTATTCCAGGAACATAATAAACATGATTATATACCATAGCCAAGTGAGATTTTATTTTCATAAATGCAATGTTAGCTTAATATCTAAAAGTCAATTAAGATAATACACAATATTACTTGAATACATGACAAAAAGAACATTTCGATAGACACAGAAAAACATTTGACAAAAATCTAACATACATTGTGATAAAAAAAAAAAAAACAGAATGCTACTAATAGACAAAAAAGTGAGTCCTGCTAAAAGCCATCTATAAAAACCTACAACTAGCATTATACTTGATGGTGAAAGACTGAGTACTTGACTGATAACTTTGGGAACAGGACCATAATTTCCACTTTTAGCACTCTATCCAACATTGTACTCCACCTCGGGAAATTATACTGGAAAGTAAAAATTGTCCAGATTGAATAAAAAAAGTAGAACCGTGTTTCATTGCACACAACATAATCTTCCACATAAAAATTTGTCAGGAATTTACTAAAAACTCACTAGAACTAAGAAATTCATCCATGTCACAAGATACAAGATCAACATGTAAATTGAATTGTATTTTTATATACTAGCAAACAACAATCTGAAAATGGAATTAAGGAAACAATTCTATTTACAATAGATCAAAAAGAAAGAAATATTCATGGATAATTTATTTATTTAAATTTAAGTTCCAGGATACACGTGCAGGATGTGCAGGTTTGTTGCACAGGTAAATGGGTGCCATAGTGGTTTGCTGCACCTCTCAACCCATCACCTAGATATTAAGCCCCACCTGCATTAGCTATTTATCCTGATGTTCTCCCTCCTCCCACCCCCCTCGACAGGCCCCAGTGTGTGTTGTTCCCCTCCCTGTGTGCATGTGTTCTCACTGTTCAGCTCCCGCTTATAAGTGAGAACAAGTGGTGTCTGGTTTTCTGTTCCTGTTTTAGTTTGCTAGACATGCATAATGGCTTCCAGCTCCATCCACGTACCTGCCAACGATATAATCTCATTCCTTTTTATAGTATTACATGGTGTATATGTACCACATTTTCTTTATCCAGTCTATCATTGATGGGCATTTGGGTTGATTCCATGTTTTTGCTATTGCGAATAGTGCTGCAATGAACATATACATGGATGTATCTTTATAATAGAATGATTTATATTCCTTTGGGTATATACCCACTAATGGGATTGCTGGGTGAAATGGTATTTCTGGTTCTAGGTCTTTGAGGAATTGCTACACTGTTTTCCATAATGGTTGAACTAATTTACATTCCCACCAACAGTGTAAAAGCATTCCTATTTTTGACAGCCTTGCCAGCATCTGTTGTTCCTTGACTTTTTAATAATCGCCATTCTGACTGGCATGACATGGTATCTCATTGTGGTTTTGATTTGCATTTCTCTAATGATCAGTGATGCTGAGCTTTCTAAAATGTTTGTTGGCTGAAAAGTCATCTTTTGAGAAGTATCTGTTCATGTCTTTTGCCTACTTCTTAATGGGATTGCTCTTTTCTTCTAAATTTGTTTAACTTCCTTGTAGATCCTGGCTACTAGACCTTCTCAGATGGATAGATTGCAAAAATTTTCTCCCATTCTGTAGATTGTCTGTTCAATCTGATGATAGTTTCTTTTTCTGTGCATAAACTCTTTAGTGTAATGAGACCCCATTTGTCAAGTTTTGCTTTTGTTGCAATTTCTTTTGATATTTTCATCAAAAAATCTTTGCCGTGCCTATGTCCTGAATGATATTGCCTAGATTTTCTTCTAGGGTTTTTATACTTTTGGGTTTATATTTAAGTCTTTAATCCATCTTGAGTTAATTTTTGTATAAAGGTGTAAGGAAGAGGTCCAGTTTCAATTTTCTGCATGTGGCTAGCCAGTTTTCCCAGCACTATTTATTAAATAGGTAATCCTATTCCCATTGCTTATTTTTGTCAGGTTTGTCAAAGAACAGATGGTCGTAGATGTGGGGTCAATTTCTAACGTCTCTATTCTGTTCCACTGGTCTATACATCTGTTTTTGTATCAGTATCATGCTGTTTTGGTTTCTGTAACCTTGTTGTATAGTTTTAAATCTGGTAACATGACTCCAGCTTTGTTCTTTTTGCTTAGGATCATCTTGGCTATACAGGCTCTTTTTTGGTTCCATGTGAATTTTATTTTATTTTATTGAGATGGAGTCTCGTTCTGTCGTCCAGGCTGGAGTACAGTGGCACGATCTTGGCTCACTGCAACCTACGCCTCCTGGGTTCACGTGATTCTCCTGCCTCAGCCTCCTGAGTAGCTGGGATTATAGGCACACACCACCACACCTGGCTAATTTTTTGTGTATTTTTAGTAGAGACAAGGTTTCACTATGATGCTGGCCAGACTGGTCTTGAACTCCTGACCTCCTGATCTGCTCACCTCGGCCTCCCAAAGTGCTGAGATTACAGGCATGAGCCACCCCGCCTGGCCAAGGTTTCATGTGAATTTTAAAGCAGTTTTTTTTCTAATTCTGTGAAGAATGTCAATGGTAGTTTAATGGGAATAGCGTTGAATCTATAAATTACTTCAGGCAGAATGGCCTTTTTCACTATACTGATTCTTTCTATCCATGAGCATGGAAAGTTTTTCCATTTCCTTGTGTCCTCTCTGATTTCTTTGAGCAGTGGTTTGTAGTTCTCCTTGAAGAGGTCATTCACTTCCCTTGTTAGCTGTATTCCTAAGTATTTTATTCTCTTTGTAGCAATTGTGAACAGGAGTTAATTCATGATTTGGCTCTCTACTTGTCTATTGTTGGTGTATAGGAATGCTTGTAATTTTTGCACATTCATTTTGTATCCTGAGACTTTGCTGAAGTTGCTTATCAGCTTAAGAAGCTTTTGGGCTGAGATGATGGGGTTTTCTAGATATAGGATCATGTCATCAGCAAACAGAGATGGCTTGACTTCCTCTCTTTTTATTCAAATACGCTTTATTTCCTTATCTTGCCTGATTGCCCTGGCCAGAACTTCCAATACTATGTTGAATAGGAGTTGTGAGAGAGGGCAACCTTGTCTTGTGCTGGTTTTCAAGGGGAATGCTTCCAGCTTTTGCCCATTCAGTATGATCTTAGCTGTGTGTTTGTCATAAATGGCTCTTATTATTTTGAGGTATGCTTCATCAATACCTACTTTACTGAGAGATTTAACTCTTTAAAAGAGTTAAATCTTTTCAAAGATTTAACATCTTTGAAAAGATGTTGAATGTTATCGAAGGCCTTTTCTGCATCTATTGAGGTAATCATGTGGTTTTTGTCTTTAGTTCTGTTTATGTGATGAATTACATTTACTGATTTGCATATGTTGAACCAGCCTTGCGTCCTAGGGATGAAGCTGACTTGATCATGGTGAATAAGCTTTTTGATGTGTGGCTGAATTCAGTTTGCCATATTTTATTAAGGATCTTTGCATCAATATTCATCAGGGATACTGGCCTGAAGTTTCTTTCTTTTTTGTTTTTTCATTGTATCTCTGCCAGGTTTTGGTATCCAGATGATGCTAGCCTCATAAAATGAGTTAGATAAAAGTCCATCCTTTTCAAGTTTTTGGAATAGTTTCAGAAGAAATGGTATGAGCTCCATTTTGTACCTCTGATAGAATTCAGCTGTAAATCCAACTGGTTCTGGGCTTTTTTTGTTTGGTAGGCTATTTATTACTGCCTCAATTTCAGAACTTGTTATTGGTCTATTCAGAAATTCAACTTCTACCAGGTTCAGTCTTGGGAAGCTGTATGTGTCCAGGAATTTATTTATCTATTTCTTCTAAATTTTCTAGTTTATTTGCATAGAAGTGTTTATAGCATTCTCTGATCGTTGTTTGTATTTCTGTGGGGTCAGTGGTAATATCTACTTTATCATTTTTTATTGTGTCTATTGGACTTTTCTCTCTTTTCTTCTTTATTAGTCTAGTTAGTGGTTTGTCTATTTTATTTATTTATTTATTTTTTCGAAAAGCCAGCTCCTGGATTCATTGATTTTTTAGAGTTTTTCATGTCTCTATCTCCTTCAGATCCACTCTGATCTTGGTTATTTCTTGTCTCCTGCTAGCTTTGGGTTTGTTCACTCTTGTATCTCTAGATCTTTTTGTTGTGATGTTAAGCTGTCGATTTGAGATCTTTCTAGCTTTTTGATGTGGGCATTTAGTGCTATAAAATTTTCTATTAACACTGTTTTAGCTGCATCCCAGAGATTCTGGTACCTTGTCTCTTTTTTCTCATTAGTTTCAAAGAACTTGTTGATTTCTGCTTTAACTTCATTATTTACCCAGGAGTCATTCGGGAGCAGGTTGTTCAATTTCCATATAGGTGTGTGAGGTTCCTAATCTTGAGTTCTAATTTGGTTGTGCTGTGGTCTGAGAGACTATTTCTTGTGAGTTCAGTTATTTTGCATTTGATGAGGAGTGTTTTACTTCCAATTATGTAATTGATTTTAGAGTAAGTATCATGTGGCACTGAGAAGAATGTATATGCTATTGTTTTGGGGTGGAAAGTTCTGTAGATATCTATCAGGTCCACTTGATCCAAAGCTGAGTTCAAGTCCTGAATATTCTTGTCAATTTTCTGTCTTGATCTGTCTAATATTGACAGTGGGGTGCTAAAGTCTCCAACTATTATTGTGTGGGAGTTTACATCTCTTTGTAAGTCTCTTAAGAGCTTGTTTTATAAATCTAGGTGCTCCCGTATTGGGTGCATATATATTTCGGATTCTTAGCTCTTCTTGCTGAATTGATTCCTTTATGATTATGTAATGTCCTTCTTTGTCTTCTTTGATCTTTGTTGGTTTGAGGTCTGTTTTGTCAGAAACTAGGATTGCAACCCCTGCTTTTTTCTGCTTTCCATTTGCTTGGTAAATTTTCCTCTATCCCATTATTTTGAGCCTATATGTGTCTTTGCAGGTGAGATGGGTGTCTTGAATACAGCCCACTGATGGATCTTGATTGACTCTATCCAGCTTGCCATTGTGTGTCTTTTAATTGGGGCATTCAGCCCCTTTACACTTAAGGTTAATATTGTTATGTGTGTATTTGATCCTGTCAAATGATGTCAGCTGGTTACTTTGAAGACTTGTTGATATAGGTGCTTCTTAGTGCCATTGGTCTTTGTACTTCTGTGTGTTTTTGCAGTGGCTAATAATAGTTTTTCCTTTCCATATTTAGTGCTTCCTTCAGGAGCTCTTGCAAGACAGGCCTAGTGGTGACAAATTCCCTCAGCATTTGCTTGTCAAAAAAAGATTTTATTTCTCCTTTGCTTATGAAGCTTCATTTGGCTGGATATGAAATTCTCAGCTGAAAATTCTTTTCCTTAAGAATGCTGAATATTGGCCCCCAATCTCTTATGACCTGTGGTGTTTTTGCTGAGATGTTTGCTGTTATTCCAATGGCCTTCCCTTTGTAGGTGACCTGGCCTTTTTCTCTGGCTGCCCTTAACATTTTTTCCTTCATTTTGACCTTGGAGAATCTGATGAGTATGTGTCTTGGGATTGATCTTCTCATAAACGATCTTACTGAGGTTCTCTGGATTTCTTGAATTTGAATGTTGGCTTGTCTTGTTCAGTTGGGGAAGTTCTCCTGGATGATATCCTGAATTATATTTTGCAACTTGGTTCCATTCTCCCTGTCTCTTTCAGGTGTCCCAATTAGTCGTAGGTTTGTTCTTTTTACATAATCCCATAGTTCTTGAAGGTTTTGTTCATCCTTCTCATTCTTTTTTCTCTAACCTTATCTTATTTCAGCAAGACAGTTTTCAAGTTCTGAAATTCTTCCCTCTTCCTGGTCTATTTGGTTAGTGATACTTGTGATACTAGTGATAAATTTTGACATTCTCATGTTGTCCATCAGGTCTTTTATGTTCCTCTCTAAACTGGCTGCTCTGGTTAAGTTCCTTATGTTTTATCATCGTTCTTAGCTTGTTTGCACTGGGTTAGAACATGCCCCTTTATCTCAGCGAAGTTCACTATTACCCACCTTCTGACGCCTACTTCTGTCAATTCATCCATCTCAGCCTTCTCCCTCTTACTGGAGAGGTGTTGTGATCATTTGGAGGAGAAGAGGCCCTCTGGCTTTTTGAGTTTTTAGAGCTTTTTCATTGATTCCTTCTCATCTTCATGAATTTATCTGTCTTCAAACTTTGAAGGTGCTGACCTTTGGATGGGGTTTTTGTGGGGACTTTTTTGTTGATGCTATTGTTGTTGTTGCTTTCTGTTTGTTTTTCTTTTAACAGTCAGGGCCTTCTTCTATAGGGCTGCTGTGGTTTGCTGGGGGTCCACTCCAGACACTATTTGCCTGGATTCCTCCCACACATGGAGGTGTCACCTGTGGAGGCTGCAGAACAGCAAAGATAGCTGCCTGCTCCTTTCTCTGGGATCTCTGTCCCAGAGGGGCACTGATCTGATGCCAGAAGGAACTCTCCTGTATAAGCTGTCTGGCAATTTTTGTTTGGGGGTGTCTCACCCACTCAGGAGGCATGGGATCTGGGACCCACTTAATGAAGCATTCTGGCTGCCCCTTGGCAGAGTCAGTGTGCTGCACTGAGGGGAATCCCACTCATCTGGACTGCTCGAATTCCTCAGAGCAAGCAGGAGGATATGGCTGATCCAAAGAGACTGTGGCTGCCCCTCCCCTCAGGGGTTCAGTCCCAGGGGGATCAGAGTTCTGTCCCTAAACCCCTGGCTGGAGTTCCTAAAATTCCTTTAGGGAGGCCCCTCACCCTCAGTGAGGAGGGTTGGGTCAGGGTCTGGCCTAAAGAGGCAGTCTGGCCACAATCTGCAACAGCTGCTGTGCTGCGCTGTGGGGAATTCCTTCTGGGTCCAAACTGTCCAATCTTCCTGGCACCAGCAGGGGAAAAATGGCAGCCTGGAACCCCTCCCCCCGGGAGCTCAGTCATCTTAGGCAGCAGGCAGCTGCAGTGATAATGGCCACCCCTCTCCTGAGAATTAGGTAGTCTTAGGTAGTCTCCAGCCAAGTGGCTGCTGAAAATCTGTACAGCTCTGTGCTTGGAACCCAAGGCCCTGGTGGTGTGGGCTCATGAGGGGGATCTTTTGATCTGTAGGTTGTACAGATCCATGGAAAAAGCAATGGTTTCCCAGGCAGGATAGAAGGATCAGTCACTGCCTCCCTTGGATGGGGTTGGGCACTCCCCTTGCCCTGTGTGGTTCCCAGGTAAGCCATCGCATCACCCTACTTTTCCTACACAGTTGGTCATGCCAACTGTGTAGTCAGTCCCATTGAGAGAACCTGGATACCTCAGTTGCTGGTGCAGGATTCACTTGCCGTTTTCATTCTTTTCACTGGGAACCTTCAACTGCAGCTGTTTCTAGTCAGCTATCTTGGTCCCTTCCTCCCATGGATAAATTTAACGAAAGAAATGCAAGGACTTTACACTGGAAGATTATCTTATGCTAAAATAAATCCAAGAGCAGAATAAATGAAAAAACTCCAATATTAAATGATAATATTGTAAAGAATACAATACCCCAGAAATTGACCTACAAATTAAATGGAGTCTCTTCAAATTTAAACTATAGCTTCTACAGTTTTTATAGAAATTGACAAAGTTTCTCAAATTTTCCTATATTTCCATAGTTTTTATAGAAATTGACAAGCTTTCTCAAAATCCACATATATATGCAAAGTAAACCAAAGACATAAACACAATCCTTAAAAGGAATAACAAAATTCATCCAGGCATGGTGGCTCACGTCTGTAATCCCAGCACTTTGGGAGGCCGAGGTGGGTGGATCACCTGAGGTCAGGAGTTCAAGACCAGCCTGATCAACATGAAGAAACCCCATCTCTATTAGAAATATAAAATTAGCCTGGCACGACCGCCCATGCCTGTAATCCCAGCTACTCAGGAGGCTGAGGCAGGAGACTTGCTTAAACCTGTGAGGCGGAGGTTGCAGTGAGCCGAGATCACGCCATTGCACTCCAGCCTGGGCAAGAGCAGCAAAACTCCAACTCAAAAAAAAAAAAAAAAAAGGAATAACAAAATTCTATAACTTAAACTCAATAAAACTAATTTTTATTCACTACAAAGTAAAAATAAGCCTGTGGTGGTAGCACAGGGATAGATTCATATAGAACAATGAAATAGGAAGTTTCATTAATAAACTTGCATTTATGGTAAAGTGATTTTAACAAAGGGGCCAAGAAATTTCTGAGGAAAGAAAAGTCTTTTCAACAAATGATACTGGAAAATTGGATATTGGCCTGCAAAATAATGACACTGCACTCCTAACTCAAATCACACATCAAAAAACAAAAAACAAGCCAATCAACCAACAAACAAAAGTTAAAAAGATCATACACTTAAATGTAAGTGCTGAAACTAAAAAATTCTTAGGAGGAATATTAAAGTTTTGCAACCTTGCATTAGGCAATGATATTTTAGATTTTACACCAAAGGACAATCAAAAAGGGAAAACTATACTTCACCAAATTTAAAATGTTTTAAATATAAAACATGAAAATATAAAAATGGAAGCCACTGAGTCAGACAAATCACCCTAGCTGACACTTTGATACAGGATTTTTAGTCTCCATAATTGAGTACATTTTTGTTTCTAAAGCCACCCAGCATGTGATAATCTGGTAATGTGGTATGGCAGCCCCAGCAAACTGATAGTCTATTAAAACACACACAGGATGTCCACTACGGTGTATCTGAGATGACCACAGAATTGAATCATGTCAATCTTCACCAGCATGGAAAGGCTGCACCACTGTGGGAAACAGCCTCCCTCATGGAATATTATGAAGACAAGTGAGGGCACAGGTTCTGACCTGGCAGGGTTATGATGATATGTTTTATAAGATTAAAAGTTATAGACAAATGTTAGAATAGCCTAAACCCCTCCCTTTCCTATATAAACCACCCAATTTAGAGTGATGGTTAAGTTGGAGGTCTGGAAGAATAGTGGAGCTGCCTGCTACATGGAATACTTGGGGCAAGTTGTGAAAACAATAAAAACAGCAACAACATGCAAAGATACTCATGGCCTATTTTAAAGTAAAAACAATGCAAAAGTGTTTTCTCTGATATTTCTGAAGTATGTGAACAGGGACTTTGCACCTAGCCAAGTTGCCACTGGGGACTAATGGAGGCCAGTTTCCTTTGGGAATGGGACTATCGGCCAGTAAATTGGCAAAAGTATAGGACAGAGCCCAGGGAAGTCTGTATATTCAGGTTTAGGCCCTGGGCCCACCCTGGTCATCTCAGGTCCTTGTCTGTGATGAACCTTTTGTGCTCACTCTCATGCTTGCCCAGCAGTGACCATGGTTGGTGATGTGGCGCAAGTATCTTTCTTCCAAGGAGATACAATTGGACCTATCAAACAGCTCTTCACTGATCTCCTGCATGCAATTCTGCAAATAGAGTACCCAGCAAATTGACTGAGAGGTGTTAGTAGCCTGCTTGGCTGTTCCCACAAGGAGATACTCTGATTAAAGTTCTGCATTCTAGATTAGGCACAGAGGAGCATCTCCATGAACCTCCAGCCAGGGCAAAAGCCACATGACAGCTTGAGGTCTCAAAATCAAATCTGAGTAAATAAGCTTAATCCCCAACACTCACCTTCCCATCCTGCCAGCCATGACCTGGGGTATGAACGCAGTAGAGTTCCAGCACCTAACAACCTGCTCCTTCCCAGGAAGAGCCTCACCTCACCTTCTGCTCCCCACCCCTACACACATATATGGTGATGAGGAGAGGGTATGAGGTTGTCCAGATGGGATCTCAAGTGAGGATTGGTCTGGAAAGGGCTACCCTGTGGTTACTTTGGGGTACCTCTTGCCAAATGACCTGAAGCATGGAGGTTGGGGATTGAGAGCTAAGCCAAATTCTGCATCTTTAGAAAAGGCTCTCACTGAAGCAAGAGCTTTGAAAAGTTGGGATACAGCAGAACATCTTGCTCTCTTGACAGTCTCTGGCTAACTAAACTTGATAGGAGACTGTCTTCAGAAATATGAGTGCCTGGTTACCAAAGTTCTAAGTTCTGTTGGGGTCTTTCACCAAGGAAGTGAGGTCACTTCTTCAAGGTTTCATCCTTTTACTAAGACCTACCCATAGGCTCCTCTAGGATGCTGACTGCTCATCTTCCTGCTCCATGTTATTTTATTACCTGCACACAATTATGCAAACACAGACCCCTCTCCCCCAGATTCTGAGAAGACTCAGTGAAGCCAGGATGACAGGTTGAGGAGAGCTAGGTCAGAACCTCCTTTTAATAAATTTATGAGTTATGTCATCCTAGATATGTCATTGTGCTTCTTGGGGGCTCCACAGTCTCCCAACCTGCACAATAGAGATCATGCTAGTTACCCAATTCTAAGAGAACTCATCAGGAGTTACCTAATTCTAAGGGAACTCATCAGGAGCATGTGAAATAATACAATGGTCGTGAGTTGGTATCACATGTAACTAATATAAAAAGAGATGGAAGAATTACATGGGTGGAACAACTCAAACATGCCTGGGTTTTATAAGTTGCGTGTTGGGAAAGTCACTTCCCCTCCTGGTCTCATTTCCCAAGATCCACCATAAGGGAACTGAAATTAAATAAAATTTTGACGATGTCATCCTGAGGCTATAGACCTTCCAACGTCTTCTCATTCTATTTAGAATCAGGTCCTTTTGTCTCACCTTGGCCTCTGTGGTAAGCAGCCTCCATGATGGTTCACGAAGATCCCCATTTCCCAGTATACACATCCTAGTGTAACCAGTAAGTGGTTAGCGACTCACCTCTTGGGAAAAGAATACAACTGAAGCTATGGAATGTCACTTCCTTACTAAAATATTGTCTTTTACCTTTTACTTTCTCTCTCTGGTGCCCTTAATTCCTTCCTTCCTTCCCCTACCCCCTGTGGTGTAGAAGATTGGTCAGGGTGGTGGGGAAAATTATAAGGAAAGATGAAAACCTTCTTGGAAGGCTGGGAGATTTTGCAAAAGCTTCTAAATAAAATTTGGCTGAAGGCAGCCAAATTCCCTTCTCTGGAGCCTGAGAGCAAAGGGTAGATAACAAGGGAATGCAAATGAACTTGTCTAGATAAATTTGTTTACTCCTGTCTCCAGAAACCAACCTTTGATAATTCGTGCACAGGATTGCTCTCTACTTGTGGGTTTGACAATGTTTATTACCCACAAATTGTGTTTGCTCCAAGCCTTTGTCATTAAATCTGTGCTAAATAAATGTGAGCATCACTGGCTTATAGGGCAATAAGCACTCTTGGCTGAGCTGCACTCTCATCGTGGTTCTAAGGAGTATAGTTCCCCTAGTTGCGCTGTCAGGCAAAATACCTGTGTCAGCATACTTCTTTCATCCGTCGCTCAGCCAGTCTGAAGGACAAACTCGGCAGGTTGTGCCCCATGTGAGGAACGCTACAATGGATCATGACAGAAACCTCAAAAATGAAGGTGAAGAGATTGCGCAGTAAGTCATTGGTGCCCCCTTGGGATTTCCAAGTTCGAGGGAATTGTTTAGGCTACGGTTTCATCATGCGACAACAGTTATCAGCTCAACAGCAACAGTATATAAAAGTATTGAAACAGCTGCTTAAAGCTAGTGAAGCCTCAGTTTTGCAGGCTCAATTAAGGGACCTAACGCAACCTGTTGTTTCCCATAACCCATGGTTCCCGGAAGAAGGTATGCTAGACATACAGCTCTGGGAACAAGTGGGTAAAAGTCTTAAACAACATCATGAACAAGGGCAACGGGTCCCAGTAACATCTCTAACATTATGTGCTTTAATTAGGGCTGCTTTGGTCCTGCTCTACACAGAAGAGCCTAAAAGGTAAGGGAGGAGGAACTGTCACCTACCTTACCACCACCTCCTTCTCCCTCAGCCCCACCATTAACAGGCAAAAATACCAAAGAGGAAACAGAGGTTTTTCCTGAGACCCCTCCTCCAATAAATTGGAAAAAGACAAGGGATACACTACAGCTATGGGACCCTGTCTTGGGCAAGTGACATTAGAAGGGGAGCTCTTAAACTGCCCAGTAATGCAAGATCAACAGGCAATCAAGTAACTGAACCCATTTCTTTTGACGCTTATAAAGAGATAAGAAAAAGCACTAAAGAAAATGGAGCTGCTAGCCCATTTATGAAAGGACGAATTGAAGCCATAGCAGACAACTTCTGTATGAGTCCATGGGACTGGTCAGTGCTAGCTAAAAAACCTTTAGAGCCCAGCCAATACCTCCTCTGGAAGGCAGAATATGATGACTTATGTGAACAACAAGCCAACCAGAATCAGTTGGCCAGGCAAGACATAACAACTGCTATGCTCCAGGGTAGGGGTCCCCATGCCAATGTACAACTACATTTTGATACCCAGGCCTATGCACAAATGTCTTTGTGTGCTCTCAGGGCTTGAGACCAAATTCCTGAAAGCAGTGTTCAACAGGGATCTTTCATAATTGTTCCACAAGGGCCTCAGGAGCCATTTGTTAAATTTATCAATCAGTTAACCCAGGCAATTAAGAGATAAATTAGTCATGCCCAGGCCGCTGATATCTTATTGCTGCAACTGGCTTATGAAAATGCTAACGTCGACTGCCAGCAAGCAATGCAGGCAATCAGAGGAAAGGCAGCCACAGTCAGGGAACTTATACAAGCATATAAACTGGTGGGGACTGAAACACACAAAGCCAAAATATTGGCTATGGCATTAAGGCCTCCTAAAGTGAAAAGGGAGAAAAACCCAAATTGTTTTCTATGTGGAAAGCCAGGTCATATTAAGAGGGAATGCCCCAATAATAGAGACCAAGGTAACTCAGGAAAAGAACCCCCTTTTATATGCCCCCAATGTAAAAAGGGGAAACATTGGGCAAATCAATGCAGGTCCAAATTTTAATGCCAGCAGCTTTCCTCGGTCAATGGAAAGCCCACAGTCCTCTCTCTCAGAGCAGCTACCACTGGGAGCACAGGACTGGACTTACTCTGCCCCAACGAATTAGTGCTAAAAGGAGAAGACCCTAAAAGGGTTGCAACCAAGATCTGGGGCCCACTGCCTCTGGGAACAGTGGGAGTAGTCCTAGGGCAATCAAGCCTATCCAGTAAAGGAATTAATGTGCTCACCAGGGTAATTGATAGTGATTATCAAGGTGAGATATTAGTTATGATGGAATGTAAAGGTCTGCATATTCTTCCTCCTGGATCAAAGATAGCTCAGTTACTACTCTTACCATACTGGGTCCCCAACAGCCAGGGAAAGGAAAGGGGAAAGGGAAGTTTTGGAAGCATGGGAGCCACAGGAGTATATGAGAACCAATTAATCACTGATTAGAGACCCATGATTACCTTAAAAATTGGAAATAAAAATTTTACTGGCTTATTGGACACAGGGGTGGATATTTCAATCATTAGTGATCAAAACTGGCCAGAAACGTGGGCTTGGGTCACTCAGAAACAAAAAATTGTCATCATCGGGGAAGTGCACACAGCCAAGTAGAGCACACGCCCCCTAACATGTTGCAATTTGGAGGGAAGAAAGGCAGTTATACAGCCTCTAGTCATGCCCATCCCTGTTAATCTTTGGGGATGGGACCTATTAGCCCAATGGGGGGGTCACTCTGCAGACCCCTTTCTAATAATGGCCACTGTTATTATCCCTCCCCTACCCCTGATGTGGCTCTCTCAAGATCCAATTTGGATAGAACAGTGGCCTTTAAAGGGAGAGAAATTATTGTGGTTTTGATTTGCATTTCTCTGATGGCCACTGATGGTGAGCATTTTTTCATGTGTTTTTTGGCTGCATAAATATCTTCTTTTGAGAAGTGTCTGTTCATGTCCTTTGCCCACTTTTTGATGGGGTTGTTTGTTTTTTTCTTGTAAATTTGTTTGAGTTCATTGTAGATTCTGGATATTAGCCCTTTGTCAGATGAGTAGGTTGCAAAAATTTTCTCCCATTTTTTAGGTTGCCTGTTCACTCTGGTGGTAGTTTCTTTTGCTGTGCAGAAGCTCTTTAGTTTAATTAGATCCCATTTGTCAATTTTGTCTTTTGTTGCCATTGCTTTTGGTGTTTTAGACATGAAGTCCTTGCCCATGCCTATGTCCTTAACGGTAATGCCTAGGTTTTCTTCTAGGGTTTTTATGGTTTTAGGTCTAACCTTTAAGTCTTTAATCCATCTTGAATTGATTTTTGTATAAGGTGTAAGGAAGGGATCCAGCAAAACCTGTTTTCTATCCTAAAGGGCAATACAGCCCTAGACTCTCCCAGGTATTTAACTCCTGCAGCAAAAAGGGAAATTGAGGAAATAGAGCAAGCTATTTCTCAGAGGCAACTAGATTGCATAGACCCAAAACATTCAGTTAAATTGTTTGTTTTTCCTACTAAACATTCCCCAACAGGATAGCTCCAGGGCTATGCTTCCTAGAATGGATTTTTTGCTCACATACTGGGACTAAAACACTATCTCCCTATATCCAGCTAGTTAGTAAAGTCATCTATACATGCCATAGATGACGCAATCAGTTGCTAGGTTATGACCCTGATGTCATAAGAATTCCTTTGAGTAAAAAGCAATTCGAGGGAGTATTGCCCCTATCTCTAGATCTTCAGATAGCACTCTCTGATTATGCAGGTCATATAGAGCATGCCCTTCCTGCTGACAAACTACTTCAATTCTTATCTAATACTCCAGTAATTGTGCCTACAAAAGTAGTTCACTCCCCCCATAACTAACACTTTAACGCTTTTTACTGACAGCTCTGGTAAAAATGGAAAAGCGGCTGTGTGGTGGAGACCATATAATTCCCTAACTCGTTCTGGATTTACTAGCACTCAGAGAGCTGAGGTTGCAGCCATAATAGTGGCCCTGGAGACCTTTTCTGCTCAGCCCATGAATATTGTTACTGACTCTGCTTACTCTATTGCAGAACCTTGAAACAGCCCTCATTAAGTCTACTCTCAAGCCCACCCTGTGTGCACATTTTCTTTGACTTCAGCAATTGCTGGATCAACGTACACATCCTATTTTTATCACACATATTCGAGCCCACAGCTCACTGCCTGACCCACTGGTTTATGGCAATAATCAGTCATGACCTGCAAGTCATGATGTCACTGCTTGACCAAGCCACCAAATCACATCAATTGTTCCACCAAAGTTGGAGGAAGTTAACTAAACAATTTCAACTTACTCAAAGACTAGCTAAACATATTACCCTGCAATGCCCAGATTGCCAGCTCACAGGCATGTCCTCTCCTTCAACAGGTGTTAACCCTAGAAAACTAGAACCTAATCAGTTATGGCAAACAGATGTTACACACATCCCCGAATGTGGAAAACTAAGATATGTACTTGTATCCATTGATACCAATTCTCAGCTAATTAGCGCACATGCTCTTCCTGGAGACTCCATCCGATATGTTACTAAACCTCTTCTGTTAGCTTTTGCATTTATGGGGCAGCTCACAAAAATTAAAACTGATAATGGTCTGGCTTATGCCAGCTCACAATTTCAACAATTTTCTCACACATGGAACATCCAACATTCCACAGGCCTCCCGTATAACCCCCAAGGGCAGGCCATAGTAGAATGTGTCCATTCCACTCTCAAAAATATGCTCAGAAAACAAAAAGGGGAATATGAGTAAAGACCCTGCAACACTACTAGCATAAGCTAAAGGGTAAAATTCTTTACCCATAATTTTTTAAATTTAAATGATAAATTTCAATCAGCTATAGAAAAGCTTCCTCTGTTTTAGGGTTGAGAATATGACTAAAACTTCATTGAGTCAAAAAAGCTATTATATCTAACGAAAAACAATGAAGCATACCATTTGACATTGAATTTTATCAACATGACACATTAGCCTACCTTCTCTTTTTAATAAATATTTAGAGAGGACAGAAAAATAAATGTGAATAACATACACAAAATAATTTAGTAAATGCAGAATGGTATGAACAAATAGAAATTTGAGGAAGCAGAGTGGTTAGTATGTATTAGCCCCTACAATGTGTTAGGGATTATTCTAAGCCAATTACACGTGGACTTAATACCTGAAATGTATAATACAGAAATTCATGAAAAATGACAAACTAAGCCATTTACAATCCCGTTAGGTAAAATTAAGACCATCACAGAAATAAAATGTTTTGGTATACAGTAACTAAATGAACATAAACATGCTAAATATAGTTTCACTAATTAGGTAGAGACAAATGTGTAGCATTTTTCACCAGTAAAGAGAAGATACACATTATATTCTAGTACCAGAGGTGAAAAAAACTGAATGGCAAAGTGTAGGCCTAACAATGACATGAATTTTATGATAGCAGAAATTCAAGAGGTCACTATTTTCAAGGCAACTAAAATGACACTAGAAATTATAAATTGTAACCAACAAGTACTATCTAGCCACACACAAATTTCCCTTGTCTCTTTTAATTAGTTTATAGAACAAGTAGAAATCCAAACAGATTCTTTTGTAAATTCAGAAACATGCTAAAAAGGAAGCAGAGTGATTAAAGCCAAAAGACCTGAATTCAGGTACATAATTTTATCAATATTATTTTAATATTATAGAGAAACAGTAATTCTGGCTGTATCTAGATCAGTTCTGTTCATTGGCATGAAGTATATCGTTTCGGAAATGTGCAAAAAACAAAATTTTAAGTATCAAAAAACTACTGTTTACAAATTACTATTACCACATGGTATATTCGAGAGGAATGTTCTGAATGAAGAAACGGGATATCTCATAAGATTCTGCTGTATGCTGCACAATGTCTATTGAAATATTTTACTCATGTACACTGTGGATATTTGTGCTTTTAGGAAAAATGCTATATATTATTAAATATTTTAATATAGACAACTAAAAAAATCCTCAAGAAGTTACAAGAACCTTTAAGTTGCTGAATGGAGTTAAAGGAAAATATAAGAACTTCACAGGAGCAGAAGTAAATCAAGATAATGATCCAGAGTAGTCAAACTAAGAAAAAAAATGCTCCCTTCAGATACTGACTCATCACAAGGATGTCAAATCTATGTGTGTTTTTCATCTTGTTCCCAGGGAAAATGAAAGAAACACTGGAAATAATATGACTATAGACACCTCAAATATGGTATCTCCCAAAAGTGAGAACCAAAGGAAAAACTGAGTGACATAACAAGGAAGAAATTTCTGAAGAAAAAATATGCAACAGTTTTGCACATTGGAATTATATTTAAAATGTTTAAATGAATACAATGAAAAGTAGAAAATCAATGTTTATTTTTGTAGAAAGAACAAGTAACTGAAGTTTAAAAGCCACATTTGAACGACAGCCCAATAGAATACGAAAATACAAAATTAAGTTACCAGACAATGTATAGGTTCACCACTAAATTAAACAGAGATAAGAGGACCGGTGAACTAGAATACTGAGCAGAATGAATACAGCAAAATACAGTAGAAATAAAATATCATAAAATTTTAATTTTAATTAAAGTCTAGAATGAGGAGCAAAACATGCCTAATTGTTTCACTAGAACAGTAAGTATGAATTGGCCACAGCAAATAAGGCCAGTCAGATCCAAGGACTGGAAAAACAGAATCTTTCCCTCCATGGGAGTAGCTAAAAACATGCATTGCAAAGGGCATGGATACAGAGAGGAATGAATTGTTCCCATTACTGCAATCAGTATCATTGTGCTTTGTCTTGCATAACTGTTCCAAGTCAAGTAACTAGTCTATTAAGAGGCTGGGATGGGACTCAGGGTCAACTCTGCCTGACTCCAAAGCCCATGAACTCCATGGGCCCTTGAGGTTCTGGAGAGTGCCACTTCTGCGACAGAAGTAGGATTCCTTAGACATTCTCATCCATCTATTATTCTTCACTACTGGGAATAATCTCCTTTGGACAATGCTTCTGAAGCAACTTGGAAGGTCTTCAAATAATTTGAGAAAGTGACTGAGGGCTGAGTTTAGGAAATCAAGGCCCAACATTACTCATTTCTTATCATCAGAGAAACTGGAAAGCACATAAGAACACACTCCACATGTTTGCAAATTCTCACATTTGCAAATTCTTTTCATTTTAGTATTTTCAGATTTAGTATTTGAAAACAGATTAAATCAAATTACTGTGCCTGAAATAACCTCTTACTCTAAAAGCAAGTGACATAAAAAATAGATCTGTAGAGAGACATTTCCTCCTGCTGCAATTTCCAAGACTCCAAATGCAGGAGTGGTCATAGGTTAAATACTTGCAGCACACATGGAAATCACACACAGCTAATGCATCCCTCACCCTGAAACAGTGGGTCTCACCCCTGGCTCCACATTACAGTCACATGCGGAGGCCCTACAATTCCCAAAACCTAAATTGCAACAGACCAATAAAATCAAAATCCCTGGAGTAGGGCCCAGACGTCAGTATTGTTTAAAGTTCTCCAAGTGATTACAGAGTTTAGCCAAGTCCCCAAAGTACTGCTTCAAGCCAAAATTTTTTGGTGTACTAGTTGCAAATTGTCTCTTGAATGAATGTAAAATGTTTACTCCTGAGTTGCAGCCTTTCAGTCATACCTGTATTATCTACTCACCTTTGCAGGAACTGACCTTTGCTACTCCTTTTGTTCCTGATCAACATGCTCCACATGTACTGAGTGCATACTATGCCCAGGGTCCTGTGCTAGGTGTCCTGGCTTTCAGAGCATCACTGTGGGGAAAAGACTTTGCTGGGAAAAAGTTTCATCTCAAAAAATCAAAAGCATGCCACTTAGCAAATGAAGGCAAAAATGGAAAGACCCAAGAGGTGCCCATGAGATTAGGACGTTGATACTTTAGAATATTCAAACCCATCTGCTAATGCCATGAGATTGTGTTCCACTTTACAACAAAAGAAAATGCTGCTAACATTCTGAGATAGTGAGTTAGGATTCTGGTGCAAATATGTAATATTTAATTTTTTATTGATATACCACATTACATACAGAAACATTCATGTAAAGCTTTTTGGATTATAACAGATAATTTACATAACTGAGGAATAGAACCAGCTTTACTCCTACCCAGAAAATAAATTTCTCCCTCCCTCCCTGTCCAAAGGTAAACAAGATCCTGAGCTAACATTGTAAACGAATATTGTACATTTATACAAATGCTATTAAAGACATAAAAATAAAATATATAGACCTGCCCCCAGCTTCAACTACTAATCATGTACCACTTCTGCTTCATCTATACTTCAACCCTTTCCCTACCCCCACCCATTTAATTTTTTTAAGATTTTTTTTGTGAAGATGTACATACATTGCAAGGCATAAACCTTAACTGTACATGTTAGACAAATAAATAGACCCATATAAACTTCACCCCTTTTCGAAGCAACACTTTCATCACCCTCAGAAAATTCACTTGTCTTTGGTCCTTTTTCTCAAGCAGAGATTATCTTGTTGATTTTTTTCACCATAGGATTATTTTGCCTGGAATAAAATACAAAATACATAAAGTACAATTTTGTGTCCAACTTTTCTCTCATTGAGCAGGTTTATGAATTTTATCCAGGATGTGTGCTTGGTTTTTCATATTCCTGAGCTGTATTTTGTTCTAAAAGCTATACAATTAGTTCATTTTCTTATTAATGGACATTTTGGTTGTTTCCTGTTTTGGGCTATTATGACTAAAAGATACATAAATATTGTGCAAATAAATATTTTATAATTATCTCCTTTTTTAGCATTTACATTACACTTCTTTGCATTTTTTAGTGGTTGCTGCAGGGAATACAATATGAATCTTTAACATATCCACCATACTTTTAGAGTTAATACTATACTGTCTTAAATATAAAACATGAAAAATTTGCTACAGAACAGTTCCATTTATCTTCTTATTCCATGTGTTATAAATTTTACAACTACAAATTATAAATCCTACAATACAGTGTTATAATTTGTTTCAAATAGTCACAAGTCTAAGAAATTAAGAAAAAATTGTATTAATAAATATTAGATGGTAGATACTTAAAATATGCAAATACACTTTTCTTTTCTTTTTTTTTTTTTGAGACAGAGTTCTGCTCTTGTCGCCCAGGCTGGAGTGCAATGGCATGATCTTGGCTCAAAACAACTTCTGCTTCCCAGGTTCAAGTGACTCTCCTGCTTCAGCCTCCCAAGTAGCTGGGATTATAGGTACCCACCACCATGCCCGACTAATTTTTTCATTTTTAATAGAGACGGGGTTTCACCATGTTGGCTAGGCTGGTCTTGAACTCCTGACCTCAGGTGATCCACCCGCAGAGGCCTCCCAAAGTGCTAGGATTACAGGCATGTGCCACCGAGACTGGCCCAAATACACTCTTTAGTGTTTAAGTTTTTCCTGAAATTTTTGAATTCCTCGGGGAATCTTCCCTATGGTAATTATTACTGTGATGTTCTAGTGTTGATTTATTTTGCATTATCCAACTACATTGATCTGTATTTTAAATATTGTAGATTTCATTCCTTCTTTCCTTATTTAATCTCTTTTATTCACACAGTAGAGATGAGTATTACTTTATTCTGTGGGCCATAATCCAAAGCTATCATAACTTATTGCTCATATTGTTGGAGCTTGGACCATTGGGAGGTCTTTCAGGTTGGCTCCCTTTGAAAAGTCCCCATCATTTTTATTAAGCACTTTTTTCTTTGTGGCTTTACAAGATACTCTAGCTCAACTTGTATTTTCTAACTTCAACCCTTGGGTCCTTTTAATGAATGTTGTTTAGAAACCAAGATTGTAGACCTAGATGTGTTGATACAAGATGTCACCAGTTCTTGGCCCTCAAGAGTTTGGAACATTATCTATCTCTGAATCGTCTATCTATGTATCTATCTATCTATCTATCTATCTAACTATCCATCCATCCATCCATCCATCCTTCCAGATATCTTAGACATCGCTTCATCTATCTATCTATCTATCTATCTATCTATCTATCTATCTATCTACCTACCTACCTACCTACCTACCTATCTTTATATCTATTCATCCATCCATCCATCCAGATGTATTAGTCATGGGTTCATCCTGATATTTCCAACTTTGGGCTAGGACCACAAGATTCATGCTAGCATTCACCATTTAACTTTTGTGAACTACACTGAGAAACAGCCTCCATATATTATATAATAACATGTAAAACTGTTTCAGAATTGCTAATGCATATCCTTGTAGGAAAATAAAATATTACTCAGTAGAATACAGCATTTGTGTAGTCTTACAGCATTCAATCAAAATACTGTTTTTCAAAGTGACTTAGATGCAGACCTTTTATCCCCATCCTCCTCAGTAGGGTTATGTCTATAGGTAGATGACAGATAATTTGTTTGTTTATAGACAGAGTCTCACTCTGTTACCCAGGCTGGAGTGTGAGGCACAAACTTGGCTCACTGTAACCTTCATCTCCTCAGTTCAAGCAACTCTCCTGCCTTTGCCTCCTGAGTAACTGGGATTACAGGTGTGTGCCACCACATCCAGCTAATTTTTGTATTTTCAGTAGAGACGAGATATCACCATGTTGGCCAGGCTGGTCTCAAACTCCTGACCTCAAATGATCCTCCTGCCTCAGCCTCCCGAAATGCTGGGATTACCGGCGTGAGCCACCACACCTGGACAGCACCATTAAATTTTACAAAAACATTCTTAAAATCCATGAGAACTTATAAGTAATAGTTTATAAGCTTTGAAATAAGAAAATTATATAATTCTTCTCACATGAATCACAGGCAAGAAAAAAGGATTTGTACGGGATAAAGTCTGAACCCAGAAGACATTAGATTTATCAGAGAAAAATTCAGTGTGCAATGAAAAGCTAATTTAGCTTTAAGAATTTGGGAGGTTTCTAATTTGAGAACTGTAATAAATCAACAGTTCTCCAGTTTCCTGTTGTGATCCATCATTTTCTTTTCCATTTGAAGACAGGTACACACACATGCATTTCTGCCTGTATAGTTCTCTTTCACCTTTTTCTTTCTATCTTAGTACATCTGTATATTCCATTTAATGCAAGTGAAAGCAAAGAAAAATCTCTAAGTGTTCAATTGGACTGAAAAAGGGCATGTGCAAAGAAAAATATTGAATAAAACTTTATAAACAATGATTCAGGATTTTAAAAGTATGGCATTTAAGTATACCCCCATATAATCTTTATTATAACTGTCATAGTACACCAGTAGCTACAAAAAGCAGGAAAGAATATAAAATAGTAACCATGAGAATATTACCAATATTATTAGAAGTTTAAGTTCTCTGGAAAATTGATATAAAGTATATTTATAATCTTTCAGATATGAGTTTTCACTTTTCTCTGATATCTGTGAAGATGTTTTTATTTTTAACACATCAAATAATATTCAAGATTACTACTTCATTGTACTATAAAGGTATGCCAGTATTTTAAATAACTGACCAGTGTTTTTCTACTTAAGGAGCAATTGATGTAATAAATAAATTCAGAATATTCCTCTTTTACTTTAGTATAGAATACTAATGCCCTAAATATGTACTATATGTTTACACATATTACTGTTTAATGATTCAAACACAAAGAGCCTCTTTTAGATTTTCTTCATGTATTTTACATTTGCCATTAAATTTCCAAGAAAATAAGTTGATATTAATGATGTTCACCTACTATAGAACGACCTCTTACAGCTCTGATGCAGAAAAAATAGACTATATGTTTTTATATAAACACTAGGCATTAAGGTATAACAACTAATCTGAGAATTAAATTATGATTTGCTTTATACAAATTTCAAATGTTTTCAATACAAATAACATGCTCACTGAATAATTACTTGTCCAAACATCAATGCTTTTGCTCATTTGAAACACATAACAAAATAAGTAACTGCTTTGGCTTTAGAGTAATCCTCCATAACAAATACTCTTATTTAATTTTAAAGTGGGGATCTGTGCTTTAGTCCTTTTTTGTGTAAGTCCTGACACATTCAGATTTGAGTTCTGATTAAATACTTCCTCCCATTTATTCAATCTGTAAAGTCGGTTTCCCTATAAACTCTATGGTGATTTTTAAGTTCTAAATTTTGGATAAAACTCTTTTCACATTTACTACAACTATAGAAATTCTCTAGTATGAATACTTTTATGTCGAGTAAGGGTTGAGCATCGATTAAATAATTTGCCACATTCTTTACATTTGTAGGGTTTCTCTCCAGTATGAATCATCTGATGTCGTCTAAGGTTTGAAGACCGGTTAAAGGAGATGCCACAATCCTTACATATATATGGTTTCATTCCAGTATGAGTTATCTGATGCACAGAAAGACATGAGGAATGAGAGAAAGATTTGCTACATGCTTTACATTTGTAAAGTTTTACTCCAGTATGAATTCTCTGATGTTTAGTAAGGGATGAACTACAGTTAAAGGCTTTGCCACATTCTTTACATATGTAGGGTTTCTCTCCGGTATGAATTCTTTGATGTTGAGTAAGGCGTGAACTACAATTAAAGGCTTTGCCACATTCTTTGCATTTATAGGGTTTTTCTCCAGTATGAATTCTCTGGTGGACAATAAGACTTGAGGAACGAGAAAAAGATTTGCTACATGATTTACATTTGTAAAGTTTTTCTCCGGTATGAATTCTCTGATGTTTAGTTAGGTACGACCTACAGTTAAAGGCTTTGCTGCATTCCTTACATTTATAGGGTTTCTCTCCAGTATGAATTCTCTCATGCTGAGTAAGGGCTGAAGACACTTTAAATGATTTACCACATTCTTTACATTTGTAAGGTTTCTCTCCAGTATGAATTCTCTGATGCACAAGAAGATTTGAAGAATGAGTAAAACATTTGCTACACGCTTTACATTTGTAAAGTTTTTCTCCAGTGTGAATTCTCTGATGTCTAGTAAAATATGAACTAGAATTGAAGGCTTTGCCACATTCTTTACATTTGTATGGTTTCTCTCCAGTATGAATTATTTGATGTTGAGTAAGGTGTGAACGATGGTTAAAGGCTTTGTCACATTCTTTACATTTGTAAGGTTTCTCTTCATTATGGATTATCTTATGTTTTCTTAGACTTGACAATTTACTAAGGATTTTCTCACCATTATTACATCTGTGTGACTTTTCTCCAATATGGATTCTCTGAGGCTGAGTATGTTTTGATGACTGGATAAAAGTTTCTATACACTTATTACATTTGGCAGACTTCTCTTGAATAAAGATACTCTGATGGACATGGTTGGTGCATTCATGAAAGGCTTTCTCACATTTTTTACGTTTGCAATGGTTATGTAGAAAATGAGTTTTCTGATGTCTTCTGGGGCTTATGCCTTGGCTTAATGTTGTATCAGATTTATTGTACTGATTTTTCTCTGCAACACAAATATACTGGTAATTATTTAGGGTATAGTCCTGCCTAAAGGCTGTCAAAGTTTTATTATGTGTGTGATATTTTCCCAAATTATCTATTCCTTGACATTGATTAAGCAATGATGAATGAATGAAGACCTTTCTATATTGATCACAGGCAGAACGAGGTGTTATTTGTTGGTGAAACAAACTTTTAACAAAGATCCATCAAATTGATCATATTTAGAAATCACCTCCTCGTTTTTAAATCTCTCCTTTTCAGAAATATTTGACTGAACATTTACTCCAGTTCTATATTTTAATTGGTTTAAATGATTATTTGAAACATGGACTAAGTCACTATTCGGATTATCCAAATTTCCTTTAAAAGAAAAGGTAAGTTTCAAAAATTGATGTTGACACTTACTTACAGAAACACATGGTTTAGAAAAAGCAACTGACATAAATTGAGTTTTTTCATGTTTTTGACCTCCTGTAACAGTGAGGTTTTTGTTATAGGTAGTTGTCTTACATTTTGTATGTCCATCATAATATCCATTGTGACCTTCACACTTACCCTCACTTTCCCACTCTTTCCTTAAGTTTAAATTCTGAGGGCCACAGCTCCCATATCCATCCAATATCACTTTTTGGAATGATGCTTCTATAAGCTTCTTTCTTAAGAGGCCTTGAGTATCATGAGAAAAGATATCTGAAAGATACCAAAAGTTTTCAAAATTCCAATTACTAAATTCAGGTGAAAATACTTTATAAATCTAATACACAAATTATATCACGTTGAGAACACCATGATAGTTGAATCAAAAACTTGAGGCCCCTTTGTTTTCTCAATTGATATATGAACTTAAATGTAATAGGGTGACTAAAGCCAGGTGAGTTTGCAGCACCTAGGTGAACACAAAGCCAAGAATGGTCACATATAGAAGGAAGAAAGTTTGTTGTATTTGTGCACCACAGCACAGTGCAGTTACACAAAAATTTTTCGCATTCTGTTTCGCTCTCAGGAAAGAAAAATAAAAGGAGCAAAACATATGTCCAAAGTTCTGGGTTATTCTGGGGCTATCTAAAGACTGGCCATTGCTTCCTTTAATATGTGGTGCTGAAGAAAATGGTGATATAGTTGAAATGATATGTCGGGTCAACTGAGAACAAACATGAATGCTTGTTACAAGAACAGAGAGACAGTAGTGCCTATGACACTCAACAAAGGGGGAGATTAAAGGCTCCTAAGAGAAAAAGAAAAAAGCAAACCTTTTTAATAGGAAAATACACACAGTAGTCCAGAGAAGAAACATCCTGACAACAGTATGAAGAATCTCCCAGAATGACTAGAGTACCTGATGGGTATCAGTTTTCACATGTACAAATTCATTCCATAATAGATGGAATAGGTAGCTGTCTCTTACTTGATCAAAATATCAACAAAATCACAAGACATCAAAGTAACCAAAACACATGGCTCAATAAAGGGACCAAAATGAAAGTGAATCTAAAGAAGCAGAAATCTATTAACTAACATATTAATATCCAAGTGAAGCTAGAGAAGTAGAAATCTATTAACTAATTTTAAAATAATTTAAAATATCTATCTTTGTCTTATAGACAAGGTCTTGCACTGTCACCAGGCCAGAGTACAATCATAGCTCACTGGAACCTCGAATTCCTGGCCTAAAGCAGTCACCCTACCTCACTTCCCCAAGTGGCTATGACTACAAAAACACACCATCACATCTGAATAATTTTTTAAGTTCTTTGTACAACCAGGGTCTTGCTAGGTCATTTAGGCTGGTCAAAAATTCCTGGCCTCAAGGAATACTATAGCCTCAGATTCTCAAAGTGCTGGGATGAAACCAGCAACTGAACCTGGCATTTTGTGACTTCTTTAAGAAATGAGAATATTAACCCAACAACCATACAAAAGCACAAGGATGTATTCCATAATGATAAAGGGTTCAATTCAACAAGAATACCTACACATGCTAAACACCTATGCACCAAACTTCGGAGCACCGAGATTCATAAAACAAGTGCTTCTAGTCCTGAGAAAAGAATTAGTCACATAATAACAGTGAGGTATTTCAACATCCCATGGACATCATTAGATCCCTGAGGCAGAAAATTCACAAAGAAATTTTAGACATCAATTCCACATAACCTAATAGGCATCTACAGAATAGACCAACTGGACCTAATAGACATCTACAGAATATTCCACCCATCAACCACAGAACACATACATCCTTCATATGCACACAGGACATACTTGAAGATTGACCCTATACACTCAGCCAGAAAGCAAGTCTCAATAAATTAAAAAGAAAAAAATCATACCAGTCATACTTTTGGACTAAAATAGAATAAAAACAGAAAACAATACCAAGAAGATCTCTCAAAACCACAGAAATGCATAGAAATTAAACAACTGGCTCCTCAACAACTTTTGAGTAAACAATGATATCAAGGCAGAAATTTAAAAGTTCTTTGAAATAAGTGAAAACAGAGAAAACACATACCAAAATCTTTGGGACACAGCTAAAGCCACATTAAAAGAAGCTTATAACACGAAATGCCTATTTCAAGAAGTCAGATCTCAAATTAATGATATAACATCACTTGTAAAGAAACTAGAAAAAGAAAAATAAGCTGAGCACAAATGTAGAAGAATAGAAATAACTAAAATCAGATAACTGAATTAATTGAGACCCCAAATTCCATACAAAGCATCAGCAAAACCAAAAGTTGGTTCTTTGAAAGGGTAAACGAGATTGATAGACCACTAGCTAGGTTAACAAAGAAAAACAGAAGATCCAGATAAGCACAATCAGAAACAACAAAGGGGACATTGCAATCGATCCCACAGGTATACAAAAGATTCTCAGAGACTTCTATGCACATAAATTAGAACATCTAGAGGAAATGGATAAATTCCTAGAAACACAAAATTTCCAAAGATTGAATAGGGAAGAAACTGAAACCCTGAACAAACCAGTATCAAGTTCTGATACTGAATCAGTAATAAAAAATTTACCAACCAAAAAAGCCCTGGACAAGATGGATTCACAGCTGAATTATATCAGAAGTACAAGGAAGAGCTGGTATCAGTTCTACTAAACTATTCCAAAATATAAGAAGGGACTCCTCCCCTTTCATTCTATGAGGCCAACATCACTCTGTTACCAAAATCTGGCAAAGACACAATGAACAAATAAAACTACAGGACAATATCTCTAATGAACATAGACACAAAAATCTTCAACAAAATAGTAGCAAGCCAAATCCAGCAGCATACTCAAAGTTAATTTACCACAATTAGCTAGGCTTTATTCCTAGAATGCAAGGTTAGTCTAACATATAGAAATTTAAAAATGTGATTCACCATATAGAATCAAAATTTAAAAGCTAGGCGCAGTGGCTCACACCTGTAATCCCAGCACTCTGGAAGGCCGAGGCCGGTGGATCACCTGAGGCCAGGAGTTCGAGACCAGCTTGGCCAACATGGCGAAACCCTGTCTCTACTAAAAATACAAAAATTAGCTGGGTGTGATGGCACATTCCTGTAGTCACAGGTACTCTGGCGACTGAGGCATGAGAATAATTTGAACCCAGGAGGCGGAGGTTGCAGTGAGCACTCCAGCCTGGGGGATAGAGTGGGACTCCAGCTCCAAAAAAAATCACCATTTCAATATATATGAGATAAGCTTTTGATAAAACTTAATATCCCTTAATGATAAAAAAAAAACCCCTCAACAAACTAAGCATTGAAGAAACATACCTCTAAATGAGAGCCATCTATGAGAAACCCACAGCCAACACACTGACAAAGCAAAAGCTGGAGGCATTCCCCTTAAAAACAAGAATGAGAGAAGAACACCCTCTCTCACCACTTCTATTCAACATAGTAATGGAAGTACTAGCCAGAAAGATCAGTCAAGAGAATGAAATAAAAGGCATCCAAAGAGGAAAAGAAGAAAGTAACATCATCTCTGCTCATATGATTCTACACCTGGAAAGACTGTGCCAAAAGGCTCCTGAAACTGATAAGGAACTCCAGTAAAGTTTTAAGATACAAAATCAAAGTACAAAACTCAGTAGCATTTCTATACACCAATAACATGCAAGCTGAGTGCCAAATCAAGAACATAATTCCATTTACAATAGCCACACACACAAAGAAAAAACCGAATACCTAGGAATAGATCTAACCAATGAGGTTAAAGATCTCTACAAGAGGAACTATAAAACACTGTTGAAAAAAATGATAGACAACACAAACAACTGGAAAAACATTCCATGCTCAAAGAATCAACATCATTAAAATGGCCATACTGCCCAAAGCAATCCAGAGATTCCACACTATTCCTATCAAACTACCAACGTCATTTTTCACAGAATTAGAAAAAAACTATTCTAAAATTCATATGGAACTAAGTAAGAGTCCAAATAGCCAAAGCAATCCTAAACAAAAGAACAAAACCAAAGGCTTCACATTATCCAACTTCAAACTATACTATAAGCCTACAGTCACCAAAACAGCATGGTACTGGCATAAAAATACACACAGGGGCGGGGCCAATACAGCTGACTAGAAACAGTAGCGTTCGGAGGCTCCCATCGAAAAGAACAATAATAAGTGTGTGAATCTTTCACCAGCAACCAAGGTATCCAGATTCTCCCATCAGAACTGACTAGGAGGCTGGCATGATCCACAGAGAAAGTAATAACAGTGTGGTGTGGCTTTGAGAGCCACACAGGGGAGGAGAGCCCTGTCCTGCCAGCCAGAGGAGTCAGTGTGTGAGTGTGCTACTCAGCCAGGAAAACCATGCTTCTTCCAGGGAACTGTGCAACCCACGGATCGGAAGATCCCATTCGTGAACTCATGCCACTGAGTCTTAGCATCCCAACCCTGTGGCTGCACAGATTCTCAACAGCCTCTCAGCTGGAATCTGCTTAAGCCTACAGAGCACCTGCAGGGAGGGGCGACAAGCACCACAGCTGCATCTGCCTGCTGTCTAAGCCATTTGAGCTCCTTGGCAGAGGGGCAGTAGCCAGCACTGGGGCTCACAACTGCATAACATGCTAAGCTCCCAGGGTGAGGGAAGGGCAACATCCACCTCTATAGCTCCAGGCTGTGCTTTTCCCCTTCTGGAGTCAGGGAGGCTGCATGGCTTGGTCCCAAGATGTGTCCCTGACAACCCAACACACTGGCTGTGGCAGACTGCAGCCAGAGTGCCTCTTCAGGCCTGACCCAGGCCATCCTTTCTCACTGTGCACAGCTTCCCTGCAGGAACTCCATTAACTCCAGCCAGAGGTTCAGGGAAAGAACCCAGATCTCACTGGGCCTGAGCCCCTAGCGAGAGGGGTGACAACAGTCTCTGTGGACCAACAGACTTAGCCTTTCCTCCTGGTAGTTCTGAGGAATCCAGGCAGCCCAGACAAGTGGGTTTTTCCCCAGCAAAGCACACTACCTCCACCAAGGGACAAAGTGCTTCATTAAATGGGTCCTATTCCATGTGCCACCCAACAGGGTGAGACCCTCAACAGGGGTTGTCAGACACCCTATACAAGGGCAATCCTACTGGCATCAGGTTGGTGCCCCCCGGAGTTCAGAGTGGGACCTGACCATTGCAAGAAAAACAAACAGAAAGCAACAACAACAGCATCAACAACAACAAAAACTCCCACAAAAACCCCATCCAAGGGTCAGCAGCCTTAAAGATCAAAACTAGACAAACTCACAGAGATGAGAAAGAATCAACTAAAAAAAGCTGAAAACCCAAAAGCCAGAGTGCCTCTTCTCCAAATGATTGCAAGATCTCTCCATCAAGGGCATAGAACTGGACAGAAGATGAGACGGAAGAATTGACAGAAGTAGGCCTCACAAGATGGGTAATAAAAAACTACACTGAGCTAAAGGAACATGTTCTAACTCAATGCAAAAAAGCTAAAAACCTTCATAAAAGGTTAGAGGAGCTGCTAACTAGAATAAACAGTTTAGAGAGGAACATAAGCCAAAAGAACAAAGCTGGAGGCATCACGCTACCTGACTTCAAACTATACTACAAGGCTACGGTAACCAAAACAGCATGGTTCTGGTACCAAACAGAGATATAGACCAATGGAACAGAACAGAGCCCTCAGAAATAATGCCGCATATCTACAACTATCTGATCTTTGACAAACCTGACAAAAACTAGAAATGGGGAAAGGATTCCCTATTTAATAAATGGTGCTGGGAAAGCTGGCTAGCCATATGTAGAAAGCTGAAACTGGATCCCTTCCTTACACCTTATACAAAAATTAATTCAAGATGGATTAAAGACTTACATGTTAGACCTAAAACCATAAAAACCCTAGAAGAAAACCTAGGCATTACCATTCAGGACATAGGCATGGGCGAGGACTTCATGTCTAAAACACCAAAAGCAATGGCAACAAAAGACAAAATTGACAAATGGGATCTAATTAAACTAAAGAGCTTCTGCACAGCAGAAGAAACTACCATCGGAGGGAAGAGGCAACATCCAGAATGGGAGAAAATTTTTGCAATCTACTCATCTGACAAAGGGCTAATATCCAGAATCTACAATGAACTCAAACAAGTTTACAAGAAAAAAACAAACAACCCCATCAAAAAGTGGGCAAAGGACATGAACAGACACTTCTCAAAAGAAGACATTTATGCAGCCAAAAGCCACACGAAGAAATGCGCATCATCACTGGCCATCAGAGAAATGCAAATCAAAACCACAATGAGATACCATCTCACACCAGTTACAATGGCGATCATTAAAAAGTCAGGAAACAACAGGTGCTGGAGAGGATGTGGAGAAATAGGAACACTTTTACACTGTTGGTGGGACTGTAAACTAGTTCAACCATTGTGGAAGTCGGTGTGGCGATTCCTCAGGGATCTAGAACTAGAAATACCATTTGATCCAGCCATCCCATTACTGGGTATATACCCAAAGAATTATAAATCATGCTTCTATAAAGACACATGCACATGTATGTTTATTGCGGCAGCATTCACAATAGCAAAGACTTGAAACCAACCCAAATGTCCAACAATGATAGACTGGATTAAGAAAATGTGGCACATATACACCATGGAATACTATGCAGCCATAAAAAAGGATGAGTTCATGTCCTTTGTAGGGACATGGATGAAGCTGGAAACCATCATCTCAGCAAACTATCGCAAGGACAAAAAACCAAACACCACATGTTCTCACTCATAGGTGGGAATTGAACAATGAGAACACATGGACACAGGAAGGGGAACATCACACACTGGGGCCTGTTGTGGGGTGGGGGGAGGGGGTAGGGATAGCATTAAGAGATATACCTAATGCTAAATGACGAGTTAATGGGTGCAGCACACCAGCATGGCACATGTATACATGTGTAACAAACCTGCACATTGTGCACATGTACCCTAAAACTTAAAGTATAATAATAATTAAAAAAAAAAACAGAAACATAAATGACCTGATGGAGCTGAGAAACACAGCATGAGAACTTCATGAAGCACACACAAGTATCAATGGCCAAACGAACCAGGCAGAAGAAAGGACATCAGCATTTGAAGACCACCTGGCTGAAATAAGGCATGCAGACAAGACTAGAGAAAAAAATAATAAAAAGGAATGAACAAAGCCTCCAAGAAATACGTGACTTCACAAAAAGACTGAACCTACGATTGATTGGAGTACCTGAAAAACATGAGGAGAATGGAAACAAGCTGGAAAACATAATTCAGGATATTATCCAGGTGAACTTCCCTAACCTAGAAGTCAGGCCACTATGCAAATTCAGGAAATACAGAGACCACTACTAAGATACTCCATGAGAACATTAACCCCAAGACACATACTCATCAGATTCTCCAAGGTCGAAATGAAGGAAACAATGTTAAGGGCAGCCAGAAAGAAAGGCCAGGTCACCTAAAAAGGGAAATCTATCAGACTAACAGTAGGCCTCTCAGCAGAAATTCTGTAAGTCAGAAGAGACTGGGGGCCAATATTCAACATTCTTAAAGAAAAGAATTTTCAACCCAGAATTTCATATCCAGCCAAACTAAGCTACAAAAGCGAAGGAGAAATAAAATCTTTTCCAGACAAGCAAATGCTGAGGGATTTCATTACCACCATGCCTGCCTTGCAAGAGCTACTGAAAGAAGTACTAAAAATGGAAAGGAAAAACTGGTACCAGCCACTGGAAAAACACAAAAACATAAAGACTAATGACACTGTGAAGAAACCACATCAACTAGTGCACAAAACAGCCAAATAGCATCATGATGACGGGATCAAATTCACACATAACGATACTAACCTTAAATATAAATGGGCTAAATGTCTCAATTAAAAGACACAGACTTGCAAATTGGATAAAGAGTCAAGACCAATTGGTTTGCTGTCAGGACACCCATCTCATGTGCAAAGACACATATAGGCTCTAAATAAAGGGATAAAGGAAAATTTACCAAGCAAATGGAAAGAAAAAAAAAAGCAGGGGTTGCAATCCTAGTTTCTGACAAAATAGACTTTAAACCAACAAATATCAAAACAAGCAAAGAAGAGTATTACATAATGGTAAAGGGAACAACTCAACAAGAAGAGCTAACTATTCTAAATATATATGCACCCAATACAGGAACACCCATATTCATAAAACAAGTTCTTAGAGACTTACAGAGACGTAGACTCCCATACAATAACAGTGGAAGACTTTAACACTCCACTGTCAATATTAGACAGATCAACAAGACAGAAAATTAACAAGGATATTCAAGACTTAAACTCAGCCCTGGATCAAGTGGACCTAATAGACATCTACAGAACTCTCCATTCCAAATCAACAGAATATACATTCTTCTCGGTGCCAGATGGCACTTATTCTAAAATCAACCACATAATTGGAAGTATAACACTCTTCAGCAAATACAAAATAACTGAAATCATAACAAACAGTCTCACAGACCACACAGCAACCAAATTAGAAATCACCATTAAGAAACTCACTCAAAACCATACAATTACATGGAAATTGAAGAACCTGCTCCTGCATGATTCCTGGGAAAATAATGAAATTAAGGCAGAAATCAAGAAGTTCTTTGACACCAATGAGAACAAAGAGACAACATACCAGAATCTCTGGGATGCAGGTAAAGCAGTGTTAAGAGGGAAATTTATAGCACTAAATGCCCACAACAGAAAGCTAGAAAAATCTCAAATCAACACCCTAACATTACAATTAAAAGAGCTAGAGAGGCAAGAGCAAACTAATCCAAGAGTTAGCAGAAGACAAGAAATAACCAAGATCAGAGCAGACTTGAAGGAGATAGAGACATGAAAAACCCTCCAAAAAATAAATGAACCAAGGAGCTAGTTTTTTGAAAAAGCTAACAAAATAGATTGACCACTAGCTAGACTAATAAAGAAGAGAAAAGAATCAAATAGACACAATAAAAAGTGATAAAGGGGATACCACCACTGACCTCACAGAAACACAAACTACCACCAGAGAATACCATAAATATCTCTACACAAGTAAACTAGAAAATCCAGAAGAAATGGATAAATTCCTGGACACATACACCCTACCCTCCCAATACTAAACCAGGAAGAAGTCGAATCCCTGAATAGACTAATAACAAGTTCTGAAATTGAGGCAATAATAGCCTACCAACCAAAAAATGCCCAGGACCAGATGGATTCACAGCCGAATTCTACCAGAAGTACAATGAGGAGCTGGTAACATTCCTTCTGAAACTATTCCAAACAATTGAAAAGGAGGGACTCCTCAATAACTCAGTTTATGAAGCCAGCATCATCCTGGTACCAAAACTGGGAAGAGAGACAACAAAAAAAGAAAACTTCAGGCTAATACCCCAATGAACATTGATGTGAAAACCCTCAATAAAATACTAGCAAACTGAATCCAGCAGCACATCAAAAAACTTATCCACCACGATCAAGTTGGATTCATCCCTGGGATGTGAGGTTGGTTCAATATATGCAAATCAATAAACGTAATCCGTCATATAAACAGAACCAAAGACAAAAACCACATGATTATCTCAATAGATACAGAAAAGGCCTTTGATAAAATTTATCATTCCTTCATGTTAAAAACTCTCAATAAACTAGGTATTGATGGAACATATCTGAAAATAATAAGAGCTATTTATGACAAACTCATAGCCAATATCATATTGAATGAGCAAAAGCTGGAAGTATTCCCTTTGAAAATTAGTACAAGACAAGAATGCCATTTCTCACCACTCCTATTCAACACAGTATTGAAAGTTCTGGCCAGGGCAATCAGGCAAGAGAAAGAAATAAAGGGTATTCAAATAGGAAGAGAGGAAGTCAATTTGTCTCTGTTTGCAGATGACATAATTTTATATTTAGAAAACCAGTCATCTCAGCCAAAAAAAACTCCTTAAACTGATAAGCAACTTCAGAAAAGTCTCAGGATACAAAATCAATGTGCAAAAATCACAAGCATTCCTTTACAACAAGAATAGACAAGCAGAGAGTTAAATCATGAATAAACTCCCATTCACAATTGCTACAAACAGAATAAAATACCTAGGAATACAGCTAATAAGGGATGTGAAGGAACTCTTCAAGAAGAACTTCAAACCACTGCTCAAGAAAATAAGAGAGGACACAAGCAAATGGAAAAATATTCCATCCTCATGGATAGGAAGAATCAACATTGTGAAAATGGTCATACTGCCCAAAGTAATTTATAGATTAAATACTATTCCCATCAAACTACCATTGACATTCTTCACAGAATTAGAAAAACACTACTTTTATTTCATATGGAATCAAAGAAGACCCCATATAGCCAAGACAGTCCTAAGCAAAAAGAACAAAGCTGGAGGCATCACGCTACCTGACTTCAAATTACACTAAAAGGCCACAGTAACCAAAACAGCACGGTACTGGTACCAAAACAGATATATAGACCAATGGAACAGAATAGAGACCTCAGAAATAACACCATACATCTACAACCATCTGATTTTCAACAAACCTGACAAAAACAAGCAATGGGGAAAGGATTCCCTATTTAATAAATGGTGCTGGGAAAACTGACTAGCCATATGCAGAAAACAGAAACTAGACCCTTTTCTTGCACCTTATACAAAAACTAACTCAAGATGGACTAAAGACTTAAATGTAAAACCCAAAACCATAAAAACCCTAGAAGAAAATCTTGGCAATACTATTGAGGACATAGACATGGGCAAAGACTTCACGACTAAAACACCAAAAGCAATTGCAACGAAAACCAAAATTGACAAATGGGATCTAATTAAACTAAAAGCCTGGTTACCTACAGAATGGGAAAAATGTTTACAAACCACCCATCTGACAAAGGTCTAATATCCAGAATTTATAAGAAACTTAAACAAATTTACAAGAAAAAAACAACCTCATCAAAAAGTGGGCAAAGGATATGAGCAGACACTTCTTAAAAGAAGACATTTATGCAACCAACAAACATAAGAAAAACATCTCAACATGACTGATCATCAGATAAATGCAAATCAAAACCATAATGAGACACCATCTCATGCCAGTCAGAATGGCAATCATTAAAAAGTCAAGAAACAACAGATGCTGGCCAGGCTGTGGAGAAATGGAAACGTTTTTACAATGTTAGTGGGAATGTAAATTAGTTCAGCCACTGTGGAAGACAGTGTGGTGATTCCTCAAGGATCGAGAATCAGAAACACTATTTGACCCAGCAATCCCATTACTGGGTATATACCCAAAGGAATATAAATCATTCTACTATAACGACACATGCACACGTATGTTTGCTGCAGAATTATTTACAATAGCAAAGACAGGGAACCAACCCAAATACCCATCAATGATAGACTGGATAAAGAAACTGTGGTACATAAACACCATGGAATACTATGAAGCCATAAAAAGGAATGAGATCATGTCCTTTGCAGGGACGTGAATGAAGCTGGAAGTCATCATCCTCAGCAAACTAACACAGGGACAGAAAACCAAAACACTGCATGTTCTCGCTTATAAGTGGGAGTTGAACAATGAGAACACATGGACACAGAGAGGAGAACAACACACACCAGGGCCTGGTGGGGGCTGGGTGGGTGAGGGGAAGGAACATAGACAATGGGTCAACAGGTGCAGCAAACCACCATGGCACACATATACCTATGTAACAAACCTGCATGTTCTGCAAATGTATCCCCCATCTTTTTTTTTTTTGAGGAAATAAAGAAAAACAAAAAATTTTTTTTAAAAAAGGACACACAGACCGATGGAACAGAATAGAGCACCCAGAAATAAATAGAGGCACACACTTACAATCATCTGATGTTCCACAAAGTCAACAAAAATAAGCAATAGTGAAAGGACTCCCTATTTAATAAATGGTTCTAGGATGACTGACTAACCACATGCAAACGAATGAACATAGACGCCTACATTTCACCATATATAAAAATTAACTCAAGATGATTAAAGATTTAAATTCAGAAACTTAATAAAAATACTAGAAGAAAATCTGGCAAATACCATTCTAGACATTGACTTTGGCAAAGAATTTGTGGCTAAATTCTCAAAAGCAATTGTAACAAAAACAAAAATTGACAAATGGGACCTAATTAAAGAGTTTCTGCACAGCAAAAGAAACTGTGAAAAGAATCAATAACCTACAGAACAGGAGAAGATATTCACAAACTATCTACCTGACAAAGGCCTAATTCCAGAATCCATATGAAATTTAAATTAACAAGAAAAAAAATAACCCCATTAAAAAGTGGGCAAAGGGCAAGAGCAGACACTTCTCAAAAGAAGACATACAAGCAGCCATCAAGCATACGAAAAAATGTTACACATCACTACCCATCAGAAAAATGCAAATCAAAACCACACTGAGATACTATTTACACCACTCAGAATAGTGATTACTGAAAAGTCAAAAAACAGATGCTGGCAAGTGCCAGCAGTAAAGATAATACTTATACACTGATGATGGGAATGTAATTAAATTAGCTCAGTCACTGTGAAAAACAGTTTGGAGATTTCTGAAAGAACTCAGAACTACCATTTGACCCAACAATTCTATTACTCAGTATATACCCAATGGAAAATGAATTGTTCTACCAAAAAGTCACATGCACTCATATGTTCATCACAGCACTATTCACAATAGCAAAAACATGGAATCAGCCTAGATGCCCATCAATGGTGGACTGGCTAAAGAAAATGTGGTACATATACACCGTGGAATACTATGCAGCCATAAAAAAAATAAAATCATGTCCTTTGCAACAACATGGATGCAGCTGTTATCCTAAGTAAATTAACACACAGGAACAGAAAACCAAAGACCATGTTCTTATAAGTGGGAACTAAACATTAGGTACATATGGACATAAAGATGGGGAAAAGAGACAATGGGGACTCATGGGGGCAGTAAAGGAAGGAAGCAAGGGCTGAAAAACTATCTATTAGGCACTATGCTCATTATCTGGATGATGGGATCATTCAGACATCAAACCAGTGTAATGCAATATACCCATGTAATGAACCAACACATGTACACCTTGAATCTAAAATAAAAGTCAAAAGTATATTAAGAGAAAAAAGAAACAGAAAAAAATGGGGTCTTACTCTGTCACTCAGACTGGAGTACACTGGTACAATCATAGCTCAATGTAGCCTAGCCTCAAATTCCTGGGGTAAAGCAATCCTCCTGACACAGCCTCCTGAGTCACTGGGACTACAGGCACATGCCACAACAACTAATTAAAAAAAAAAAAAATCTTAGACGCAGGGTCTTGCAATACTGCCCAGGCTGGCCTCAAGTGATCCTCCTGCCTTAGCCTCCAAAGTAGCTGGGATTACATGCACACACCACTCTGCCTAGCAAAATATCTATTTTAAAGATGCTTAACCAGTTAAAGGAGAACACAGACAAATTAACAAAAGAAGACAAAAATGCATGAAGAAAATGAGGTTATGAACAGAGATTAAAACTATAAAAACACAAAGTATGGAGCTGAAAAATAACTAAATTTAAGGATTCACTAGAGGGTTCAACAGCAGACTTGATCTAGCAGAAAAATAACCCAACAAGCTTGATAACAGGTTATTTGAAAGTATATGGTCAGGACAGCAAAAATAAAAAAACAGAGTGTCTAAGGGACTAATGGGGTACTATCAAGTAGGCCAATGCTGAGACCAGCTCGGTCGTGGAGACCTAACCCAGCAGCGCTAGAGGAATTAAAGACACACACACAGAAATATAGCATGTGGAGTGGGAAATCAGGGGTCTCACAGCCTTCAGAGCTAAGAGCCCCCGAACAGAGATTTACCCACATATTTATTGACAGCAAGCCAGTGATAAGCATTGTTTCTATAGATTATAGACTAACTAAAAGTATTCCTTACAGGAAACAAAGGGATGGGCCAAAATAAAGGGATGGGCCAAAATAAAGGGATGGGCTCTGGCTAGTTATCTGTAGCAGGAGCATGTCCTGAAGGCACAGATGGCTCATGCTACTGTTTGTGGTTTAAGAATGCCTTTAAGCGGCTTTCCACCCTGGGTGGGCCAGGTGTTCCTTGCCCTCATTCCGGTAAACCCACAACCTTCAGCATGGGCGTTATGGCCATCACGAACATGTCACAGTGCTGCCGAGATTTTGTTTATGGTCAGTTTTGGGACCAGTTTATGGCCAGATTTGGGGGCCTGTTCCCAATAGGCCAATTTACTCATAATGGGAATTCTAAAATGCAAAGACAGAGGAAAGAGTAGAAACTTTATTTTAAGAAATGATGGCTGAGAATTTTCCAAATTTGAGGGAGAAAATGGCCTAAAATTTAATGAAACTCTACCAACTCTAATTAGTAGCAACATAAAGAGATCCACAACAAGACACATTATAATCAGAGATTCAAAAGTTACGAACAAAGAGAATTTAGAAGCCAGAAAAAAAAAAATGTGACTTGGCATATGCAAGGCCCATTCCTAGGATGACCAGCAGATGTCTCAGCAAAAAATCTCACAGGTCAGAAAGTTGAAGAATGATATATTCAAAGTGCTGAATAATGACAACTACCAATCAAGAAAATGTTTTCTGCCAAAACTATCCTTTAACAATTTTGAAATAAGGAATATTCAAAATCCACAAAAGCTGAATGAATTCATATCCACTAGATCTGTTCTAAAAGAACTGCTAAATAGAGGCAGTTCTTCACATTGAAAAATAAAATGATGGTGAGTAGTAACACAAAATTATATAAAAATATAAAGTGTTCTGGTAACAGTAATTATATACACAAGTAAAATATTCTGTATTATAATGATGGTGCATAGAATACTTTTAATTCTGCTATAGATTTGAAAAGTCAAATACTTTAAAATAACCACAAATCTGTGCTAATGGATTCACAGTATAAAGTGATATAATTTGTGATATCAATAAAATACAATGGAGAGTTCATAAAGAGGCAGGATTTTTGTATGCAATTAAGGTTAGCAGCTTGAGGTAAATTGTTGTAACTTTAAGATGTTTTACATAATATCTATGGTAACCACAAAGCAAGTACCTATAATAGATACACAGAGAGAAGTGGGAAAGGAATTAAAACATGTCATTACAAAAATCAACAGAACACTAAGGAAGATAGCAAGAGAAGAAAACGGGACCAAAATAGATACAAAACCCAAAACAAAAAATTGAACAAAATGCAATGGTGAGTCATACCTTTCAGTAATTACTTTATACATAAATGAATAAATTCAAAAGACATAATTTGGCTGAATAAATTCAAGAAACAAGATCTAACTCCATGCTTTCTAGGGAAAACCAACTTTAGATCTAAGAACACATATGAGCTGAACATGAAAGAATGGAAAAAAAATAGTGTGCAAAGTAAAATACTGTCATATTAGTTAAAATACATGTTACATCAAAACATGTTACAAGAGACAAGAAAGAGCATTATATAATTATAAACGGGTTCACTGTCTAGGAAGCTATAATAAATATTAACATATATGCACCTAACATCACACCTCTCAAATATATGCAGCAACTAGCAAACTTTTACAGAATTGAAGCAATAAGTAGCCAGCAGTACAATAGTAGTAGGAGACTTCCATACTCCACTTTCAGTAATGGAAAGAATAAGAGACAAAAGATCAATAAGGAAACAGAGGACCTGAACAACACTATAGACCATTAGACCTAATAGTCATATACAGAACTAACCATTCAACAGCAGAATACACAATATCCATAACCATATATGGCACATGATCACCAATAGACAACCTGTTAAGCTGCAAAAAAACTTTTACCAAATTTAAGCAGATGACAATCACACAAAGCATCACTTCTTACTACAACAGAATAAAACTAGAAATTAAAAACAGAAAGAAAAATGGCATGTCCATGAATATGTGGAAATTAAATAAACTCTCAAACACACTTTTGTTCAAGATTTTGAAGACAATACTGTTAAGATGTCAATACTACCTAAAGTGATCTACAGATTCAATGTACTCTCCATCAAAATATTAATGGAACTTTTTGCACAAGTATTAACATAGTCTAAAATGTCTACGGAATCTCAAGAGACCACAGATGGATAAATAATCTTCCACAGATGGATAAACAATCTTGGGAAAGAAAAACAAAGAGGCATCATACTTTCTGATTTCAAAATATACTACATAGCTATTGTACTCAAAACAGTCTGCTACTGACATAAAGATAAATAAAAGATGAAACAGATTGGAGAGTCCAGAAATAAACACTCATGTATATAGTAAACTTATATTCAACAAGGGTTCCAAGAATTCACAATGAGAAAAGGGACAGTCTCTTCAACAAATAGGATTGGGCATATTGGAAATCCACAAGGGAAAAAATAAAGTTGGACCTTACCTTGCACATTTACAAACATGAACTCAAAATGGACTGACTTATTTTTTGTAGCTACTGTAACTCACATTTTTTATTTTCTTTTTCAGATGGTTTTCTATCAGCACACAGAGATGCCACTGAAATTTCTATGTTGATTTTGTATCCTGCGACTTTACAGAACTTGTTCATTAGTTCTAACAGGTTTTTTGTGTCATGTTTATGTTTTTATTATAAACAAGGTCATATTGTCTGTAAACAAGGACGATTTCATTTTTCCATTCCAATTTGGATGCCTTTTATTTCTTTCTCTTGACTAATTGCTCTGGCTAGAACTTCTAGTACTATGTTGAATAGGAGTGGTGAAAATTGGTATCCTTATCATGTTACAGATCTCAGAGAAAAAGCTTTCATCTTTTCCCTGTTTGATATATTAACACTGGTTTGTCATATTTACTGTGTTGAGATACATACCTTCTATACATAATTTGCTTAGAGTTTTCACTATAAAGAAAGTTAAATTTTGTCAAATACTTTTTCTGTGTATACAAATAACTATAAAAAATTAACATACCCAGCAATAAACTTAAATAAAAAAGTGAAAGATCTCTACACTGAAAATCATAAAACATGGATGAAAAAATGAAATACATGTGAATAGATGAAAATATATTGTGTTTATATATTGGAAGAATATTATTAAAATGGGCCAGGCGCAGTGGCTCACGCCTGTAATCCCAGCACTTTGGGAAGCTGAGACGGGTGGATCACCTGAGGTCAGGTGTTCAAGACCAGCCTGGTCAACATGGTGAAACCCTGTCTCTATCAAAAAAATATAAAAATTAGCTGGGCGTGGTGGTGGGTGCCTGTAATCCCAGCTACTTGGGAGGCTGAGGCAGGACAATCATTTGAATCCAGGAAGCGGAGGTTGCAGTAAGCCAAAATCGCGCCATTGCACTCCAACCTGGGTGACAAGAGCAAGACTCCATCTTAAAAAAAAAAAAAAAAAGAATATTATTAAAATGGGCATGTTACCCAAAGTGACCTATAGATTTAACGCAATTTCTATCAGAATACCAATGACATTCTTCACAAAAATAGAAAAAAAAAAAAAAAACTAAATGTACATGGAACCACAAAATACCCTGAATAGCCAAAGCAATCCTGAGCAAAAGGAACAAAGCAGGCTCAAGGCATCACACTACCTGACTTCAAAATTTACTACAAAGCTACAGTATCCCAAACAGCATTATACTGGCATTAAAGCAAACACATAGACCAATATGCCCAATGAGTCCATAAATAAATTCATGCTCCTAAAGCTGACTGATTTTCAACAAAGATGCCAAGAACACACTTTGGGGAAAAGACAATCTCTTTAATAAACGGTGCAGGAAAAATTGAATATCCATATACAGAAGAATAAGACTAGACCCCTAACCCTCATCATATACAAAAACCAACTCAAAATGGATTATAGACTTAAATGTAATGCCCTAAACTATGAAACTATTAGATGAAAACAGGGCAAATACTTTACAACATCGGACTTGGAAATTCCGACTTCAAAGCAAAGGCAACCTAAGCAAAAATAGGCAAATGAGATTACATCAACCTAAAAGACTTTTGCATATGAAATGAAATAACAGAGTGAAGAGACAACCTAGACAATGGGAGAAAACATTTGCAAACTATACATATGACAAGAGGTTAATATTGAGTATATAAGAAATTTGAAATCTCAAAATAAAACAAACATACAATCCAATTTAAAAATGTGCCACAGACCTTCATAGACATTAGTGAAAAGAAGACATACAAATGGCCAAAAGGTGCATAAACAGATGCTCAACTTCACTAATCATCAAGGGAATGCAAATACAAACCACAATGAGATACCACCACACTCCAGTTAAAATGACTATAATCAAAAAGACAAAAAATATAACTAAAACAAGTATTGGTGAGGATGTGAAGAAAAAGGAACACATATATACTGTTGATGGGATTGTAAAGTAGTATGGCCACTATAAAAGAGTATGGAGGTTCCTGAAAAATTAAAAATACAGCTGTCATATGATTCAGCAATTCCACTATTGGGTATATATCCAAAAGAAAGGAAATCAACGTGTCAAAAACATAGCTGCATTCCCATGTTTACTGCAGCACTCTTTATAACAGCCAAGATATGAAATCAATCCAAATGTACACCAAGAGATAAATGGATAAAGAAAATGTGGTGTAAATGCACAATGAATTACTATTCAGCCATTAAAAAAGAATAAAATCCTGTCCTTTGCAATAACATGGATGAACCATGAGATATCATGTTAAGTGAATAAGCCATATACAGAAAGATAAACCCTTCATGATCTTACTCAAATGAGTAACCTGAAAAGAAAGAAAGAAAAAAAGAAAGAAAGAGAGAGAAAGAAAAGAAAAGAGAAAAGAAAAGAGAAAAGAAAGGGCAGGCAGGCGGGCAGGGCACAGTGGCTCACACCTCTAATCCCAGCACTTTGCGAGGCCAAGAGGGGTGGATCATTTTAGTTCAAGAGTTCAAGACCAGTCTGGCCAATATGTTGAAACCCCGTCTCTACTAAAAATACAAAAAAATTAGCTGGGCATGGTGGTGCATGCCTGTAATCACAGCTACTCAGGAGGCTGAGGCAGGAGAATACCTTGAACCCAGGAGGCAGAGGTTGCAGTGAGCTGAGATCACGCCACTGCACTCCAGCCTGGGCAACAGAGCAAGACTCTGTCTTAAAAAAAAAAAAGAAAAAGAAAAGGAAAAAAAAGCTGATATAAGCAGAGTATAACAGTGGTTACCAGAGACTGAAGGGGGAGGAATAGAAAGAGGTTGGTTAACAGGTATAAAGTTACAATTACACAGGAGAAGTAAGTTCTGGTGTTCTATTACACAGTACAGTAACAATGGTTAATAGAAGGGTATTGCATATTACAAAATAGCTATAAAAGGCCAGTCACAGTGTAACATGCCTATAATCCCTGTACTTTGGGAGGCGGAAGCAGGAGCACCACTTAAGGTCAGGAGTTCAAGGCCAGCCTGGACAATGTAGTGAGACCCTATCTCTGCAAAAATTTTTTAAAATTAGCCAGGCACGGTGGCATATGCCTGTAGTCCTAACGACTTGGGGAGCTGAGGCAGGAGGATCACTTGAGCCCAAGAGTTTGAAGCTATGGTGAACTACAATTGTGCCACTGCACTTCAGCCTGGGTAACACAGTGAGATCCTGTCTCTACAAACAATAAAAGCTAAAAAAAAAAAAAAAAGTTAGAAGAGAGACTTTTGAATGTTCTCACCACTAAGAATTACCAAATACATGAGGTAATGCACTAAACATCCTGATATGATCATTATACAACACACACACATATATATAATTGTACTCCGTAAATATGTACAATTAACATTGTATCAATTTAAAAAGCAAACTAAAACTTAAACATAAAACCTATAAATATAAAACTCCTAGAAAAATACAGAAGTGGAAAGCTTGGTCATGAAAATTGGTCTTGGCAATGATTTTTTGGATATAATATCAAAGGATGAGGCAACAAAAAGCAAGAACATACACATGGTACTACATCCGTGTATCCAAAATATTCCAAGCATATTCAAAACAGAACGCGGAATAGATGTTTGCACACCCATGTACCCTGCAGCATTACTCCCAAAAGACAATACCTGGAAGCAATCAAAATGTTCCTTTATGGATGAGCAGATTAAACAAATGTGGCACACATACACAACAGAACATTACTGAGCCTTAAAAATCAGAGACATTTTGACAAGTATTAATAAGGACAAACCTTGAGGACATTATGTCAGGTGAAATAAGATAGTCAAAAAGAAAGAGACACTGTTTAATTACACTTACATAAAGTATCTACAGTAGCCAAACTCATAGAAACATTAGGCAGAATGGTGCTCTTCAGGAGCTGGAGAGAAGTGTGGAAAGGACAATTTGTTGTTTAATGGGTATTCACTTTGACTTCTGTAAAATAAAAATGATCTACAAACCTCTTGTAAAACAATATGACTATACTTAACACTAATAAACTGTACACTTAAAAATGTTTGAGATGACAATTATGTTTTCACCATTAAAAATGTGACTACCTAAAAGAGATAGTTATAAAATGTTTCAAAAATCACCTTCAAAGAACAAAAGTGTTCCTCTCACATAATTATATAGATCCAAACAATAGATTGTGAATTTAAGATTATTTCCTTAACTACTCATCTAGACAGAATAAAGCAATCATTAACAGCTAAGAAAAAAAAATATACAAGATAAGTCATGAACAAAGTAGAGGCAATATTTATACAGATGAATAACACGTAGTATTTTATAAGCAACAGGCATATAGCTAATTCATATCTAAACATCATATTGTCTTAAAGTGTACAGAGTTGAAAATTATCATCCAATTCATAATATCAAGGTTGAAAAGCAAAAATACAATTAACTGATCTAAGGAAACCTATCTGAAAAAAAAGAAACACAATCATATGGAATCAATAACAAGAATAAGAGAAATTTTAGTGCATAAAATAATAAATACATCATAGATATTCTATTAAAAAATAATGCTTTAGATATTTACAACTATCAACTGTGTACACCCATGAAGAACAGGCATTTTGAATCAATGCCATTCAATGAATGGCAGTAAAATGTCACAGGAAATGCATTACAATCATTAATAATTAGCTCTAATGAGAAAATTTTAATGAGTAAATATTCAAAAGACACTAGGAAGACTTCTTTATCATGTTATCAATATATTGGTGCTATTCTTACATAAAATATAATGGCTATAATAAAGTCTTTAGAAGCTAAAAATAAAAGCTTTCTATTTCCAAATACAGGAACAACATAAATGTTGCAAAATATGGTGAGAATTACTGAAATGTAAAGTCAGTATTTGGGATTACATTATACATCATTTAAATACAGGCTAAAAAAATATATAAATCTTAACAATTCTTTTTTGCTTGCAGTAAACTTAAACTTATAATCAAACATATTAATAAATATGTGGTACCCACTAGTAATCTAATTTACATCTTATACAATGCGTACATTTCAGCATTTTATTTCAGAACTTTTGAATCTAAAAATCAGACAAATTTGATATATATTTCAGAAAGGGAAACATACAAGATTAGAAACATAAGCAAGATGACAGAATAGGAGGCCCCCATGCATATTTCTCACAACATAATGTGGCAGCCATGCCAAACACAACTGCCTTTATGGGAGCTTTGCAATCCAGGTCACAATTTCTGACACCCAGCTGGAGCCCAAGATCAAGGAGGACAATTTGAGGACAAGTCCTTAACCGAAGGGTAGGCTTATTGATCATGGTTCTGGACACAAAACAAAAAAATTGCTATATCTGACTGTAGATTTAGCTATGGCTCACTTGGTCTTGGTCCTGCCACTCAAAAAATCTTCCAAGAATCCAGGAGGATTCATTCCCACTTGAGATTCAGGTGACAGGCCTGAAGATCCTGGTCTTGTCTGTGCTCCCTGAATAAGGCAAAATCTATCTCTGTCAACTCTCAGTCATGGTCTGGAAAAAATCCTGTCCACACAGAGACCCTCAGGAAAAAATATCCATCTGTGCCCCTGGATGTAGAACTGTCAACACTGACCCAAATGGGAATCCTGAAGTGGCACTGAAACTTTGCTTCAGTTTCATGCAGCCACAGGTCAGGAGTTTTGCTCAACCTGGGACCTGCCTGAAAGCACACACATCTGTGCCCCTGGAGCTAGACTTGCTGACATTAGTCTCACTGTGAATCTTAAAGTAGCCCTGTAAGTTTGGCTCTACTTTCTGTCAGCCAGGGTCTGGGAGCAGTTCTGCTCAATGAGAAACCTGGAAGGAGACAAGCCATGGGCCCAGGGCCCATATCCTGCAGCACCCCTATGAATCAGTTCCAGACCCTCTCAGCTGTGACCAGGGGTCAGTCATGTCCATCAGTGACTTGTTCAATGACTGGATGAAACCACTCCCAGAGACTCCGCAGGAGCCACACCTGTCCACATCTATTCTATCAGCACCCCCATTCTGCAGAAACAACTACAATTCCTTATCTTAGAACCAGCCCCAATGCTCAAGATCCTGAAGAAAGTTGTCTTCCCAGAGAAGAGACGGGATCCATGACTATCTATGCCCTGCTAGTAGGTCTGTCAACCATAAAACCCACTGCAGACCCAGTAGCAGTCATGTGACATGGCTCCAACACACTCAGGTGCAATCTTAGTCAAAATCTCATCAGCTCAGGATCTGAAAGAAGAAAGTATTTATTTCCCAAAACTGTCTATAATGACTGGAAGAGAGGTTTGCTCCTTCACATTCAGGGACATAAACATAAGCCTACACAGATTATAAAGAATCAGGCAAACTACCACCACCAAAGGAAATTAAAAAGCCATAGTAATCATCTCCAAAGAAATGGAGATCTGAAAGTTGGCTGACAAAGAATTCAAAATAATCATCTTAAAGAATTTCAATGAGATGCAAAAGAACACAGATAGATAACTAAAAAGTTTTATAATACAATACTTGAACAAAATGAGAGTTTTAACAGAGAAATAGAAACCATTAAAAGGAACCAGATAGAAATCTTGGAACTAAAGCGAACAATGAAAGAACTGAAAAAATCTAACAGTTTTAACAAGAGACTCAATCATGAAAGAAGAAAAAAATCAGCAAACTTAAAGACAGGTCATTTGAAAGTAATCAATTAGAAAAAAATATGAAAGCATGAAGGAAGCATATAGCCTGTATAGTATATCATAAAGTGAACAAATATACATATTTTAGGATTTTCAGAAGAAGAAAGAAAGAAGAAAAAAGATTAAAGATATAATGTCTTAAAACTCCCCAAATCTGGAAAAGGATATGAACAAGAAGTTTCATAAAGCTCAAAATACCCATGGCAAGAAGAACCTAATGAAGATTCCCCTGGGGCATATCATAATTAAACTGTCAAAATTCAAAGACAAAGCAAGAATCATGAAAGCAGCATGAAATAAGAGATTCTTCACATACAAGGGAAACTTTATAATGTTATCAGTAGATTTTTTAGCAGAAACCTTACAGGCCAAATGGGAGTGATACCATATATTAAAAGTGCTGAAAGAAGGAAAATTAAACAAACAAACAAACAAAAAAGACAACTAAGTAGGCTATACACAACAAAGCATCTTTTAGAAATAAAAGAGAGATGAAGACATTTCAAGACCCCCCCACCAAAAAAAAAATTAAAGGAATTCATCACCACTAGACCTGTCTAGAAATGCTAAACGACTAAAGGGAATTACTCAAGTTGAAGTGATGAAATGCTAACTAAATATGAAAACATTAAAACTACAAACATCACTGGAAATGGTAAATAGTGAAATTCAGAATACTCGAATATTGTAATGGTGGTACATAAGTCACTTTTAATTCTAGTATAAGAACTATAAAACAAAACTATTTTTTAAAAGTATAGCTATGATAATTTGTTAATGAATACAAAATATAAAAAGTTTTAAAATGTGACATATATAGTATAAAATGTGTGAAGGGGAGGAAAAGCATAGAGTTTTTCTATGCATAAAAGTTGGATAATTATCATCTTAAACTAGGCTGTTATATGATGTTTTATGTAAGTCTTATAACCACTAGAGAAAAAAAAACTGTAGTAGATACAAGAAAAAAAGAAAGTAATCAAAGTATATAAAAACAACAAAAACAAGACAAAAAATTAACATGACCAAAGCATAAGAGGAAAAAAGAAACAAAGTATAAAATAGAAAACAAACTTATAATAGTTACCTATCAATAATTACATATAAAGAGATTAAATTATCCAATAAACAGACATTGATAAAGACTGAATGTCACTTCCAAAATTTAGGTTAAAATTTAATAGCCACTGTGATAGAATTAAGAAGTGGGACTTTTAAGAAGTGATTAGGCCATGAGAGCTCTGCCTGCATGAATGTATTAATGTCCTTATCACAGCAGTGGGTTAATTATCACAAGTGTGCGTTTGTTATAAAAGGGAGCTCTCTCCCCCTCGTGCCTTTGGCCATGTTATTATGCAGCAAAAAGGTCTTCACCAGATGCCAGTGTCATGCTCTCTGCCTTCCCTGCCTCCAGAATCACAGGCTAAATTAATTTGTATTCCTTATAAATCACCCATTTCATTATAAAATACCCTGTGAATATTCTGATATAGCAGCACAAAATGGATTTAAAACAGACAGTGGCTGAATGAATTTTTAAAAATCCAGTGACAGGTTGCTTACAAGAGACTCACTTTTGATTTAAGGACAAACATAAGCTAACAGTGAAAGAACTGGAAAGGATATTCCATACAAATGATAAACAAAAGAGTGCAGGCAGGGGTAGCTATACTTACATTAGACAAAACAGGCTGTCTGACAAAATCTGTCACAAGAGACAAAGGAGTTAACTATATAATAATAGAGAGGTTAATTTGTCTAGAGGATAGAGCAATTAAATAGATATATGCACCCAACACTGGAATACTTAAATATATAAAGCATACATTAACAGAACTGGAAGGAGAAATATACAGAAATACAACAAAAGAGAACATTAGTACCCTACTTAAAATGGATAGATCATTCAGGCACAAAATTAAGAAAGCAGTGCACTACTATAACACTATAGACTAAATGTACATATAACATCCCATCCAACAATATGAGAATACAGTCTTCTAAGAATACATGAAATATTCTCCAGGACAGATCACATGTTAAACCAAAAGTAAAAAGCAGTAAGTCTTTTCAAATGTATAAAGATTAAAATTATATCAAGTTTTTTTTTCTGATTGCACTGATATAAAACTGAAAATCAATAGCAGAAAGAAAACTGGAAATTCACAAATACGTAAATATTAAACAACACACTCCTGAAAAATCAATAGGATGAAGAAGAAATCAAAAGAAAAATCTAAACATATCCTGAGACAAATGAAATTGGAAACACAAGAAACCAAAACTTCTGTGATGCAACCAAAACAGTTCTAGTACAGAAGTTTATAATAATAAAGTTCTACATTAAGAAAAAAAAAGATGTTGAATAAGCAATCTAACTCAATTCCTCAAGAAACTTGAACATGAACAAAATAATCCCAATGTTAGCATAATTATGAAAATAGTAAGAATTAGAACAAAAAGAGACTAAATAAAGACTAGAAAGGCAATAGAAAAGATCAAAGAAACTGAATTGAGTTTTTCAAAGAAAACAAAATTGAGAAACTTTTGGCCAGATTAAGCAAAGGATCAAAAAGAGAGAGGACTCAAAAAATTATAAGTGGGCTGGGTGCACTTCCTCATGCTTGTAATCCCAGTGCTTTTGGAGGCCATGGCAGGTAAATCACTTGAGCCCAGGATTTGGAGACCAGCCTGGGCAACATAATGAAACCCTTCTCTCTAAAAAATACAAAAATTAGCTGAGCATGGTGGTACACCCCTGTAGTCCCAGCTACTTGGGAGATGGGAGAATAACATGAGCCTGGGAGGTTGAGGCTGCAGTGAGTTATGATCATGCCACTGCACTTTGGTTTGGACATCAGAGTGAGACCCTGTCTCAAATAAATAAATAAATAAATACATAAAAGAAAGAAGGATGAGTCATTACAACTGACAACACACAAAGAATAATAAGAGACTACTATGAACAATTATATGACAACAAATTGGATAACTTAGAAGAAACAGATTCTTAGAAATGAATGACTCACCAAGATTAAATCACAAAGAAACAGAAACACTGAACAGACCAATAATAAGAAAGGAGATTGAAGCAGTTATAAAAAAATCCAATGAGAAAAAGCCCATGACCAAATGAATTCATGGGTGAATTGTATCACACATTTAAAGATGAATTAATGTCCATCCTTCTCAAATTCTTCCAAAAAATTGAAGGGAAAAAACACTGCCCCTTAGTTTGCATGTAATGAAAAGTGGGTATATAAGTACATGACTGCAGAACTGCTCCTCTCAGCACACTGCCTACAGGGTAGCCTCGCTCCACAGGAGCAGTCATAGAGCTGCAACACTGCCAGCTCAATAAAGCTGTTTTCTTCTACCACTATCTTGCACTTGAATTCTTCCTGAGTGAAGCCGTGAACCTTCCCAGGATAAGCCCCAATCTGGGGGCTCACCTGCCCTGCAACAAGAGCAATTAGGTAAAAAAAAGAAATAAAAGGCACTCATATCAGCAACGAAGAATTGTAATTTTCTCTGCTTGCAGATTAGGTGATTTTATATACAGAAAACCCTAAAGAGTATACAAAAAGAGTTAGAGCTAATACTCATTCAGTAAAGCTGAGGTCACAAAATTACCATACAAAAATTAGTTGCATTTCTATATACTAACAATTAATGATCTGAGAAAAAAAGTTAAGCAAACAATCCAATTTATAATAGCATCAAAAGTATAAAATTCTTATGATTCCATTTAACAAAGGAGGTGAAAGATCTGCTCAGTAAAATCTGTAAGACAGTGATGAATACAATTGAAAAAGACACAAATAAATGGAAAGATATCCCTTGTTCATGGACTGGAAAAATTAATACTGATAAAATGTCCACACTACACAAAGTGATCTACAGATACAGTGTAATCCCTATTAAAATTCCAATGTCACTTTTCAGAGAAATAGAAATAAATTCTAAAATTTATTTTATTTTATTTTATATATATTTTTTGAGGCAGAGTCTCGCTGTTGCTCAGGATGGAGTGCAGTGGCGTGATCTTGGCTCACTGCAACCTCCGCTCCTGGGTTCAAGCAATTCTCTTGCCTCAGCCTCCTCAACAGCTGACATTACAGGTATGCACCACCACACCTGGCTAATTTTTGTATTTTTAGTAGAGACGGGGTTTTGCCATGTTGGCCAGGCTGGTCTTGAACTCCTGGCCTCAAGTGATCCACCTGCTTCGGTCTCCCAAAGTGCTGGGATTACAGGTGTGAGCCACTGCATCTGGCCTCCAAATTTCTATAAAACCACAAATGACCACAAATAGCCAACACAATCATAAGAAATAAGAATGAAGGTGAAGGCATCACACTTCTTCATTCCAAACTATTACAAAGCTATACTAATAGTGAGTATTATATTGACCTAAAAAGACATATAGACCAATGGGACAGAACAAGGAAACCAAAAATAACCCCATGTGTATAGAGTTAGCACTCTTTGACAAGGGCACCAAGATACACAAAGGGAAAAGGATGGTCTCTTCAATAAATGATGCTGGAAAAGGTGGATATTTATGAGCAAAAGGATGAAATTGAACATTTATACCATATACAAAAATGAACTCAAAAAGAATTAACACTTAAATGTAAAACCAGAAACTGGATAACTTTTAGAAGAAACACAGGGAACAAACTCTTCAACATCAGCCTTGGTACTAATTTTTTAGATTTCACACCAAAAAAGCACAATCAACAAAATCAAAAAACAAAAACAAAAACAAGCGGGACTACATCAAACTAAAAATTGCCTGCACAGCAAAGGAAACAAAGAACAACATGAAAAGGCAACCTAAGGACTGGCCTAAGGACTGGGAGAAAATATATCTGATACGAGTTTCATATCCAAAAGATGTAAGAATCTCACACAACTCAGTTGCCAGTAAATCTGACTTAAAAATATGCAAAGGACCTGACTAGAAAGTCTTCCAGGGATTACATAAAAGTAGCAAACAGGTTTAAGAAAAGGTGCTGAATATAATTAATCATCAGGGAAATGAACACCAAACCTCAATGAGCCATCACCTCACATTTACAGAGAGATAACACAATGAGATATCAGATCATGAGATATCACCTCATACCGTTAGAATGTCTACTATCAAAGAGACAAGCGATCACAAATGTTGGTGACAGTGTGGAGAAAAGGAAACGTTGTATGCCATTGGTGGAAATGTAAATTGATCCAGCCATTATGGGAAAAAGCATAGAGGCTCCTCAAAATATTAAAAATAGAAGTACCATATGAACCTCAATTCCACTTCTAAGTATATACCTAAAAGAAATACAATCTGGCAGGAGCAGTGGCTCACGCCTGTAATCTCAGCACTTTGGGAGGACGAGGTGTGCGGATCACTTGAGGCCAGGAATTCGAGACCAGCCTGGCCAACATGGCGAAACCCCGTCTCTACTAAAAATACGAAAAAATTAGCCAGGCGGGGTGGCACAAGCATGTAATCCCAGCTACTTGGGAGGCTGAGGTGGCAGAATAGCTTCAACCCAGGAAGCGGAGGTTGTAGTGAGCCAAGATGGCGCCACTGCACTCCAGCCCGGGCAACAAAGTGAGACTCCATCTCAAAAATAAATAAATAAATAAATAAAATCAGTATGTTAAAGAGATATCTGCACCCCTATGTTCACAGCTGATTATTCAAAATATATAGTGGAATATTATTCAGCATAATGAAGAAGGTAGTTCTACCATTTCTGACAACATGGATGAATGAACCAGGTGGAACTATGGTAATTGAATAAGATAGAGAAATACAAATACTGTATAATATCAGTTATTTGTGGAATCTAAAAAAAGGTGAGTTCATAGAAGTAAAGTGTAGAACGGGTCCCAACAGCTGACAGGTGGTAAAACTGGGGAGATACTGGTCAAAGAGTACAAACTTTCATTTAAAAGATAAATTCTGGGGATCTAATGTAAAGCATTATGAATATAGTTTACAATACTCATATATACTTGAGATTTGCTAACACAGTAGATCTTTTTTTTTTTTCTTTTTTTTTTGAGACGGAGTCTTGCTCTCTGTCACCCAGGCTGGAGTGCAGTGGCGCGATCTCGGCTCACTGCAAGCTCCGCCTCCCAGGTTCACACCATTCTCCTGCCTCAGACTCCAGAGTAGCTGGGACTACAGGCACCCGCCACCACGCCCGGCTAATTTTTTTTTTGTATTTTTTAGTAGAGACGGGGTTTCATCGTGTTAGCCAGGATGGTCTCAATCTCCTGACCTCATGATCCGCCTGCATCGGCCTCCCAAAGTGCTGGGATTACAGGCGTGAGCCACCGCGCCCGGCCCACAGTAGATCTTTAATGTTCTCTCCACAAAAAACCTGGCAACTATGTGAGATGATTAATATGTTAATTAATTTATTTGTATTAATCAATACACAATGTATACATATATAAAATCAAACGATCAGGATGCACCTCTTAAATATATATAATTTACAAGTGTGGGAAAAAAATCCACATGAAAGAAGGAAGGAAAAGAAAAAAGAAAAGGAAAAGAAAGAAAACGAACATAAAGAACACATTCTCATTAAGCTTCACAGTTAACCAGACAAAATTATAAAATGTTATGAATATATAAGGTAAGAGTTGAAAGTTCACTATATACTGGACAATGTTGTAAGCTTCCCATAGACATTCATTTAGTTAAGAATTCTACATAGTAAGTAATATATTAAATGATTTTAAATCTGTGGAATTTGTGCATACAGAGATTATATTTCTAATCTTAGTTTAGGCTAGGAAAGATGAAAAGTTGAAGTGAAATACAGAATCAGATTTTTTTTTATATTTAGGAAGATGTTTTGCACTCTGATGAATTACTGAGTCTCAATTTTTGTAGGATCATCTGGGAAACCACCATAGGATTAGAAATTAATATACCAGAAAATATGTGACATCTATCCACAGAATTCCTGGGACTTCTGAAAAAAATCCTACTGTCCATCACTCGCCTCACACACTTCTGACATGAGGCAAAACCAGAACTTTAGAAGTGGTTTCACATAGAGGTAGAAACATGCACAGACTTTCCCAGAGCCCCCAAATCAATGGAAGAACAGTCAGATCACGCAGGCCCTCACAGGCCAAGGGGAGCACTTTGGCTGTCACTGTGAATTTGATGGTGGATCACAGAAGGGTAAGGAGAATAATCAGATAATTTAAGAATATGAGACAGAAGATGTCCCTCTGTGACAGCAGCAAGAGAAAGAAATAAACCCAGGTGTCTCAAAAATCATTTCCACTGGAGAACTTCCCAATCCACACTTCAAGGTCTGGTTCTTTCTTAATCTCTGGACCTCTCGCCCATGTCATCTACTTCATTCACTCCCACCTACCTGGCTGGATGGCTACTGTCTCTGCACTCTTCACATTCCAGGGCTCTTTCCTTTGCTCCAAAAAGGTGATCAGGTCCGGCTTAGAGACAGCGAGACCTGTTTTATTAGAAAAAGTCACATGACTCTTGCTGGGAGTTCTTTAATTGCCAGCTCAGTAGGATACTCAGTAAAGAGGGAACATTATAGAGGATCCTAGAAAATTACTTCCCCAAATACTGTTTCCTGTCAGCTTCTTTAGAATATTCAGGAAGCATTTTAAACACAGGAATCCTGAGCTTCACTTCCAAGTATGACTAAATCAAAAATAAGGAGAAGGAATTAGATTTTAAAGTGTGGGCAATGATAGTTTATGTCACTCAATTTTCTAGAATCACTACTAAACTAGAGTGAAGCTTCTACATCACCTCAAGAAAGAAGGCAAATGTCAAGATCAAACATTAGGAAGTCTTTTCTACAACAAACCCACAATTTTTTTTTCCTGGAAACAGGAATCTGAATTCATTCATATAAAGCATAAGCTCCCAAGTGACATTCTACAAAGGAAAGAAATAAAACCCTTAGTTATTAGATATTAGATATTCCAAAGGCAAGTTATCCTCACCCAGAGAGACCAGGTTTCCGTAGTTCTCTAACATCACATCCCCATATAAAAGCTTCTGATCTGAGTCCAGGTGTTCCCACTCCTCCCGAGAGAATTCTATGGCCACATCCCTGAATGTCAACAGTCCCTGAAATAAAAATAAATAGCACATTGACCATGTGGCCATGGGCAGAGTTCATCACTTGACAAACCAAGATGAAATAAGAGAGCTAAGAAAACTGACTGATTTATATGAGTGACCTGAAATATTCAATAAGATACTTTTAAACACAATAATATTTTCTATGTATTCTCTAACTCTGTGGAAAGAGAATGATACAAAATCCACAAAACCAGTGTAGATACTATGCCTATATGGAATATAAAGTATAAAACTAAGGCATCGAGGCCGGGCGCGGTAGCTCATACCTGTAATCTCAGCACTTTGGGATGCCGAGATGGGTGGATCACCTAAGTTCGAGACTAGCCTGGCCAACATGATGAAACCCCATCTCTACTAAAAATACAAAAAATTAGCTGGGCGTGGTGGCACATGCCTGTAATCCCAGCTACTCAGGAACCTGAGGCAGGAGAATCACTTGAACCAGGAAGTGGAGGTTGCAGTGAGCCAAGATTGCACCACTGAACTCCAGCCTGAGCAACAAGAGCGAAATTCCGTCTCAAAAAACAAAAACAAAAAAACAAAAAACAAAAAACTAACGCATCAACATAGGAGTATACATTTTTTAGTCTATATTTACATCATCCACAATCAGTTGTATATAATTCTCAGGTGGAAAAGTCATGGTGACTTAGAGGCATACTTCTGAAATTTTATTGTGTTCAGCAATAAACTGCAGAACTGGTTCAAATGCAGATTCTGATTCAGGAGATCTGGGGCTGGGGCTGGGGCTGCGTTTCCGCATTTTTAACAAGCTTACCAGTGACACCAATGCCTCAGGTCCAGAGGCCACACTTTTGAATAGCAGAGAGGTTGAACACTGAACGAAGAATTCAGGGATGATGTGGAATTGAGAGTTTTATGAAATTTACAGGTTATAACATAATAGCAAGAATAGTAGAATCCTTTTTGAACACTTACTATTTACTAGATGTCATCCTAGCAGTTTTTCATGTATTGATAAAAACCACAAAAATCTATATGAGAAATAATACTATTCTTCCTCTTTAATAAAAATATTTTGCTGACCCTTCCCCTCTCTGTCTCAAGCCTGAAAAAAAATTTTTTGCCAAATATCTAGTATATAGTAGAGCTTATTTTATTATTTATTTATATTTATTTATTTTTTTATTTATTATTTTACCCCAGTATCTAACTTAGAATTCATTTTAAAGGGACATACAGGCCAATATGCAGAGATAAGTAAAAAAGAATGTTCAGAGCAGGTGTCACAACTGAGAAGAAGATGAAAACAGGAAGGCAGCAACACAAAACTGATCAAATGATGCTTATGTCACACGCACATACGTACATAGAAATGGTAACTATACATACATGAAAAGTGACAGAACATTTCTTAATTAAGAAATATTTTAAATTGTGTTAAAACTATATGGATGATGGCTTTTTCTGTTTTTTAACAAACTATGAAGACTAACACATTCAATGACATAAACTAAAATAAGAGCTTGTGTTTCTGAGTCTAGTTCTTTTCCCCAAGTTTTTATTTATTCTAAGTGCTGTTATATTTTAGAATTTTAAGACAGTAGATATATTAATTATATGTTAATTGTTGTTATCTTTCTCTGAAAATACAGAGAATAAAGGAGTGTATGCTTGTGAAATTAGCAAATTAAAATGGAAACCTACAGAAGTGAGGCTTGTTTCAGAATTTCCAGTTTCAAAAACCAGTATTTACGGTCAACAAATGTGAGAGCCTTCACTCTCCAAAGCAACCCACAAGCAAAGGGAAACTAAAGAGAAATGGCAGTCTCTGGATTAAACATGATGGTTTACATGCATCACTCAGTAAATCCTCCCTCCTAGAAACACATTAACAACAAAGAGAAAAATAACTAGTGAAGGAATCTGGCAGAGAGCACCTGAACCAGGTGAATGAAGTTAGCATCGACTGTAATGAGACGAATTGGTATCAATGCTCACGCACTGATGGACCCATAATCGTTGTATATTAGTGGGGGAAAAAAGTAAATCATAGTCTGGGTATAATAATAAACAGAATATGTGGAGGAACATACAGGTGGCCATATTTCTTAAAACTGGCCATGTGACTCTACTTAGAAGCCTGAGCTGAGAATCACTTAACTAAGCATTCCCTCTCAAGCTTCAATATGCATACACATCATTTGGTATTCTGGGGCCCGTGCTAAGTACTGTGATTCTGCAGGTTTGGAAAAGTTCCATGAATTGGCTTAAGACCCATAATCAGTAGCACACAGCTAGAGGAAGCGGGCACAAAACACAGGGTCCCTTACACCCAATACTCTAATCACAACGCAAATACTTTTCATTCACAGCGAGGACCACCAACCACTGTCCTGAAAAATCACATCCTTTGCCAGCCATTTAAAGTCTACAGAGGCTGGAGAGGACAGTAACATCTAAGTCAGCATTTGGAAAACAGCATGGATACATGCATTAAAGCAGTGTTTACTGAGCTTGTACTGTGTGCTCACAGTATGCACTGTGCTGGCAACATCACATGGTGTGAGTTAAGCCATATAAACCCCTGGGATGTGGGTCCTGAGTATCCCATAATTCCCAGCAGGATTTAGATAATGGCCTAGCCTTTCTCTCTCTTCTTCTGTTTCCCTGTCACTATAAAAGCTAACTATAGACAGATGGGAGAGATACGGAAAAGAAGGGTGAAGTTTAGTTCTTAAGGATTTCTCACTGTAGTCTTTACATTGACTTTGTTACTACTTGTGAAGCAACTACTGGGTCTGCAGGAATGGAAAAAGGTTGCCAGGTGGGATGTCTCTAGAAACACTGTTCTCAATGAAGAAAAAAATTCAGGCCCCCATATTGTCCTTTGCTCCCATTTAACTGCTTTTGGGTTTGGGGAAATTGTGAGCACTAGCTCTGGAGAACCAGCAAGAGCAACCACTCAGAAGTCTGATCTCCAACAAACAGTTCTGTGAGGGTAGGCTCCAAGGTGGGGCCAGACCTGAACCAAGCTCAGAAGAGGGTGCATTTGGGCAGGGTTGGGGCAGAGCAAGGCTAGGGACACGGGTCAGGCCCTAGGCTTCCCATCTCTATGTTGCTGATTTAAGTCCTGTCTTTCCTAAGCCTGGCCACAAGAACTTGACTCCCAGAGTTTTTCTGATTTTTGACCACAAGAACTTGACTCCCAGAGTTTTTCTGATTTTAACTGTTTGTTTCATCCTTAAGTATTTTGTAAATCCATTAACAAGCAATTTAATCAAAACATGTAGGGCCTTCTGGGAAAATTATATTAAAAAGCAAATCAAGAGAAAATCAATAGAAATAATAATAACAACTCTTCTGTCCATGGGTGGCCCTTCAGATTGTGACATCAGAACTCACAAGGTCAAATAAGGACAGTGTCCCAAATCAAGCCCAAGTTCCCTGTATACCTCCGTGCTTGCACCGGATCACATGATGCTGAATTTGGCCATTATCCATCTGCTCTAGACTGAAAGTTCCCAGATGGTAGGGACTATGGCTGCTACAAATGTTTTTCTAATGGCCATATGAAATGGAAGCAATTGGTTTACCTATCAGTATGAGTCTCCAGAACTCCTCTTTGTTCTTCGTCCACGTATTAGAAAACTGGAGCAAATCCCATTTGGATACCAAATAAAGAGATTCCTTCTGTGAGTGGAGGAACAAATCCTGGATGATGCATTCCTTTCCTTCTGAGATGGAAAGAAATTAGACCCTGTTGTCAGCCTGACCTCAGTCTGCACAGGACATCACCAAATGTCCCAAGGACTCCAAGGTGCTGGTGAGGGAGTTCCTGGTGATCCTGTACTGATGCCCCAGTAGTGATTTGGGCAGGAGAGACTCAGGCTGACTCTGTGGGGCCAGGATACAAAGTGGAACTGCCCCAGTGGAGCCACAGATTCTGGATCCACGTGTAGTATTACCTATACCTGATCAGCTAACTCTTGGGTACAAGAAAGGACAAGATTACCCTACTCCAGTAACACAGCTCACAGGTAGGTGTAGCTTCACTCACGGCTCTGGACAGTTGTGGCCCTGCCCTCCCTCTGCTAAGGTGCTGCTTTACACTTACAGATTCTGCCACCATGTTCTGCTTAGACCAGAAGGCCCTCACAGAACTGCAGCAGCTCACTGGACAAGATCTGGAAAACTTAAAAGACCCCACACAAAAAGTAGGGCTTTACAAGGTCTATGTCAATCTCTCATAATGCAGAAAATGTCCCCTGGATTTTCTATACATCCTCAGTCCAAAGTCTGGCCCTGTCTTGTGGATCCCAGGTGGAGACCAGCCTTTATGTGCAGACTCCAGGTGGAATCAACCTGGCTCTGCATTCTTGGGTGTTGCTGTGAAGAAAACTAGAGGAGACAGCCCCTCAGGAATTCTGCTCTCACACATCCTGGAGAACCCCAGGACCTGGGTTCAACATTTGGAGCTACAGATTTAGGTGCTGGAGGGGCAGAGAAGTGGCACGCACCTTCTGCACATTCATGGGCATTTGGGCAAGAGGATGAGGGGAATGTTGAGATTCTCAGGCCTACTCAATGCATGTGTGTGCCTGGTTGGTTTCCAGCCCCCATGGTCTCTGAATCGGTTTCAGGTCTGAAGATGCCAGGGGCATGGAAAGACAGAGCTGGAATGGCTAACTGATGCCCTGTGAACTTATTTTTGTAGAAATCTGGCCAAACTCTTCTAGAAGGGATTAAAGATTCCAAACAAGCAGAAAGACCATTCTGCCTGCAGATTTTCGGGGCAATAGGCACTTTGCTGCACAAATGTGGGTTGTGACAGGAAGTCTTAGAGGGAACATCCCCTCTAGAGTGAGGCCTGGTGGGCACCTTACATTTCTCAGTGTTTGGGAAATATAATTAAAAACAGAATCATGAGAAAAATGATGCACAATGGTAGAAACGAAAGAAAACTGTTCTATGACACAATGAGACCAGAATGTGAAGGACATTACAGGCAATCTGCTAAGAGATTGGAAAAACACTCACTCATGAAAAGTCACCATAATTAGTCCTCAATAGAAGACCTGACAGCACCATTTGTCAGATAAGAGTTCATCCTAAATTCACCTGGGAATTGGGAGGCCATCTGTGGTTTTTATTTGGCTATATAGTTAAAGGAAAAATAAACTTCATGTCTTCAAGACAGGTAGGTACATTTGCAACTTGGAGCCAGGGGCCTGAAGGTAGATGCCTGCTCTCCTAAAGAAACTGTAAGATACGGCTCTATCTTCTTTGCTACCTATAGTTCAAATCAATGATTCCCAGTCCTAGAGAAAGAATGTCCCGAATCAAAAACTGACAGCCAGGCACAGTGGCTCACGCCTGTAATCCCAGCACTTTGGGAGGCCGAGGCAGGCAGATCACCTGAAGTCAGGAGTTTGAGACCAGCCTGGACAACATGGTGAAACCCCATCTCTACTAAAAATACAAAAACTAGCCCTGTGTGGTGGCAGGCACCTATAATCCCAGCTACTTGGGAGGCTAGGCAGGAGAATCGCTTGAACCCAAGAGGCAGAGGTTGCAGTGAGCCAAGAACGCACCACTGCACTCCAGCCTGGGCAACACAGCAAGACTCAAAAAAAAAAAAAAAAAAAAAAACAAAGACTGACTGACAAAAGACAAAAGATCTGTTTAGCTGTTACAATGATTTAGACATATTTCCAAAAGGCAGAAAAAAACTTACATACAAAAATTCTCTAAAGTAAATGATTCAAGAAAAAGAAGGAGAGAAATATGTCTTCCCTTATTTTCAAGAAGAGTTAAGTCTCATATTTTTAATTTGTATTTGTTCTCACAACTGGGAGATCTAGGGCCATAATCTTGAATTAATGGACATCTGAATTCCAGCAGGCGCTAGATTCAGGCACCTGAGGATTTGCCTTGGACACACCGCATGCACATAAAAAGGGGTTTGTGGGCCAGGCATGGTGGCTCACGCCTGTAATCCCAGCACTTTGGGAGGCAGAGGCAGGTGGATCACTTGAGCCCAGGAGTTCGTGATGAGCCTGGGCAACATATTGAGACCCTCCCTGTCTCTACAAAAATTGCAAAAATTAGCCAGGTGTGGGGGGCACATGCCTCCAGTCCCAGTGATTGGGGAGGCTGAGGTGGGAGGATCACCTGAGCCCAGGGACGTCAAGACTGCATGATCATGCCACTGCACTCCAGCCTGGGCGACACAGTGAGAGACCCTGTCAGGGTTTGTGGGGAAGTTAAAAGGCAGAAGGGAAGGTGCTACTAAGAACTCTCACATGGGGGGCAGTGCAGAACTGGTGGAAGGACTGGTTTGTGCTACAGATACTGGCCCAGGCAAGGCTATGCTCTGACTTACTCCTGTGTCCATGCAGGCAGATGAGACTATGACTGGGTGGTCCACAAGCCTAGGTTGATGGAGGGACTGGGTTGCTGCTGCAGTTTCAGGGTCTGGGGGCAAGGATAAGCCAGGAGTCCTCTAGGCACCTGTATGGGAATTTTGGCAGGAAACTCTAGGAGCAAAGGTGCTATGGGCACAATTCCTGAGGGTCATGTCTTGTCCTGAAAGGGGCATGGCGACGCCAGTGCCTAGTGGGTGTGTTCAGAGTGGGTGGGAATTATGTGGTGGCAGCACAGTGGGGGCAGGGGTCTGTTCTCAGAACTTCTTCCCTTTCTGTCCTCAGTCGCTTCTCACCCTGGGAGGAGACGTGGAATCACAGGACAATGTGTAGGGTGACAGTCTGTGTGCAGGGGAATACAGCCTCCCTTCCTGGAGACACCCAGAGTCTCTCTCCAGCCCAGGTCCCTGTGCTATCTTTTTTATGACACTGTGTGGAGTTTGCTGAACACCAGCCAATTCTCCAACACCAACTGGTTGTCCAACAACTCAATTCTGACAGCACCCAGAGGCAGCACAGACCCCACAAGTTCAGAGTTCAGTGCCACAACACTGCCCCTCTACAGATGCCAGTCACAATTCCCCAGGGGCCATCTATACTTCTGAGCTACTGCCTGTAAGTTAGGGCCTCCCATAATACCCTACTCAAGTTCATTAATTTTATACAAGGATTCACAGAACTCAGCAAAGACTGTAATTGCATTGACCAGTTTATTATAAAAGATACAACTCAGCCTAATGGAAGAGATGTGTAGGGCAAGAGAAAGGAGTGGGGAAAAGATGGAGTAGGTAGTTAACCCTGGGAAGCAGCTGTGATGAAAGAAATCCCCCTTCCTTTTTGTTCTTCAAGAGCAGCTTACTGCAAAGAATCTTCTTCCTGTTATGACTTAGATGATGCTCCCTGTTTTAGGTATCACAAAGCCACAAACTCTCCTATTTCCTTTTTTTCCCCCTCATAAGCAATTAAATAAAGAGTTTTATCTTCGATGGTCAAAACAAAATATGTGTTAACCAAAGTTGCTTAAATTTCTCCCCTTCTCCAAGGTGCCTGAGGTTTGTCCCACCCACAGCCTGAGTCAACATTCAACCCCTCTTTATGCCCCTCCTAAGAACAGGCTGACTTCAGGGTGAAACATTCTCTGATCAGGGATCTGATTTAGTCCAGGAGTCGTGCCCTTCCCCTCCCACCTTGAATCATGTTTGCTCCTCCCTATGAAAGAAAGGCCTTTTCTGCTTCAACTGTGAGATCCACAAATATCTTACAGTTGGTGCTTTCCTCCTCTTGCAATACTCCTTTACAATTAAGGCACTTCTTACCTATATCCAGATGTTTTATTTGACCAAGTCAAGAAACAGCCCCAGGACACTAACAATTCCACCCTCAGAAAGAGCTTCCCAATCTCCCTTCCAGCCCAACCTCGACCACATCCGCCTGTGAATCCCCTGCTTTCCAGAACTCTGCAGCTTCTCCCAGTAACAAAGGGCTCCCTCCATGGCTGCTGTGAACCTCAGGGACACCTGAAGGGGGCGCTCCCCAGGAAGAACTAACTGGGCCTTCAATGACCTCCTTTTGCAGGCTCAAATAAGACTGAGGTCTTCTATGCCTAGTCAGGGTTATTCCACACACCCGCTTCTCAATTCGCAGGCTCTCTCTTTCAGGTCCATCGAGGTGGGGTGCCTTCTTCCCATCTCATCAGCTCTCCACAAGCATCTAGCGAGCTCTAAAACCTACCCCAGGATAGCAAACGTCAGACCTTCCTCCACTCTCCTGGCACTGCACGCCTTCTGGGGAGTGCTGCCAATCCTACCTCAACTGAAGGGACAGGAGCAGGTGCCCAGCCAGTCAGATGTTCAGTGACCTAACAGGTTTCAGGAAAATAGCAAAATCACTCAAAACAGTTTTTATAGAAAGGAAGGAAACTGTAAGGCACTTACACTTTATACTTCAACAGGTAAGGCCAAAATACCTCTTTCGAGCAAGAAACATGTCATTTAATTATTTCCATAATAGCAGATCATTTAGTATATGTGAACACTTCTAGGAGGTGCCAAGTCCTGTCTCATAACATTTGGCATTAAAGTCGGACATCCAGATAGCAGTAGAATATGGAACACAGATATCCACTGTCACAAATCCTCCACTGCAAAAGAGAGGACCTGATATTTTAATGAATGTTTGTAATTGACCAATTAATCTAGCACACTTTCTGTGGAAATGTATTCGTTTTCTACAGCCAAAGTGGAAGAGAGATTGTCCCTATTTCTTTTCCCCAGCAGCATTCCTAAGCTGAGCCCTGGGATTTTGAAATCGCTGCTCCAGAGGACCCTAAACCACAAACCACGGCGGCAGGCTTCCCATTTCACCAATCGCTGTTTACCTAAATCAACCCTTTAACGCTTTAAGGGTGACTCCCCTTAATTTGTAAGAGGAAAAAGGAGACTGGGACACCACGGGGCACAGTATCTTCCCACACACGAATCACACGCCGACCCGGGATTTCCCCTAAGACCCTCACGTTCTCACCGCACAATCTCGGGAGACGCCGGGCTGCGGCGACCCAAAGACGGCTCCGGCCATGGCAGAGGTCGCTCTGCGGGGTCGGGAGGGGACCGGACGCGCGGGGTCCCGGCTGCCGGCCCGGCCGCCATCTTGCGGCGGAGGGGACCAAGGGCCGAGTTGCGTCCGCGGGGACTCAGGGCCCAGACCCCGAAGCTAACCTCAAAGAGGGTTCCCGCCGCTTCCGACCGCCCCTCTCCCTCTTCTGGGGACCCCCGACCTGGCACATTCACCATTTCCCAGCTTCCGGGATGTCCTGGCGTCTGAGCTACGGATCTCCCGGTGCCTGCCGGTCACAGAGTAACAGAGGTTCTGTCTATTCTCAGAACGCGAAGCCGCCTTGGCCTCCCAGATGGAAGGACTGGGAGCCCCTGGTGAAGAGACTGAGCTCTTACTGCAGCCAACAAAGGCCACCGCCAAATCCCGGAAGCCGCCCCTGCTCTCCGGCTACTCCCGATTGGAGGATTTCCACTCCGACGCCACTGATTGGGTAAAGCTCCAGGCCCCGCCCTCTCACTCGTTCTGCTTTTTGAATGGGAGACAGGCTCATTGAGGTGGGGCCACCTGCTGAGGGTATTACAGCTAATTTAAGGGGTGAGCTTGGACTTGAAATGCACTTGCTTTCCCGTACCTGGTTTTGCTTGTATAAGGCATCTTATTAGCTAATTAAGTTTAAGAAGGAGGGCATTTGGGCACCTTTAAAACAACTTTTTAACCGTTCTAATAACACAGGAAAGACCCTCATCCCATCCTTAGCACCTCTCATCACACGGTACCCCACTGCTCAGGACATAACTGTGGGACTGCAGAGGAAACTGCTGGGGTTTTTGGGGAGCATGCAGGAGGCTTCAACAGCCAAGGTAACGGTGGCTTCCCTTGGGTGTCACTTAAAATCTTGGGGTCAGGGACATCTTTTATCCAGTTGGCTCAGGGAAACTAACAGACAGGAGGATTGTAATTTTTTTTTTCTTTTCTGAATTTCCAAGACATAAAGGACTATCCAAGCATCCCAAAAGGCATTCAATTATACATAAGGCTGAGGGCCTCCCTGCTCTGGAGAGGGATGGCCTGGCAGCCACCAGCTGCAGTGAGCTGAGATAGTGCCACTGCAATGGGCCTTAAACTTGCCCTCTTGTAGACAGGCCACCTCCACACACCCGCTTCTCACATCGCAGGCTCTAACCCTCCGGTCCATCAAGGTGGGCTGCCTTCTTCCCATGTCATTAGCTCTCCACAAGCATCTAGTTAGCTCTAAAACCTACCACAGGATAGCAAACGTCAGACCCTCCTCCACTCTCCCGGCACTGCACGCCTTCTGGGGAGTGCTGCCAATCCCACCTCAACTGAAGGGACAAATCTGGGCAGGTGCCCAGTCAGATGTTCAGTGACCTAACAGGTCCAGCATGCCCAGGGCCTGACCCCACAGCCTAGCACCCCTCCCCCACCTGGCCTTCAATCCAGCCTTTCTTCTCCAATGACGGGATGTTCACCTGTGCCACAATCCCATTAGTCTAGTGACGAGGCCAGGTAAATCCCAGCTGAGTGCCTGTGACTCCACCCTCTTACTTCCCACTCAGGTGACATTACAAGCATAACCTTGAATTTGAGCTAATTTATACATATTCCTCTCCTAGTAACCTGTTTGACAACAGCCCTCACAATCCAGAGACTGGGGCAGCAGGTTCCAAAACCTCACTTTATTCCAATGTGAAATGAAGACATGATGGTTTAAAAATGAGAAAAAGTTCCTGATAAGCTGTGGGGGTGCTTCACTTGCCAGCTCATGCCCATTCCCTCTGAAACAAGGTGTCTGTTACCCATAAACAACTCTCTGTAAAGCCCCAGGTAGAGGTCACAGCTGGACGTGGCTCCCTCAGGCTCACAGGGTAGCAATCTCCTCCCCCAGTCCAGGCTTCCACAGCAGGCACGGACAGGTGCAGAGAGGGAGTGGCCATGGCCTGTGGGGTCCCCTGCCACCCTCAGAGCTAGTCTCTGCAGAAGGTGCTGTGTGGTAAGCAGCAGGGCTCCACAGAGAGGTGACAACCCTTCCTGTGTCTGCAACCTTTCCCCAGGATCCATGATTCAACCCTGGCTCCCTAGGCCCCTTACCCAGCACACCCTCCGTGTGTCAGGCAGCTCAGGTTAAAATGGGGAGAATGATATATTCCGACTGTAGACCCGAAGGTTCTGTCCATCTGGGGTACAGGGAGTAGGGACGCCAGTCAGAGCCTGTGGTAGCGCCTCCTGCTGGGCCTGAGGGCAGACAGGCCAGGGCTGGGCACAGGGACATCTGGGGGACCACCACTGACAAACCTGTCCCTCTCAGCCTGGAGCTACGGCCAGGCCAATCATGATTAATAAAACCACTGCAGCCTTCATCCTGCCACAAAACTAAAGTGGACCCCAACCCCCAGCCCTGCCACAAAGCTCTGCTCCCCATCTTTTTTGGCTTAAAACTTAGACATTAAGCCAGGTTGGGCCTGGGAGTTGTGGCAGTAAAACCAGCAGCCATAACGTCAACCACGCAAATGAGCTGAGGAATCCCATCTGTACATCATCCACTCAGAACTGCCTCGGAGCAATGCACAGGCTGGGACAGATCAATACTCATGGCCATGGATGCACTCCACACCCCTGTTGGAAGATGGAGAGGCTGAGGGGAATATGGGGAGCCCGAGTGGCCCCTCAGCTGGGAACTGAGGACCGTACATGCCATTCACAGGTCTTCAATTAGGCCTTTGCATCTTTAGGCTTTGTTGAATCAGTGCAAAAGCATCTTTTGGGGGGCATGCAGGCTGGGGTCCCAGGAGGATGGTGGGAGTGGAACGTGGAAGAGGGGCTCACTTCCTCTAAACTGCGAGCATGCCCCCTTCTCCTGGAGTCTGCATCGCTAACATCAGGGCCGCTGACTCTCTCTCTCTCAATCCCTGCAAGCTCAAGGAAAAAGGATCCTTGGCAGCCACAGGGCTGGGAGCTCAGTTCCTCTGCCCCCAGGGGCTCAGATTCAGTGGCCATAGGGGTCCCCAGCCCTAGCTCTGTTTTTTTGGTTTTGTTTTTTTGAGACAGGGTCTCACTCTATCACCCAGGCTGGAGTGCAGTGGCACAATCATGGCTCACTGCAGCCTGGACCTCTCAGGCTCAAGCGATCCTCCACCTCAGCCTGCTGAGTAGCTGGGACTACAGGTCGCGCCACCACGCCAAGCTAATTTTTGCTTTGTGTAGATGGGGTTTCATCGTGTTTCCTAGACTGATCTCCAACTCTTGAGCTCAAGTGATCCACCCACTTCAACCTCCCAGAATGCCCTATCCCTGTTTTTCTGGATTCCTGGAGCTAGTGACGCTGCACCACCTCTGCTTTCAGATTCTCCTAGTCTTCTGGGTGAGTAGAAGGTGGGAGAGGAGGTAGGTGTCAGACTGGGCCAGGGCCCTGGGCCCCCGCTAGCTTGGTTAAACTCCCACTTGGGACAGATCAGGTTCCGTGCCATATTCAGTGAGACGCGTGGAACAAGTACTTCCCTCCCAAAAGCAGAAAGATCCCTAATTGCTGACAGTCAGGATTCCATGCACTTGACTCGGCCTAGGGCCCAGTTGCCTCTAACCCTCTCACCCAGTTCCAATCACTGCACTCTGTGGCCTCCCTGCCACCAGATTAGGTGTAGACAATGGGTGTGGGACAGGGCTGCTGACACCCCTGGCTGACCAAACCCCTTTCCCACACTGAGGAGAGAAAAAGCAGGAGGTTAGGGGCTCCCAAAGGCAGCACTGCTTGTGACAGCACCGCGGGAGTCCTCAGGGCCTGCTCCTAAGGCACATTTTGCACTGGAACCACAGGCAGCCTAGGAAGGAATAAAGCCACTACCTAGGAACTGAAATGGAAGATCACCAAGATACGTTGTTAAATGAAGTAAACAATAATAACCTTCATACGTGGCATGCCACAATTCCAAAGAAAAAAAAAGAGGGGGATAAAGATCACATGGAGTATTTCTGGAAGGATTCACAAGGAAGTTCTCATCACTGGCTACACTTTTCAATTTTGAGCCATGTCAGCCTATTACATATCTTAAAAAACTAAAGGCCAACTTCTAAGTAGGGAGCCATGGAGGGGCCTCAGCTGAGAAGAATGAAGAGGACATCACCGATGACCTGGAGCTGCTCCAAGACGCTGGCCATACTGGGGGCTGTGAACTGAGGGGCCGTGGGGGGATGAGCTGTGAGTGAGGCTCATCCTACCCAGGCCGGGTGGGGGCCCAGCTCCACCCAGGGATATAGCTGGAGGGGCAGGATGCTGGCACTGCAGCCGACCAGTATCTCCCATTCACAGTGTGCTGCTGGGCCATGGCCTGCTGGGCCAGGCACTTGAGGATCTCGGAGCTTTCCTTCTCGTGGTTCTCACCAAAAAACAGGGGAGAGAGCACAGGCAGGAAAGGATTAGCTGCCCACAGCCTACAGGCGCAGCTCAACCCACCGGCCCTGCCACAGCCCACCTGGGCCTTATAGATGTTGTCAAATTCCTTCTTCTGCTACAAGCCGGACCAGAACTCAGCTTTGCTCTCACAGACCCAGGCAACAAGGTGGTGGCTGCCAGATCTCCCCAGACAGGAAGAAGACAGCCAGAGTATAGAGGTCGGGGAGAGAGGGTCCACATTCAGACCAGGACTTCCAACAGAGACAGGAATGCCACTGGCTTCTGGAAAAGAGTTACTTGTGGTGTGGGAAATTTAACATGGCCAACTCCTAAGCACTAAAAACCAGCAGCACCAACACTCAGGGACTGTGACCTTCACAACCCACCCAGTGACTTCCAAATGCTCCTTAGGAGAACAGCACAGCTCAGCTGGGTCACTGGTTTGACTGCTTGCTGGCTTGCAACCAACACAAAGCTCCAGATTCTGCATCTGGGAGCCTGATGGCAGGTGGGTGGGGGATGGGAAAGGGGCTCTAGTGAGTGTGGCCAAAACGAGCTCTTCTTCACTGTCCAGAGCTTCTCTCTTCAACGATCCAGCCCCAGAACAACCCAGGGTGCCCGTGCCCGCAGCAGAGTGCAGCTGGCTGCAGCCTCAGCCTCACAGGGCTGCTCCTCAACTGTGCTCCACAAAGACATCCACCAGCTCCTGGCACAAGCGACAGAACCTGTGCCTGTGGGTGCAGGGGAAGCTGGCATGGGAGCACTCCTCTGGCAGCTCCTTGTGGGGCACAGGCAGGAAGCTGAGGTCAGGGGGAGGGGGCTCAGCAGGTAGTATCTGTCATTGCCAGTGACACCCTTGCCCTCAACCGAGAAGAGCTCCGCCTCATCGTTGCACTGGTTGAGCATGCAGTGGCACAGGGTCTTGAGCAGTTAACTCATGCTCCAGCAGATCCAGGCAACACGATGGGGGCCACACCACCATCTTACAAAGTCAGTGGAGCCATAGATGACACTCTGCTCCTGGTCCCACTCCAGGATGCCAGGGATGAGGACTGGAACCTGACCCAGTAGCTGCGGTCATCCACCTCTGCTGTGTCCAGCGTGTACAGACCCTCCATGTCCGCTGCCTTGTGCGGGTGCTCACCGTTCAGGTCATTGGTGAATGCTATGGAGGCTGCCACATCCCTGGCAAAGTCCTTGTAGTGGCCACTAATGACAAAGCCCAGGCTGAAGATGATGCGGCTCCACATGAACATCTGCAGCTTGGTCTCCTCACTGGGACTGATGGCCATGACGATGCCTCCCTGACTACCATGGCGCCCCATGTGGCTGCCATTCTGAAGTTGCTGTGTACCTGGGAGGGACCAAGGCTGGGAGGGTGAGAGGCCATGCCCACAAAAGCCTCAGGCTACATCCACCTGGTCCAGCTCGCCAAGATGGGAGAGGCAACCAGGCCTGCCTTGGGAGCCAGAGACCCTTGCCTCAGTTTCCTTATATTTAGAGAAGGGCAAGAAAATCATTTCTACAAAAAAGTAAACACTTATGCTTAAAGAGGCACAGAGTTTAGTGGCTACCAAGGAGTATGAGGGCTGCGGCAGGTTTGGGATCCACCAGCTATGTGCCAGGCAAACCAGGGCAGGTAACTTCAGACCCAGTTTCTTGTCTATGCAACGATGATGATGGAAAGTATTGACATTTACAAGGGGTCCAAAAGATTATAGGAAATAATGCTTATAAAGCACTTGGAATCATCCTGGTAAAGTTAGTACCCAAGAAATTTTGGCTGTTACTTCTTCCATGTTACACAGTAAGTTTAGGAGAGATTTTTTTTTTTTTTTAACAATTATTTTTTCCTCATTTCTCTCAGTAACCGCACTAATGACTTTTAAGTGCCAGCAAGCTGCAAGTGCTGCCAATGAGCCCCTGCCCTAGAAGGGCTACAGTTGGGCACCATGTGCTCAGGGGAGGGCCCCATGGCAGTCAGTGGAGGGTGGGAAGCTGGATGGCCCTGGCCACTCAGCCCAGATAGCAAGGAGGGCCTTCTCCTCCCAAGGACTCAAAGTCTCAGAGGCCGGAGAAAGGTGGGGGATGGTCTCCCAGGAAGCAGAATGCTAGAAGGCCTTGCAGGGCAAACCTGACGGGCCTTCAGGGCACCTGACAGGGCTGGGACTGCCGGCTTCCCTCACTTCTCTCCCGAGCACAAGAAAACCTTCCAGCAGGAGCCAGGTGGGCCTGAGGCTGTGAGGCTGTCACTCACTTACCAGGGGATTCAGGCACCTTGAACATGGCTTTTTCTTGAAGCAGCTGCTCAGGTTGGTTCTTGTTGGGTAGGTCCCTCATCATCTGCAGCTCCTCGTTCCAGTACTGGGGCTGCAGAGGGACCAGGGAGGGAGACATGGGCTCAGCCTGTGCACTGCAACCTGCTCTGGGAAGTCCCTTCTCCTCTCTCCCCACAGACAGCCCCAGACTCCCCAATGAACAGACCTGTGGGGAGCCTCAGGGAAGTGCACAGAACCCCACCTGGCACCCAGGAAGGAAGGGGGTTCCCACTGAGGACCGGGCCAGGCTACAGGCCCCTATGCAGGAATGTGCTCCTCACAGCCCAGCCTTGAGGTGCAGATGCCTCTCCACACTGCAGTCCACAGTGTACTCCGTCACAGGGGCCATCCAGCTGCACACCTGGAATGAGGTGGCCCCCTCTCGAATGGGTGGTACTGGACCTCAAGGCAGGCAGGGGAAAGGCAGATGGGGCCACCCACCAATCTCAGGACGCTGCCACAGGCTCCTTCTTCATCGAGGCCCTCACCTGCTCTGGGTTCTCCTGGCCCTGAGATGCTGCCCTGAAAGGCGAGTCAGAAGCACATGGGCGCTGCTTCACGGCTGCTCTAGCCAGAGCTGGTTCACAGCTCCCTAGAGGGAGACTTGGGCACTGGGGGCCCGGGGACAATTTCTTTGGGCAGAAGCACTGAGTTTGGGCTAGCCAAATCATCCCAGACCCCTGTGTGACATGAAGCGGGGCAGGAGCAGACGGGGCAAAGGCACTCCCCTTCCCCTGACGCAGGGCACAATGTTCTGTAAAAGGCAGTCAGATCTGGCAGAGCAGCTCCCCTGCGAATTGCTTAGGAAGCGGGGGCTGGTGGGCTTGGGGTTGAAGTGACAGGCTGGAGACCTACAAGAAGAGGGTGGTCCCTGAGTGGGTGCCCCTGGTAGGCTGGCAGGGACTCACCAGTTATGGTAAAAGCCCTGTGTGGATGTGGTAATGCTACCTCGCTGGTCCTCGGCTGTGATCACAAACAGGTACACAAGGTCCTGTGCATCTTGCAGTTCCCAGGGGACAGGTACCAGCCGCTCACGGTGAGCACTTTCAGGGGCTGCAGGAATGGCCAAGCATGAATGGGCCAGGCCTCCTGGTGTGTGGCCCTCCACCCACCCGGGGACCCTCTTCCTTGCTCCTCCCTGGAGTCCCACCTTTTAGTCACCGTTCTGGGGTTGCAGGGGACACAGTGGCTGTTCCAGGGTCCCTAGCAGGATGTACTTGGGTGGTGTGCAGTCGGTGGGGTCCATCTCCAAGTCTTTCTGCTCCTGCCGTCTGTGAGACCCAAGGCTGGTGGTCAGCACACAAGCACCCAGGGCCAGCTGCCTCTAACTGTGGCCCTGGTCTGGGTTCCTCAGGCCCAGGCCCCTCCAGGTAGAAAGGCCTGGCCTTAAGCCCCCTTCGTCAGCCTCTGGCCTCCTTGTTCCCTGCCCCTCTGCCCCCTGCCCAATCTCTGGCCCCAATGCCTCCACACCTCTCAGGCCACTGTCAGTGAAGACGCTCAGGAAGGACAAGGAGCTGCATCAGCTGGGTCCAGGCTCCTGAGCAGTCTCAAATGTGGCACTCATCACCGTGGGCCTTGTGCATTGTGCAGGGCTCTGTCAGGAACAGGAGAGAGGAGGGTGTTACCAGGGCCCTGCACCCTGGAACAACCCACCCAGCTTAGTAAATAGTTGGCAAGGAAACTTCATGGATAATTTTAATTTTCAACTTTAGGCTTCCATTTTCAAATTCCACTATGGACACATAAGCTAGAGTTTGGTTTCAATACACACGTGTGCACGTGCGCACCTACACACACACACAAACACACACACAACACACCCTGGCTTGCTAAGGGCAAGAATCCTTGATTGCAAAGAACCTCCTGCCAGTTGCTTCTGAAGCACACACAGGCCTTGGGGAGCCCACAAAAGGCCTCCTGCTTTTTGTGCGCTAGGCCTCTGCAGCCTCACCCTGCTCTCCTGGGGCAGCCTTCATGCAGGGGTGGCCTGACAACTTTCTAGGGCTGCCAAATTTAACGCCCCCATTGAGTTTCATGGGATTTTAATGGTCATTGTTTTGGAGGAAGGGAGAAATTGTGATGAACTGTGGGCCCCCTTGAGCTACAGACCTTTTCCACAAGTAGTCAGGCCCTGGGAACCTGAGTGCTTCACCCAGAGAACTTGAGTCTACGGAAGCTTTTATTTGACAACCAAGCCAGGCTCACTACACCAGCTGATGGTGCTGCTTGGAGCCGACTTCCCCACTCAAGGACTGTGAAACTTTAGTTTCTTTAGGAAACTAAGCACTCATCTTTTCATAATTTAATAGGGCGGATTCCAAGCCCTAGCTTCATACTGCCTGACTTTCTTTTCAGAATTTCAACTGTTTTTTCACCCCTGGGCCATGAAGTTAGAGAGTGCAGGTATGATGCCCTGAAAAGCAGACTTGTGCTCCAATCCCACCTCCATATGCTCATCTGCGAAATAGAGACACCAGCTGGGGCAGTGCAGTGTTGCCCGGCCCTGCTTACAGGGGCCCTCCCTGGGCAGGCTGCCCAACTTCCAGACCAACCTTCCACCACGTGGAGCAGCAAGCCCGCCTGCAGCCCTGCCATGCTGCGCAGCTCTGAGACGTGGTCCAGTGTGCTGCCACCCAGGTGCAGTGAGAAGTGATGTGGTGACATGGGTATTCATGGTCCATGAACAGCTGGTGGATCTCCAGCACCATCTCCTGCGGGAACACCTGCCAGGGAGAAGGCCCGGACCAGCCCGGTCAGAGGCCACATGGTAGGGAGCAAGGACATACCCCTTCCCCAGCCCAAAACACCTGGGTCCTGAGAATAAGTGTCTCAAATACTCAGTTTCCCACTTTTGGGCTTTTACATTCCAGGCCCTGTCCATATACAGCATGCCCATTGGCACCTGTGTGCCTAAGTGCAGGACAGAGCCTGGCCCCACTGACTCTTCCTGCAGCCTAAGAGCAACCCCCGAGCCAAGGAGAGGGAGATGGAAGAAAGTGGGGAGGGGGAACGGCAGGCTTGCTCTTGCCCTTGCCTAGTGCCAAGGGCTGAGTGCCCCAGGGCAAATGGCCTTTTCCTTCCTGAAGGGGTGCTCCAGGGCCCAAGCCTGTGAGTAGAGAGGACATGAGAGGGTCTTGCCAGGCTCCCCACCAAGTTACCAGCTTGCAAGTCCTCCGGGTTTGCTCTGTCCTTGGAGAACACCCAATACCACCCTCCAGGCCCCGGTGACAGATGGTAAGGCCATGGCCCATAGAGAGGTGACTTGCCTGAGGGCACAGAGCCAAGAGGCTGGGGCATCCTGGGACCTGACACTACCCACCCATTCCCACTCCTCTCCCTGAACAGGGCTGGTAGGCCCAGCTGGTAGCTGTCCTCTAGCAATAAGGCAGTAACTGAACCCGGACTCCATTCCCAGGTCCACCACATTAGCAGAGTGACCCCGGGCAGGGCCCAGGGCCCTCCATTTCCTGCCTATAGCACAGGGCCAGAAAGAGCCAGGGCAAGGCTGAGTTTTCCAGCATCATCTTCCCCAGCAGGCTCAAGCCCTGGTCCCCAGATCCCCTCCTCCATCATACCCACAGGGAGAAGGGTTCGATCTCGGGGCCAGGATCTCCACAGAAAAGTCCAAATCCTGAATGGTGACTTCTATCTGGTGGTGTCGTCTCCTGGCTTGGCCTCATCCAGCCCATGTTCCCGGGATGGCTCAGCCTCCTCCTTCCTCCTTCAGGCTCCTTCTTCTTCAGGGTCTCCAGGCAGTTCCCATTCAAGAACATGAGTGATGGTGGCTCTGGGGGTGACAAGAAAGGCACTGAGTTGGTTGGGCCTTGCTGGTGAGGGAGGGCTGTCCACCTCACCCCACTTGGATGGACACAAGTCATATGGAACGGTGTCCGCGTGCCCTCCAGAGCTTTGACTCCACAGTCCCAGCTCACCCTCGGCACACCTGCAAGCTGCACCTTCTCCCTTTCACATCCTGTGCCTCCCTCCTCAACTGCTCCTTAGCCCACCACAGTCTGGCTTCCACCTGAGCTCGCTGTCCAAACCACTCTCCCCACATCACCAAGGCCACCCTCAGGGCCAAGCCCCAGGGGCTTCTCCAGCCCAGGTACATCTGTCCACTCACCAGCACCCAGGCCACTGCTCATTTCCTTTCCTCCTCCCTGACCAATGCCACACCCTCGTCCCTCCCTCTCCAGCTCCATCCTCTTCCTCCAGTCCTGAGCTGGGAGTGTTGGGCCCCCCAGCCTCTCCTCATTCTCACCTCACCCTCTCCCATGGCTTCAAAGATGGTCCCATTTCCCAGCTCTCATAGCCAATCCTGGCCTCGATCAGGCCTTTCAGACCAAGGAGGCAGCTGGTCCTGGGCATCAACATGTGGCTCTCCCTTCAGTATCATGGAAGACCCATCCTGCAGGGATGAAATTCATCTTCCTCCACAAACTGGTCTCAGCGTGTGAAGGCCCCCCACCACTTATCTAGTCACCCAACCTCAATTTCCCATCTCCTATTTCAAGAATGCCCCTTGGAACCCTTCTAAGAAGCACACTGCTCACAAAACCAAGCTGCTTTTTTTTTTTGAGATGGAGTCTTGCTCTGTTGCCTAGGCCGGAGTGTAGTGGTGTGATCTTGGCTCACTGAAACCTCCGCCTCCTGGGTTCAAGAGAGTCTCCTGTCTCAGCCTCCCAAGTAGGTGGGACAGGCATGTGCCACCACGCCCAGCTAATTTTTGTATTTTTAGTAGAGACGGGGCCATGTTGGCCAGGCTGGTCCTAAGCTCAGGTGATCCGCCTGCCTCAGCCTCCCAAAGTGCTGGGATCACAGGCATGAGCCACCACACCCAGCCAAAATCAAGCTTCTTAAGCCCGTGTTCTCAGGCACCAGCCTAAAGGCAACCCCAGCTCCTGCCGGCTCCTGCACTTAGGTCTACATTCCCCAAACCACAGAGGACTGAGAATACCTGAAACCTGCCCTCCCACCTCTCTGCTTTTCCATGCTGCCCCTGACATCTCAGTCTGTCGGGCAAACACTGACTCATCCTTCAAGGCCTAGGTGAAAGTGTCTACAGGTAGACTATTGCTGCCTACCTGCCACCCATCCTCCTTCCCAGAGATCAGTGAATGAAGGATGTGGAGCCCCAGAAGGAGGGAACTATGTCTTCTGATCTGTCCACAGCCTTGACCTCCAAAGTTTAGATGTGGATGGAGTAGAATAAAGGCAAACTTCTTTTTTTTTTTGCAATTTGGCCTTGGCCCTAATGGTCAGGCTGCATCTGCTTGAAATCTACAATAAAGAGCAAATAGTTGATAACGTTGTGAATTGCAGAGGGGAAGCTGGCAGTTGAGAATCAGGAGAAGGAAGTGAAAATTTAGAATTTTACTGAAAGCCTTAGAAGAATTAGGTTGGGGGAACAGGGTGGTGGATTTGAGACCCTCCTTGCCATAGATTTGGAAAATGCAGGGAAAATCAGTCCCCCTGTGGGGTGTTAAAATAATTAAATGGGAGGCAATTTGACTGAAGTGGCTGTAGTGCCCTGGGTTTCTACCTAAGAAAACCAAAACGTAACTCATGCATTTCTTAGAAATAACTTAAAGGAAAAGAAAACACTCTTAACCAACCACAAACCACCAATTAACCTTTGATTACATAATCAGGGAATTTCCGCCTGGACAGTTCAAATAAGGGGACTACGTAATTGTAGCCAATCAATTACTGAATTGGCTTTGCTTCCTCATGCATCTTATTAAACCCTTTCCTTCAAGCCCCTCCGGTGGACCCCAAACCACAATCCATGGTTGTGGCTTCCTGATTCACGGGTCGTTATTTGCTCAGATAAAATCTTTAACGTTTTAACCAAACCTCAGTTTAATTTTTAACAAAAGAAAGAAAGGACTACGGACCCCACGGACCACAGCTCCTCCCACGCCCGAACCCCGAGCCGGGGTTCTCCCCTACGGCCCCTCCCGTCATCACCGCACAACGCGGGGAGACACGGGGCTGCGGGCGCGAAACTGCCCAGAGAGGGCTCAAGGCAGGACCAAGGTCGTCGCGCAGGGACGGGACGAGGCGCCCGGGGTCCCAGCTGCCGGCCGAGCCGCACCGTGTGACCGAGGAGACTCCGGGCCCCGACCCCGGAGCCGCCAGGGGCAGGCCCGGTTCCCAGCCGACCCCTGCCGCGTCTCGGGAAGCTCAGCCCCGCAGACTCACCATCTCGCGGCTTCAGGAGCGTCCCGGTATCCTCTCTAGGGACCGTCCAGTACCTGCAGGTCACAGGGCAAAGGAGGCTGCGGAATGAAGGAGAAAGAGCAGGGTACACAGATCAAGCAGGGAAGCGCACCTGGGAGAGGAAAAGGCCAGCCCAGAACACAGGAAGTGCGCCCCCTTTTTCGGCTGCGCGCCTGATTGGACAGGCTCGACAACGGCGCCGCTGAATGGATAGGGCTCCAGGTCCCGCCCCCTTACCCCCGAGTGACAGGAGATGCGATCACAGGTGTGGCTGAATGAGGCCTGAATGAATGATTGTCTGCAGCCCTTTTCAGGCAGGGCTGACTCCCTGTGCTGGGACCTGGGGCTGCTCCGGACATTGGTATTTAACTTTGCTCATAAGATTATATCAATTTATGAGTAATATAGGTAATATGTAAAATTGAAAATTATATAATAACGATTCTTTTAAAATTTCAGATTTCATAACCTTCATGGCCTCTGGTCCCTTGTGGAGGCAGCATGAGATTTGAAAATGGAGGGAGTCCTCTAAGTCAGAAATGTCCAATAGGAATAAAATTGAGCCGCATGTGTCATTTACAGTAGCCTAGTGGCATCATGAAAGGAAAACAGGTAAAATTGATGGTAATACCTTAACCCGATATATCCAAAATATTATCACTCAAATATGTGAGCAATATGAAATTATTAATGAAGACCACCAGAGAATGCTTCTTAAGTTTGGGGTACTAAATCTTGTAAAGTCACTCTGTATTTAAACTTCTAGCACATCTCAGTTCCAACCAGCTCTATCCAAAGAGCTCAGCAGCCCCACGTGGGCAGTGGCTTCCGCATTGAAGAGCAGATCTGAGGGCACTTGCGCGTCTAACCTCAGGGAAATCGAGGGCCTGGACCCCCTTTCCTGCCAGACGAGAGCGAACACCCTCATCCTGCCCATCTCTTTCCTCATGCCCAAGGGTGGGAGAGGCAGTGCCCAGTGAGAGAGCCAGGGCTGCAGTCAGGAGGTGTCCACAGGTCGACCACTGCTGCCCACCTGCTTCTGGGCAGGGCTCCCTCAGCCTTCCAAAGGTCAGACAGTGAATGAAGAGTGTCAGGCTTCAGGAGGAAACCCCTGACTTCAGATCTGTCTACAGCCTTGACCTCCAAAGTTTGGATGTGGAGGGAATAAAAGCAAATTTTTTTTATTTTGCAATTTGCCCTTGGCCCTGATGGTTAGGCTATGGCGGGCTGTTTCCTCCTATGGTGTGGGGACTGTGTGAGTTTAAGCACCAAGCATGTCAACATGCATTTCTGTATAATTTATCCCTATCCAACAAGAGGCCCCACTTTAAATAAAGGGAAAAGCAAATCAATACCTTATACAGTGCCTTCTGTTTGCCAGGTAACAACAAGTAGTGACCAACCTGTCATTTGAATCCTGGCAACCTGACTGCAGGTGTATGTATCAGTTAGCTATTGCTGCATTAAAAACCACCCTAAACCTTATTAGCTCATGATTGGGATGGTCAGTCATTTAGGCTGGACTCAACTGGGCCATTCTTCTGGTCTCAGCTGGGCTCCTTCAGGCGTGTGTGGTCAGCTGCTGGTTGACTAAGTGGCTCTGCTTCTGGGTGTCAGCTGGGGCACCTTGGTTTTCCTCCCCAGTGGGATCTCATCCTCCAGCAGGCTAACATGTGCTTGTTCTCATGGAGATGGCAGGGTTCTAAAAGAAAAAGCAGAAGCATTCAAGGCCTTATGTCCCTAGACCCCAAACTGTCACATTGCCATATTGATAGCTTTCTATTGCCCAGAGCAAATAAGGCCAGCCCAGATCCAAGCGTCAGGAAACAGATTCTGCCTCTATGTTGGAGCAGCTGTAAAAGCATATTCCAAAGGGCATGGACACCAGAGCCATTTTGCAGTCAGTATCATTCTGCCTTTTCTTACAGCAAGGTTTATATAACTGTTCCAAGTCAAGGAACATGTCCAAAGCACTACAGCTACTAAGTGGCTGGACTGGGACTCTGGATCAACTTTGCCTGACTCCAAAGCCCATGTACCTCCATAGACCTCACAACTCAAGCAGCTTCCCTAGGCCTTTGAGATCCTGAAGACTGACTCTTCTGCAATAGAATAAAGGTTCTTTTGAGATGCTCATCCTTCTAGTAGGATTATTCACAATTAGGAGTAATCCCCACCAGAGAATGCTTCTGAAATGTCTTGCAAACATTTAGATTAACTTGGGAAAATGGCTGATGGCTGAGTTTAAAAAATCAAGGCATAACTTTTTCATTTCTTACCATAGGAGAGATCTGAAAACACATATAATGCACGAACATGTGTGCAAATTATTTTCATCCCCGTGCGTTATTTGTAGTCTGATTATGATTTTTAACACAGACTAAATTAAACTACTGTTCCCGAAACAACGTTTTACTCTGAAAGCAAGAGACACAAAGGTAGATCTGCCGAGAAGACATTTCCTCCTGCCTCAATTTAGCCAAACAGCTGAGTACGTCTTAAAGTCAGCCTTCGATTTCTAACAAGTCAAGCTGTTTGCCAAGACCTCAATCAGATCATAAGAGTGCTTCAGCTACTTCATCATCCTAGAAGGTTGACCAGACAGATCGAAGCTCTGGGGGTGGAGTGGTGAGAGCACCCGCACTAGCAGGTGGGCAGCCATAGGTCCATAGATGAGAGTCATTCATTAGGTGGGGTGTTTTGGGGTCCTGACATTTATGACACAATTAATGTCTATATTACTAAATGTAAATTTTAAAACATTACAAATAATAAATCTACATATAAACTGAATATGTCAGCAATTACAATTATTGTTATTCATCATTATTCTAAGTGTGATCATTATTATTACCACAATTAGAAATAGTGGTTGTGATTGTTGTTGCTGCTGCTGCTGCTGTTGCTGCAGGGATGGTGATAAAAACACCGGGTAAGGCTCTGCTGCCTCCTCCACTTGTGGCATCGGGAGCTGCTGGCTCACTAGTTTGGTGCACACTCTGGACCTCTTTGGTGAAGCTGCAGCTGAAGAGCCTTCAGGCTCTGCTATGGCAGAGAAAGAGCCTGAGTCAAGGCCGAGAGCAGAATCCTGTGAATTTGAAAGTGGCAGGTAGGATGGTCCCGGGGTGCAGTTGATGGTGAAGAGGCACACACCACTTAGTGAATGAGTGGAAGCCTTTGGTGAAAGGCAGAGTTTGTCCATGACACAGATCAGATTCCACTTTGACTGGGGCCAATCAGTGAAACAGACACATCTGCAGAACTGGAAACAGAGGACAAAGATTCAGTTGATGTGTTCCAGAAGCAGACTGGAGTGTCTACTGAGAACACACTCACGGCTTTACCCCAGAACTCTGTTCCTACAGACATTCTCATGTGGAAAACTGCAATATGGTTCCACCACGTCTGATTGGTCCAGTATCCCCTTCTCTATTCTTCACTTTCTCCTTCCTTATTCCTTTACTGTACATAAATTATCAAGTGTAGCTGCACAAGCATATTGATGATTTTGTTTGCTTGCTTGTTTGATTGTACCGAATGGCCACCAGTTTGTGTTGAGTGATTGCCAATGGACACAAGGCGAGGGAAAACACTGATTCTGGGAAAAGACTCCCTTTCTCCACCAGGGGATGCTCACTTACCTCTTATCTCTATGTTCCAGGACTTTAACAACATAACAAACATAATGATCCTTAACGCTTGTTGCAGGGAGAAGAAAAAACCATAATAATCTTTGCATACATTGTTCGATTGGAGAATTTTGTTTTTGAAATATTCCATTGTGAAACTAAGGACAATTTCTTAACTTTCTTAAATGTAGCTGTTACACATAGGGCAAATCTGTCCTCACACAGGACTAAGTGACACTTACAACAACAGAATGAATCCCAGATATGTTCCTCTTCAAATCTGGCCTCTGGTTGTTTAAACATACATCTCGTGTAAAATATATATATTTAAAAATGTGTATAAATAGAAACATGAAGTTCCTCTAGCCACCAAGTAGGTTGGTTGGACTCAAAATGAGGTAGAAGGAGTTTCCATCTGCAGTACATTTGAAGTCCTCCTAGGAACCAGGGAACTGTCCACACCCTCTGAAGCTAGTCCCCTCCTCTTCTGCCTGGGGCAGGGTGCCCTGTGAGATTCCCATGTCCTGGCCCAGGAGGTATATGGAGGGTGGGAGGTTGTCGGTCTCACACCCAGCAGACATCCCTAGCCCAGGACTCTCTGGAAGGTATTACCAGAGTCCCCATAAGCTGCCAGGGTGACACCCTTCCAGAAAAGTTATACAGGTGAATTGTGCTTGGGGCCCAGTCCATGGGTGATACCAAGCCACTTTGCACCCTAGATAGAGGGCAACACCTCTAATGCAACTGCAAACTATAGTAAAGCTTTGTGTGTGTGTGTGTGTGTGTGTGTGCGCGCGCGCGTGCGTGCGTGTGTGTGTGTGACAGAGTCTCACTCTGCTGCCCAGGCTGGAGTGCAGTGGTGTGACCTCAGCTCACTGCAACCTCCACCTCCCAGGTTTAAGCGATTTTCCTGCCTCAACCTCCCGAGTAGCTGGGATTACAGGCACCCACCATGATGTCCAGCTAATTTTTGTATTTTTAGTAGAGATGGGATTTCACCATGTTGGCCAGGCTGGTCTTGAACTCCTGACCTCAGGTGATCCACCCACCTCGGCCTCCCAAAGTGCTGGGATTACGGGCCTGAGCCACCGCACCCAGCCCAAACTACATTAAGGCTCTATCTGCTGACAAAATCTGAGAGCCAGGAAATGGGACGTCCTCTTTATGCTTCAAAGGAAATGAGAACAGGCTAGAAGTGGTTTGTGCATGTGTTCATGACTGCCATTGTCAGGGTGAGTTGAGAAGTGCATGAGCTCAGAAAAGGACTGTGCCACATGACAAGCTGGAGTGGGTGTGACAGGGGAAGACTATAAACAAAATGTGTAAAGTAAAATGGAAGTTCCACTCAGTAAAGAAAACAGAATGAAAAAAGAAACCTGAAAACTCACTTTATTTTAAGAAGAAAAAAATCTATAATCAAACCTTAATTATGCTGTGGATGGCATATCTCTGCTTTCATGCAATGATCGGATGAAACCTGCAAGCTTGTCCAACCCACAGCCCATGGACCACATGGGACCCAGGATGGCTTTCAATGTGGCCCAATACAAATTCATAAACTTCCTTAAAACATTATGAGATTTTTTTTTGCAACTTTTATTTTTAGCTCACTAGGTATTATCAGTATTAGTATATTTTATGTGTGGCCCAAGACAATTCTTCTTCCAACATGGCCCAGGGAAGCCAAAACATTAGATATCCCTGTACTACAGGGTTCTAGAAAAATAAGTGATATGGTTTGGCTCTGTGTCCCTACCCAAGTCTCATCTCGAATTGTAATCCCCACTTGTCAAGGGAAGGACCTGGTGGGAGGTGATTGGATCATGGGGGCATTTTCCCCCATGCTGTTCTCACGATAGTGAGTGAGTTCTCACCAGAGTTGATAGTTTTAAAGTGTGGTGCTTCCTGTCTCTCTCTCTCCTGCTGCCTTGTGAAAAAGGTGCTTGCTTCTCCTTCACCTTCCACCATGATTGTAAGTTTCCTGAGGCCTCCCCAGGAAACAGTTAATTGAACTGTGAGTCAATTAAACTTCTTTTATTTATAAATATCCAGTCTCAGGTAGTATCTTTATAGCCATGTGGAAATGGACTAATAAAAAAATACATAGTGTGTACTCTTGCCACACATATGAAACTCAATTTCCATGAATTACCATGAGAAAAAAACAAATTAACCAGATTGAATCAGGGATGGAACTGATCACTACTGGGATGAAATACACTCAAATAGATTAAAATGTTGCTTGCAGTGTGTGTGTGTGTGTATGTGTGCATGCTTGTGTGTATGTTGGTGTGTGTGTATTTGTGGTGTGTGTGTGTAGTGTGTGCATGCATGTGTGTGTAGTGTGTATATAGTGTGTGTGTTGTTTGTGTGGTGCAGGTGATGTGTATACTCTGGTGTGTGTGCTGTTTGTGGTGTGTCTGCATGTGTGGTGTGTGTGTAGTGTAGGGTTGTGTGCTGTGTGTGTACGTGTGCTGTGTGTGGTGTGCATGCATGCGCATGTGGTGTGTGTAGTGTGTTTGTTGTGTATCTGTGTAGTGTGTGTGGTGTGCATGTGTACTGTGGTGTATGTGGTATGCATGTTTTGTGCATGCATGTGTGTGCTGTGTGCATGTGTGTGTAGTATAAGTATGTAATATATGTGTAGTATATGTATGTCGTGTGTGGTATACGTGTGTGTGGTGTGTGTGTATGTGGGGCGTGTGTGTGTTTTTTTTTTGTGTGTGTGACAGAGTCTAGCCCTGTCACCCAGGTTAGAGTGCAATGGCACGATACTGGCTCACTGCAACCTCTGACTCCCGGGCTCAAACGATTCTCCTGCCTCAGCCTCCCGAGTAGCTGGGATTATAGGCATCCACCACCACACCCAGCTAATTTTTTATTTTTAATAGAGATGGGGTTTTACCATGTTGGCCAGTCTGGTCTTGAACTCCTGACCTCGTGATCCACCCTCCTCGGCCTCCCAAAGTGCTGGGATTACAGGCGTGAGGTGTGTGGTGTTTTTCAGTGTGTAGTGTCTGTGCGTCTGTGTGCACATACGTGTGTGGTGTGTGTGTATGTGTGTGTGGTGTGTGTGGGTGTGTGTGTGTGTGTGGCGTACGTGTGTTTGTGCATGCATGTGTGGTGTGTGTGTATGTGGTGTGTGTGTATGTGTGCATATGTGTGTGATCTGTGGTGCGTTTGTGTGCATATGTGTGTGGTGTGTGTGTGGGGTGTGTGTGGTGTGTGGTTTGTGTGGGGGGTGTGTGTGGGGGTGTGTGTGTGTGTGTGGTGTGTATGGTGTTTGTGTATGTGTAATGTGTGTATATGGTGTTTGTGTATGTGTAAGGTGTGTGCATGTGTGTGCTGTGGTGTGTTTGCCCCTGAGTACCAGAAACGCTTCCTGCTTGAACTAAAGAAAATGCTCTGAGTTTTTTTAAAAAGTACTACTCTATGGAACCCAGAATCCTCCCACCTAGTAGGTGGCTCTTCAACCTCAGGTTTCAGTGTCAGCTCCTTTGAGAGCAGCCACCCAGCAGACCAAGTGCAGTGGGTGGGGAACATGGTGGGGAAGCCAGGGATTTTCTAGAGGGCGAGGCCCTAATTTGGGAGAATTCTGTGAAAGAATACATTCCCACCCACAGCCAGGAGCTAAGTCCTCATTTGGGCTCCAGAGGCAAAGTGATAGCTTCTCACCCCGCTGTTTTCTCCCCCACTCTGAAGGTGATCACCAGGTGGCGGCTGAAGATCAAAGATAAATATCACTAGACAGAACAGGCTGTCTTTTCTTTTTTTTTTAATCATACTTTAAGTTTTAGGGTACATGTGCACAACGTACAGGTTTGTTACATATGTATACATGCGCCATGCTGGTGTGCTGCACCCATTAACTCGTCTTTTAGCTTTAGGTATATCTCCTAATGCTATCCGTCCCCCTCCCCCCACCCCACAACAGGCCCTGGTGTGTGATGTTCCCCTTCTTGTGTCCATGTGTTCTCATTGTTCGATTCCCATCTATGAGTGAGAATATGCGGTGTTTGGTTTTTTATCCTTGTGATAGTTTGCTGAGAATGATGGTTTCCAGCTTCATCCATGTCCCTACAAAGGACATGAACTCATCCTTTTTTATGGCTGCATAGTATTTTATGGTGTATATGTGCCACATTTTCTTAATCCAGTCTATCATTGTTGGACATTTGGGTTGGTTCCAAGTCTTTGCTATTGTGAATAGTGCCCCAATAAACATACGTGTGCATGTGTCTTTATAGCAGCATGATTTATAATCCTTTGGGTATATACCCAGTAATGGGATAGCTGGGTCAAATGGTATTTCTAGTTCTAGATCCCTGAGGAATCGCCACACTGACTTCCACAATGGTTGAACTAGTTTACAGTCCCACCAACAGTGTAAAAGTGTTCCTATTTCTCCACATCCTCTCCAGCACCTGTTGTTTCCTGACTTTTTAATGATTGCCATTCTAACTGGTGTGAGATGGTATCTCATTGTGGTTTTGATTTGCATTTCTCTGATGGCCAGTGATGATGAGCATCTTTTCATGTGTCTTTTGGCTGCATAAATGTCTTCTTTTGAGAAGTGTCTGTTCATGTCCTTCGCCCACTTTTCGATGGGGTTTTTTTTTTTCTTGTAAATTTGTTTGAGTTCATTGTAGATTCTGGATATTAGTCCTTGGTCAGATGAGTAGGTTGCAAAAATTTTCTCCCATTCCGTAGGTTGCCTGCTCACTCTGATGGTAGTTTCTTTTGCTGTGCAGAAGCTCTTTAGTTTAATTAGATCCCATTTATCAATTTTGGCTTTTGTTGCCATTGCTTTTGGTGTTTTAGACATGAAGTCCTCGCCCATGCCTATGTCCTGAATGGTATTGCCTAGGTTTTCTTCTAGGGTTTTTATGGTTTTAGGTCTAACATTTAAGTTTTTAATCCTTCTTGAATTAATTTTTGTATAAGGTGTAAGGAAGGGATCCAGTTTCAACTATCTACATACGGTTAGCCAGTTTTCCCAGCACCATTTATTAAATAGGGAATCCTTTCCCCATTGCTTTTTTTTCTCAGGTTTGTCAAAGATCAGATAGTTGTAGATATGCGGCATTATTTCTGAGGGCTCTGTTCTGTTCCATTGGTCTATATCTCTGTTTTGGTACCAGTACCATGCTGTTTTGGTTACTGTAGGCTTGTAGTAAGTATAGTTTGAAGTCAGGTAGCTTGATGCCTCCAGCTTTGTTCTTTTGGTTTAGGATTGACTTGGCAATGCGAGCTCTTTTTTGGTTCCATGTGAACTTTACAGTAGTTTTTTCCAATTCTGTGAAGAAAGTCATTGGTAGCTTGATGGGGATGGCATTGAATCTACAAATTACCTTGGGCACTATGGCCATTTTCACGACATTGATTCTTCCTACCCATGAGCATGGAATGTTCTTCCATTTGTTTGTATCCTTTTTTATTTCATTGAGCAGTGGTTTGTAGTTCTCCTCGAAGAGGTCCTTCACATCCGTTGTAAGTTGGATTCCTAGGTATTTCATTCCCTTTGAAGCAATTGTGAATGGGAGTTCACTCATGATTTGGCTCTCTGTCTGTTATTGGTGTATAAGAATGCCTGTGATTTTTGCTCATTGATTTCATATCCCGAGACTTTGCTGAAGTTGCCTATCAGCTTAAGGAGATTTTGGGCTGAGATGATGGGGTTTTCTAGATATACAATCATGTCGTCTGCAAACAGGCACAATTTGACTTCCTCTTTTCCTAATTGAATACCCTTTATTTCCTTCTCCTGCCTGATTGCCCTGGCCACTATGTTGAATAGGAGTGGTGAGAGAGGGCATCCCTGTCTTGTGCCAGTTTTCAAAGGGAATGCTTCCAGTTTTTGCCCCTTCAGTATGATATTGGCTGTGGGTTTGTCACAGACAGCTCCTATTATTTGGAGATATGTCCCATCAGTACCTAATTTATTGAGAATTTTTAGCATGAAGCGTTGTGGAATTTTGTCAAAGGCCTTTTCTGCACCTGTTGAGATAATCATGTGGTTTTTGTCTTTGGTTCTGTTTATATGCTGGATTACATTTATTGATTTGGATATGTTGAACCAGACTTGCATCCCAGGGATAAAGCCCACTTGATCATGGTGGATAAGCTTCTTGATGTGCTGCTGGATTCGGTTTGCCAGTATTTTATTGAGGATTTTTGCATCGATGTTCATCAGGGATATTGGTCTAAAATTCTCTTTTTTTGTTGTGTCTCTGCCATGCTTTGGTATCAGGATGATGCTGGCCTCATAAAATGAGTTAGGGAGGATTCCCTCTTTTTCTATTGATTGGAATAGTTTCAGAAAGAGTGGTACCAGCTCCTCCTTGTACCTCTGGTAGAATTCGGCTGTGAATCCATCTGTTCCTGGACTTTTTTGGTTGGTAAGCTATTAATTATTGCCTCAATTTCAGAGCCTGTTATTGGTCTATTCAGAGATTCAACTTCTTCCTGGTTTAGTCTTGGGATGGTGTAGGTGTCAAGGAATTTATCCATTTCTTCTAGATTTTCTAGTTTACTTGGGTAGATGTGTTTATAGTATTCTCTGATGGTAGTTTGTATTTCTGTGCGATCGGTGGTGATATCCCCTTTATCATTTTTTATTGTGTCTATTTGATTCTTCTCTCTTTTCTTCTTTATTAGTCTTGCTAGCGGTCTCTCAATTTTGTCGATCCTTTCAAAAAATCAGCTCCTGGATTCATTAATTTTTTGAAGGGTTTTTTGTGTCTCTATTTCCTTCAGTTCTGCTCTGATTTTACTTATTTCTTGCCTTCTGCTAGCTTTTGCATGTGTTTGCTCTTGCTTCCCTAGTTCTTTTAATTGTGATGTTAGGGTGTCAATTTTAGATCTTTCCTGCTTTCTCTTGTGGGCATTTAGTGCTATAAATTTCCCTCTACACATTGTTTTAAATCTGTCCCAGAGATTCTGGTATGTTGTGTCTTTGTTCTCGTTGGTTTCAAAGAACATCTTTATTTCTGCCTTAATTTCGTTATGTACCCAGTAGTCATTCAGGAGCATGTTGTTCAGTTTCCATGTAATTGAGCGGTTTTGAGTGAGTTTCTTAATCCTGAGTTCTAGTTTAATTGCACTGCGGTCTGAGAGACAGTTTGTTATCATTTCTGATCTTTTATGTTTGCTGAGGAGTGCTTTACTTCCAACTATGTGGTCAATTTTGGAATAGGTGTGGTATGGTGCTGAAAAGAATGTACATTCTGTTGATTTGGGGTGGAGAGTTCTGTAGATGTCTATTAGGTCTGCTTGGTGCAGAGCTGAGTTCCATTCCTGGATATCCTTGTTAATTTTCTGTCTCATTGATCTGTCTAATGTTGACAGTGGGGTGTTAAAGTCTCCCATTATTATTGTGTGGGAGTCTAAGTCTCTTTGTAGGTCTCTAAGGACTTGCTTTATGAATCTGGGTGCTCCTGTATTGGGTGCATATATGTTTAGGATAGTAAGCTCTTTTTGTTGAATTGATCCCTTTACCATTATGTAATGGCCTTCTTTGTCTCTTTGGATCTTTGTTGGTTTAAAGTCTGTTTTATCAGAGACTAGGATTGCAACACCTGCCTTTTTTTGTTTTCCGTTTGCTTGATAGATCTTCCTCCATCCCTTTATTTTGAGCCTATGTGTGTCTCTGCACGTGAGATGGGTTTCCTGAATACAGCACACTGATGGGTCTTGACTCCTTATCCAATTTGCCAGTCTGTGTCTTTTAATTGGAGCATTTAGCCCATTTACATTGAAGGTTAATATTCTTATGTGTGAATTTGATCCTGTCATTATGATGTTAGCTAGTTATTGCTCGTTAGTTGATGCAGTTTCTTCCTAGCCTCCATGGTCTTTACAATTTGGCATGTTTTTGCAGTGGCTACTACCGGTTGTTCCTTTCCATGTTTAGTGCTTCCTTCAGGAGCTCTTTTAGGGCAGGCCTGGTGGTGACAAAATCTCTCAGCATTTGCTTGTCTGTAAAGTATTTTATTTCTCCTTCACTTATGAAGCTTAGTTTGGCTGGATATGAAATTCTGGGTTGAAAATTCTTTTCTTTAAGAATGTTGAATATTGGCCCCCACTCTCCTCTGGCTTGTAGAGTTTCTGCTGAGAGATCAGCTGTTAGTCTGATAGGCTTCCCTTTGTGGGTAACCTGACCTTTCTCTCTGGCTGCCTTTAACATTTTTTCGTTGATTTCAACTTTGGTGAATCTGACTATTATGTGTCTTGGAGTTGCTCTTCTTGAGGAGTATCTTTGTGGCATTCTCTATATTTCCTGAATTTGAATGTTGGCCTGCCTTGCTAGATTGGGGAAGTTCTCCTGGATAATATCCTGCAGAGTGTTTTCCAACTTGGTTCCGTTCTCCCCTTCACTTTCAGGTACACCAATCAGACGTAGATTTGGTCTTTTCACATAGTCCCATATTTCTTGGAGGCTTTGTTCATTTCTTTTTATTCTTTTTTCTCTAAACTTCTCTTCTCGCTTCATTTCATTCATTTGGTCTTCCATCGCTGATACCCTTTCTTCCAGTTGATTGAATTGGCTACTGAGGCTTGTGCATTCATCACGTAGTTCTCATGCCATGGTTTTCAGCTCCATCAGGTCCTTTGAGGACTTCTCTGCATTGGTTATTCTAGTCAGCCATTCGTCTAATTTTTTTCAAGGTTTTTAACTTCTTTGCCATAGGTTCAAACATCCTCCTTTAGCTCAGGTTTGATCATCTGAAGCCTTCTTCTCTCATCAAAGTCATTCTCCGTCCAGCTTTGTTCCATTGCTGGTGGGGAGCTGCATTCCTTTGGAAGAGGAGAGGCCCCCTGATTTTTAGAGTTTCCAGTTTTTCTGCTCTGTTTTTTCCCCATCTTTGTGGTTTTATCTACCTTTGGTCTTTGACGATGGTGATGTACAGATGGGTTTTTGGTGTGGATGTCCTGTTTGTTAGTTTTCCTTCTAACAGTCAGGACCCTCAGCTGCATGTCTGTTGGAGTTTCCTGGAGGTCCACTCCAGACCCTGTTTGCCTGGGTATCAGCAGCGGAGGCTGCAGAACAGCGGATATTGGTGAACAGCAAATGTTGCTGCCTATTCGTTCCTCTGAAAGTTTTGTCTCAGAGGATTATCCGGCCTTGTGAGGTGTCAGTCTGCCCCTACTGGGGGGTGCCTCCCAGTTAGGCTACTAGGGGGTCAGGGACCCACTTGAGGAGGCAGTCTGTCCGTTCTCAGATCCAAGCTGCGTGCTGGGAGAACCACTACTCTCTTCAAAGCTGTCAGACAGGGGCATTTAAGTCTGCAGAGGTTTCTGCTGCCTTTTGTTTGGCTATGCCCTGCCCCCAGAGGTGGAGTCTACAGAGACAAGAAGGCCTCCTTGAGCTGTGGTGGGCTCCACCCAGATCGAGCTTCCCAGCTGTTTTCTTTACCTACTCAAGCCTCGGCAATGGCGGATGCCCCTCCCCCAGCCTCACTGCCGCCTTGCAGTTTGATCTCAGACTGCTGTGCTAGCAATAAGTGAGGCTCCGTGGGCATAGGACCCTCCAAGCCAGGCGGGAGATATAATCTCCTGGTGTGCCGTTTGCTAAGACTGTTGGAAAAAGTGCAGTATCAGGGTGGGAGTGACCCGATTTTCCAGGTGCCATCTGTCACCCCTTTCTTTGACTAGGAAAGGGAATTCCCTGACCCCTTGCGCTTCCCGGGTGAGGCGATGCCTCGCCCTGCTTCGGCGCACACTCAGTGCAGTGCACCCACTGTCTGACACTCCCCAGTGAGATGAACCCAGTACCTCAGTTGGAAATGCAGAAATCACCCGTCTTCTGTGTCACTCACGCTGGGAGCTGTAGACTGGAGCTGTTCCTATTCGGCCATCTTGGTTCCACCCTTTTCTTTTCAATTAAAAAAAATTATTATATATTTATGAGATACAATGTGATGTTTGATATATGTATACAGTATGGAAAGATTCAATTGAGCCAATTAACATAGCCATCCACTCACCAATTTAGCATCTTTTTTGTTGTGAGAATATTAAAAATTGAATATTGTGATTTAAATGTACAATTCATTATTAACTGTGTTCACCATGCAGTACAATAGAACACACTTATTCCTCCAGACTAAATAAAAGTTTGTATCCTTCCATAAACATCTTCTTTTTCCGTATTCTTCCCGTCCCCCTGACCCAGCCTCTGGTTGCCACCTTTCTAGTCTCTTTTCTCTGTTTCTGTGAGATCAACCTTTTTGATTCCACGTATAGGTGAGATCATATAGTATTTGTCTTTCTATGCCTGGTTTACTTCACATAGCAGAATATCCTCTGGTTAAATCCAAGATATCACAGATGACATAATTTCCCTCTTTTTTATGGAAAAATAGTTCTCCAATATATATATACACCACATTTTCTTTTCTATTCTTTCTTTCTTTTTTCTTTTTCTTTTTTTTTTTTTTTTTTTTTTTTTTTTTTTTTTTTTGAGACAGGTTCTTGCTCTGTTGCCCAGGCTGGAGTGCAATGGCATGATTTCAGCTCACTGCAACCTCCTCCTCCTGGGTTCAGGCTATTCTTCTGACTCAACCTCCTGGGTAGCTGGGATTACAGGTCCCCACCACCATGCCCAGCCAATTTTTGTATTTTTAGTAGAGACGGGCATGTTGGCCAGGCTGGTCCTGAACTCCTGACTTCAAGCCATCTGCCCGCTTTGTCTTCCCAAAGTGTGGGATTACAGGCATAAGCCACCATGCTCAGCCCACAGTTTCTTCATTCATCCATTGATGGACACTTGGGTTGCTTCCATATCTTGATTATTGTCAGTAATGCCAAAATAACCATGAGGGTAAATATCTCTCTTCAATATACTAATTTAAATTCTTTTTGATATATACCACAAAAGTGGAATTGCTAGATCATAGGATACCTTTTTTTTTTTGATGGAGTCTCACTCTGTCACCAGGCTAGAGTGCTGTGGCGCATTCTCGACTCAGTGCAACCTCTGCCTCCCAGGTTCAAGGGATTCTTCTGCCTCTGTCTCCCAAGTAGCTGGGATTACAGGCATGCGCCACCATGCCTGGCTAATTTTTGTAGTTTTAGTAGAGATGGGGTTTCACTATGTTGGCCAGGATGGTCTCGATCTCCTGACCTCGTGACCTGCCCGCCTCAGCCTCCCAAAGTGCTGGGATTACACGCGTGAGCCACTGCGCCTGGCCAGGATACTTTTATTTCTAGTTTTTTGAAGAACGTCCATACCGTTTTCAGAATGGCTGTACTACTTTACATTCCCACCAATAGGGTACAAGAGTTTTCTTTTCTCCACATCTTTGCCAACACTTGAAATCATTAGTCTTTTTGATAAGAACCGTTCTAACAGGCCTGAGGTGATAACATTAACATTGCTTTCCTTTTTTCTCAATTAAGTGGTCAGAATTTTGTATTTAATGTCTTTAAATGGCCTCATACCTATAATCCCAGCATTTTGGGAGGCTGAGGCAGGCGGATCACCTGAGGTCAGGAGTTCGAGACCAGCCTCACCAACATGGTGAAACCAAGTCTCTACTAAAAATACAAAATTAGTTGGGCGTGATGGCGCTCACCTGTAATCCCAGCTACTCGGGAGGCTGAGGCAGGAGAATTACTTGAACCTGGGAAGTGGAGGTTGCAGTGAGCCAAGATCACACCACTGCACTCCAGTCTGGGCAGCAAGAGCGAAATTCTGTCTCAAAAAAAAAAATGGCCTCAAACTCCCACTGAAAATGATTTCTCATGGCATTAGCATAATTTCAGACTACTCATCAGAATGATGAAGTCCCATGTGAAATGACCTGGAGTGGGGAGGGCAGGGAGGAAGCTGCAGCCAGAACAGACAAAGGAGAAGGGCTGGGATGCCTGTGGAGCTAGTGGTGAAACTTGTGAACCCCAAGTACCTGAGATGGGTCTCAGTCAATTTACAAAGTTAATTTTGCCAAGGTTAAGGATGCATGCCTGTGACACAGCTTCAGGAGGTCCTGATGACATGTGCTCAAGGTGGTCAGGGCAGAGCTTGGTTTTATACATTTTTAGGGAGAAATGGGATATTAACCAATCTATGTAAGATGAACATTGGTTCAGTCCTGAAAGGCAGGACAACTCAAAGCAAAGGCATGACAAACGGTTACATTCTTTTTTTTTTTTTTTAAGATGAAGTCTTGCTCTTGTCACCCAGGCTGGAGTGCAACGGCACCATCTCAGTTCATTGCAACCTCCACCTCCCGGGTTCAAGCGATTCTCCTGCCTCAGCCACCCAAGTAACTGGGATTACAGATGCCTGCCACCACGCCCAGCTAATTTTCATATTTTTAGTAGAAAATATGAAAATAACTTTCAGCCTCTCTCCCTCCTCAGAGGTTGGGGTGGGGCTAAGAAATGGTCTGTTACAGTGAAATTGTATCTACAGTCAAGAGACTGTATCATCCAGGTGAAGAAGTGGCATTGCTTCTACATGTGGAGAGAGGATGCCTGTTCCCAGGCTGCAACACTGATTCTGTGGTGCAAGAATTCTGCTGGCTTCATTTTTGAATTCTTTCCAGTTCCTCTCTGTCTGTTAAATCAGTGAAAGGTAAATAAATATTGGAACCCCAAAATCACTCATCTAAAGGGAAAAGTCAAGTTGGGAACTGCTTAGGGCAAACCTGCCTTCCATTCTATTCAAAGTCATCCCTCTGCTCACTGAGAAAAATGTGTATCTTGTTGCCTCCTTTGGAAAGGCTAATTAGAAACAAAACAATGCAACCTTGGTCGGGCGTGGTGGCTCACGCCTGTAATCTCAGCACTTTGGGAGGCCGAGGTGGGCGGATCACCTGAGGTCAGGAATTCGAGGCCAGCCTGGCCAACACGAAACCCCGTCTCTACTAAAAATACAAAAATTAGCCAGGCGTGGTGGCGGGCACCTGTAATCCCAGCTATTCGGGAGACTGAGACAGGAGAATCACTTGAACCCGGGAGGCAGAGGTTGCAGTGAGCCGAGACTGTGCCATTGCACTCCAGCCTGGGCAACAGAGAGAGACTCCATCTCAAAAAAAAAAAAAAAAGAAAAGAAAAAAGAACTGAATTATACAACTCCCAGGCTATTGATTCAGAGAAATCTCCATACATTTTGGTGACAGAAGACACAGAAGTATTCTGTATTGATTGTCGAGTGAGGAAAAAGGAAAAACACTTTGGTTGATTTATTTTTTCTATATCTCTCTGAGTTAGAAAAGTGAAAAATAAGGTGGGGATGTGTATATATTAATGACAAAAGTTGTTCAAGAGAAAGATGTATCAAACTGGCATCTACAAAGGCGAAGTAAAATGGTTTTGATAAACTTATCCCAAGAAATGTGGAGAAACAGGTCTAAGAAACACATTCTATTGGAGGAGACCATCGTGTTTGTGAAAATCTCCCTGGGCAGTTCTCACACGCAGCCTGGGTTGAGATCTGCATCCCTAGAAGAAGAGGGTTATCTTTGTCATGCACTGTTCTGAGGAGAGGGGTGACCTTAGTGCTTCCTCATCTTGTTTTTTTTGAGACAGAGTCTCGCTCTGTCACCCAGGCTGGAGTGCAGTGGCACGACCTCAGCTCACTGCAACCTCTGCCTTCTGGGTTCAAGCGATTCTCCTGCCTCAGCCTCCTGAGTCGCTGGGACTACAGGCACATGCCACCACATCCCGCTAAGTTTTGTATTTTTAGCAGAGATGGGGTTTCACCATGTTGGCCAGGCTGGTCTCCAACTCCTGACCTTGTGATCCACCTGCCTCAGCCTCCCGAAGTGCTGGGATTATAGGCATGAGCCACCGCGCCCGGCCTGTCCTTACTCATCTTAATGTGCCACAGGGACGCGAAGACTTCAGTAACTGGGAGTCACACCCAGGTGCAGATTAGAACTCTCTGCTGAGGGTTTTACCATCCTGTGAGGTCTCATCCCAGAGATTCTGATAGGATGATCCAGCTTAGGGCCCTGGCATCAGCAGGCCTGAAGCTCCCAGGAGGCCCTGATGCACTGCCAGGGCTGGGCCACTGACCCCCAGAGGGCCCCAATGCCCAGGGAGCTTTTTCCCCTGAGGTAATGAGGAGAGCTTCCTGGACATCTTGGGGCCTGGGGCAGAGGACTAGGGTGTGACCGAGGAGCTCTTCTTGAGATAGACTCTGGAGGGATGTGTGGGTTCTATACTAATGTGTTTTTCAAATCTGTTTAAGGCTGTTTCTCTTCTTGAGGATATGTCAGGAAATGCTTGTGTTCAGCTTTTGAGCTTAGGGAAACTCGTCAAACCTAAGGAAAATTGTTTCCATAATTTTTGGGTAAATGAAAATAATTTCTGATCCCATGATACAAAGCTCCATGAAGTTCACGTTTTCATCTGACTCATAGAAATACAAAAACATTTTATTTTTGCCTTCTTTTTGGTGGGTACAGATTTCTTTGGTGATAAATGACAAAAAGAGAGGAAGGAAAATATCTGGGCTGTGATGGGGACTGGTCTCTACCTGTTTTTCTGAGGGTGTGGCTTCAAAAGAGTTAAATCACACACACCACTACAAAAATTAGGAATACCAATCCCTTTCTTTTAAGATAATAAAATGGAAAATACCCAATGGACACAAACATGTTCAAAAGGTTTTTTTTTCCTCTCAAGCCAATTTCCACCCTCATAAAAAGAGACAAATGATTATATGATTGGATGCTAACTCCATTGGACATTCTATAACTCACTCAGCTGCTCGTCCCCCATAGAGGTGAGAGGAACAGGCAGTATGTTTTATTAGTCATGTTATAGTAGTAAACATGTTTTAATGAAAGCTTATTTGATTTCCATTGATCCTTTGAATCCATATGAAAAAGCATGGCTGTCATTTCCTGCCCATATCTGACCACATTCAGATGCTCTGGGAACCATAAATAAAGAAAAAAAATATTTACTCCAATGTTCATTAATTGGGATTTTAAGTTGATGTTCCTTCCATAGAGCCTGAGGGTGGTGAAAATGTGACAGGGGCTGCTGTGGTTTCCAGAACGAGCTCCCATCCTCTGGGGGTCCTGAGATGGATTGATCCTGGAGTCCAACACAGGATCCAACACAATGGATTGATCCTAGAGTCCTCTCAAAAGGAAGGCAATGGTCCCATTGGATGGAACATGGGTGGCTGAAATCCTGGGGGGAGCAGCAGGACACACCAGGGGCTGGTGGCCAGGCAATGCTCACCACAGCTGGAGGAGCATGTGGGTGTATGTTGCTGTGGTTGGCAGATACATCTGTTGCTACTGCAGGAAGAGGAAGAGTTCCTGTTCCTGGCAGTGCTGGAATAGGCGTTAGCTGGATCCCAGCCTGCGGTTCTGTCCTTTTTCTTTTCCTCTGACTGCTTGGGATCCTCTCCATTTTCTACGGAGTCTGCAGCCCTTGACAATCAACTTATTAAAGGATTTCTCTGCAGCCACTTCTGTAGCCTGCCCTGTGGAAACCTGGACGAAAGCACACTACTTTCTGGTCTGCACAACAGTGATCACTCAGATCTTCAAATAACTAGAAATGATTATTTAGATCTGTCTCAGTAATGGCATCACCCAGATCACCAACACAGAGTCTGGTGATAACCTTGTCCTCTGGTGGATCTGGACAAGACATGGTGAAGCCTGCTTTAGAAGCTTATCTGCTCCAGAGTCATTGATTCCATATCAGTCTTTAATATTCTTATCAGCAAGGGGGTCATCTGGATCTGTAGGCTTCCCATGTCTGTGTGGGCCCTCTTCTTCTCCCTCACACTCTCCTTTCACCCAGAAGGAGCAAATGTGCTTATTCCTTTGGTAGTAGGGTGTGGTCTGTGCCAGTTTGTACAGCACGTCACTGGTGTATGTGACTCTCCCAGCTGGCCAACTAGCTGTGTTCTGTCTGTTATATTCTGCATATAGTACTCTTCATTGATGTCTGACTTTGCCAAGTCATCTTTTAAAGACAATTCTGTATCATGAACCTGAATGGACAGGCCATACTCAAGGACTAAGAGGCAGGCCTGGCAGATGTTCCTCAATGTCCTGCAGGCTTGGCACACTTCAGTCTTCTTGAAATGCATGTGGATCCCAGGGTACCAACAAAACACTGTGTATGGCCTGGAATAGATTTTCCATTTTGTCTCATACTTTTCTTTGGTCATTCAGATATACAGGTTTTCTCCAAGACATGTCTGGCACAGAATGGAGAAGTTTACGTCTTCCCAGTTTTGCTTATTTTAGGTATTGGAACCAAGAAATGTCACCGTCTTGAGAGGGTCTAGAGGCAGTGGTAGCATTCGAGGTGGTAGCCAGGACCGCCACACACCCATCAGCCCAACTCTTCTTCATGCCCCTATTCTTGAGACCCTGGGCAATTGCCTTTGACACCATGATTCCTCTTTTTTGTCCCAAGGTGAAACTCTTCCAAGGAATCCCCATTCTTGTAGGAAGCTCTGGATTTCCTGATCTCTCCAAGGACTGGCCTGGAAGGGACAGAGAAATGCGAATGCCCTTTGAAACTACTCACAGCGTATAGTTGAGTGGTTTCCAAAGACCCCCTCTATGCTGCCAAGCCCTAAGCATGCTCTCGTATCTGTTGTTGGGAGATAATAAAACCTTAAATGAGAAGAGCAAGAACCAGGATCCCTGGGAGAAGTAACGTCTAATCCTTAAACTCATGGACATGTCAGGAAGCACCTGTCTGGATATTTATCATGCTCAATAATGGATAAAGACACCTGAACAGTGAATGAATGAAAGGATTTTCAGGCTAAGTATTTCTGCCCTGGAAGGGTTCTTCTTTTGTTTCAGGCATAGTGATCTGCCCTGAGAAGAGAGCTTGGGTCACCTTCTGGTCACCAGGTGTTGCTTGGCAAGAGCCCCATATATAATGAGCCATAGACCCATCATCTATTGAGCTGCCTTTGTTGCCCAGAATAAAAACTCAGGGCTACCAAAAGTGACTGAGGCTAGAACAGAGAGATTGTGGGTTGGTGTGGGAAGAGAGCTGATTCAAAAAATTAAAGAAAAAGGTATTCTAACATAAGACAATCTCTATTCATGCCTTGCCTACGAGTTGATTAAATATGGGAAATCATAGTACTGAAAATAATTATCTAAAATTCTAACTACCAGGAACTGAGCTACAATATTTGTGTCACTGTAAAGTAATAGAGAATTTATCTCAGTCCAAAATTAATAACAAAGAATTTCAAAATCAATTTAGAGCTTTGTTTTCTGTGTATGTGAAAGAACAAGGTCCAGACTCCCTCCAGCATCAAACAAATAGAAAGTCAGATCCACTATGTGACCCAAATATGTCCAGACCCTGGAAAGTGTCTGACAGGAGCACAGGATAGTGGTCTGGAGGCTGAATCCAAGGGAGGGGACCCCCTGGCTACCCCAGCTCAGAGCCTGCAAAGAGCATCCAGGAGGGAGTGCAGGCAGGCAGGATCCAGGCAGAGCATGGAGATCCCTGAGTTTAGGAAACAGGGTTGAGAATATAAGGAGAAAGGCAGCTCTGCAAGACACAGGGCTGAGTACCAGAGAGTAGGAGGCAGTGGCTGAACTAGAGGTAAGACTGAAGAGTAGAAGGTGGAGGTCATTGAACCATTGGCGGATACAAGGGTAATTACCAATGAAACAAATTTGTCCCAGTGAAAAAGGGAATAGGAACCCTGATTTTTTCTTTCTGAGCATTTTTTTAAAGAAAAAATATCCTTATGAGTTTCTTCTCTGTCCCTTTGTGATATATGGAAGTCTCTTCAAAAGTTAAGTAACCTCTTGCCAGCTTCCAACCAGGACTATCTTTCTCAAGGGCCTGGGAGCCATCTCTGAAATGGAATCATTAAGGGAGAGAGTTCCTGTGAGAGGGTAGGAGCCCAACTTCCGCCAGTGCCTGGCTCTAACTTACTAACCTACTCTTGCCATAAATTGTGAGACACTGGTCTTTTCTTGTCATAAATCCGATTAGCGAGCACTGTGGCTACCCTCGAGGGACATATAAAAATAGTGCTGTCAAGTCACTTCCTTGAGGACTGGTTGCTGTTTATCTCAGGAACACGCAAGCACTGGTTGTAACTGCCTGCCTATACACAAAGGTGAGATTTCCTTCTTTCTTGCCATGCGCTAAGTTATTGTCTGTTTTGTGCATCACAATGTGGTTTAATGATTCTTCAATGAAACTGTTTTCTTTCTCCTCTGTCTTTCTGGAGAGATTTCCTGGGTTTGCAGGAGACTTTGTTGTTAATCATATTCTTCACCACAGACAGTGACATCACTATGCTAGAGCGGAGCTCAAGACCTGAGTGGCAGCATCTCTCCTTGCTGATGCAGCCAAGGCCCCAGGGCCCAGGAAGGGATGCCACCACCTGGAGAAGAGCCTCAGATGGGAACTAATATCAGTAACTTGATATTTCTGCTTGGATAATGGACAAACTAGAGATAGCTCAGTTTAATCTATTCACAACCAAGCATTTCAGTTCTGGGGAAGACAAGACTAGACATATATGTCTCTATTCTTCCCAATAAGTACAACTAAAATCCCTGGACATTATACATAAAACAAAATGGAGAAAGCTCTAAAAGGTACATTATTGGCCCTGCCAGGTGAAGAAAAAGAGGTCCTATGGCTTTGGGTCTAAGGATATGCTGCAGAATGTTTACTAAATTCAGGACAGTATGACATGGCCCTGAACAAGTAGTCAGTTTTTCAAATATTTGAGCCATACTTGTAAGGGCAGCACACACGGCCAAAGTCACCCTATTCAGTTCCTGATAATCAACTTTCATTCTCCAGTTCCCTTCATGTTTTGGCACCAACCACACCAGGCTATTTTGTGGGCTATGTGCAGACACACAAATCCCACCCTCTCCAGTTTCTGAATAGTAGCTATTATCTTGTGTGCCCTCCTGAGAGGCAATATTGTTTGATACACACCAACCCTCTTGGGTGGAATAACATCACCAGCTTCCCTTTGGCTTCCCCTCAGAGCATCCTCACCTGGAGACAGAACTTGCCTAAGCCTGCTTCAAGGACAACTCCCAGGAGAGTTTCAATACCCAACATGTGCTGTGGGATTGGGGCTCACTAGAGCCAAATTCCAAGCAGTTCCAAAGCAGACAAATGAATCGTTCTTCCCACATGAGCCTCTAGTCTCCCTCAGTGGCCTTACACTGAAGGGAACCTTGGACTTTATGTCACATCTGGGGCTGTGGTTCTCTTTTAACTCTCTGTCTCTTTGCTTCCAACAGTTGGAACCCAGAGCTCCTACTGCCCAAAGCTTCCCTAGTGCCAGGACTGGAGGCCATGGGCTCCCCACATGCCTCTCCACAGAGCCCCTCTTTTTTCACCTTACCCTCCATGTGGGCAGCTAACAGAGTGGCCCATGGTGGAAGAGTACAGGTCTTTCTGGAGTTGCAATTCCTTCTGTAACTCATGACCTTGCTCTCAGCCACCAGCTGAGCAGGCTGCCCATGGCACAGAACAGCCTATCCCTTTCCTCCCCACCAACTGTTACTGGGCTTCCTTACTGCTGACCCATCGCAAACCCTCCATGAGGCTCCCTCAAGCCTGTAGAGCTTTGCGGCATCTTGGCCTTCCCGGGGCAGCCCACAGGCATCAGAAAGATGGGTGACAGAGCCCCACATAGTCCCTTGTAGGCACTCTGAGATCTTTCTGGTAGGATTCTGTTTTCCCCAGTTCATGTCTTGGAATCCTATTGATCACACCAAGGCTCAAATTTCCTCCAAAGTGGTAGCAGCAGAGTTTCCACAGGGACTGCCCCAAACCATTCTGAAATGGGGCCAGTTGGTATTCCAAAGAAAGAAGCACTAAACCTCAGGGTGATAAGTTCAAAGTATGTATTAGAACATACACACAGGGGGGCTATGGCATATCCTCCTGAGGGACAATGAGCTAGAGATATTCTTCCTGGGTATGTCCACAATGAGGAGTCTGGTTATGGAGTTTGTATGAGGGCTTAAGAAATTTGGCTTAGGACCAGGGCTGGTATCTTTCAGGGTTTTGAGCAACCACCTAAACACCTTTGTCAGTCCTGAGAATGTTCAAGGCCCCAGCTTGGGTTTAAATCATCAGGGGAAAACATGCAGCTGGCCACCTCAAAGAGTGGTCAAGTTACTCTGTAGTTCTCAATCAGGACAGAGAAAAAATGAGAGAAAATGGGGGAATCAATGTTATCCTTGGTAGTAAGAATTAATCTTGAGAAGTGTGAGTCATTCAGTTTCACTTTTCTTTTTTAAGATTGTTTTGTGAATTTGGTTTCCTGTGCATATCCATATTGTTTTGTTTTATTTTGTTTTTGGAGAGGGGACTTGTCAATTTTTACAAAAAAAAAACATAACTGGGAATTGGAAGATATTACATTGAATCTGTAGATTAATCTGTAAAGTATTGTTATCTTAGTATTAAGTATTTTTATCCTTGAAAATTGGACATCTTTTAATTATTTCAGATCTTCTGTGACTTATTTCAGCATTTTAAAAAGTGAGTGTAAAAACTTTGCACTTCTATTGTTAACTTTTTTCTAGATATTTATTTTTTTGATGCTATTATAAATGAAATTGTATTCTTCGTTTTATTATATTTTCATTGTTGGTTGCATTCATTCAAAGTACAATTGAATTTTGTATGTGGATCTTGTATCCTGTGACATTGATCAATTTGTTTATTAATTCTAGTGGTATTTTAGTGAATATCTCCACATTTTTATAGAGAAGATTCTGTCATCTGTAATAAAGACACTTCTACTTTTCGTTTTCCAATCTGGAAGGTGTTATTTATTTCTATTGTATTATTTCTCTGGCTAATACCTCTAGTACAATGCTGAATAGAGTGGTAAAATTGGAATTCTTGTCTTGTTCCCAATCTTAAAGGTAAAGCATCCAGCTTTTCACTATTAAGTGTGATATTAGCAGCAAGTTTTTCATAGATGTCTTTTAGCAAGTCTCACAATTCCCTTCTATTAGTAGTTTGACTAATAACTACTAATTCCCTTCTATTAGTAGTTTGCTGGAGGTTTTGTCATAAATGGGTGTTTGATTTTTGACATTTTCTTTGTGCATTTAAACTATCACTTTTTGTCCTTATTTTAGTAATATTGGGCATTAGCTTGTTTGACTTCTGGATATTAAGTCATGGTTGCATTTGTAAACAAACAATTATTCTTGGTCTTGGTGTATATTCATTTATTATGTTGTTCGATTTAGTTTTCTAGTGTTTTCTGAGGGTTTACGAGCCTATATTTATATGGCATGTTGGTCCATAGTTTTCTTTCCCTGTCATGCTTTTGTCTGGCTCTGGTATCATGGTAATACTGGCTTCATGAAATAAATACAAAAACGTTCCTTCTTCTTCAATTGTTGAAAGGTTTTGTGAAGGATTGGTATTAATTATTCATTAAACACTGATAGAATTTTTCATTTTTTTTTATCCTGGAATTTTTTTTGTAAAAGTATTTTAACCAATTTTTTACTTGTTAAATGACCACCCACATATTATATATATTCATATATTACTATATTCTTATGTATTTCTTATGTTTGCTTTTATAATTTGTACCTACCAAAATATTAATTTTCCATTTATACCTTTTCATATGTAATGGATTTAATAGTTAGTTAATATGAGATGATAATATAGAATGAGGCCTTAACCCAATTAAGGAATGACCTAAATGTTCTTCTGTTGTAGGATAGAGACTATGAATATAAATGTTATCCTTAATAATAATCTTTATATTGTGAGGTAAATAAGCCTCTGAATATAAGGAAATTAGTGAAACTTCCATTTAGTTTGGCTTTTATTAAGAAAACAAGCTGAGAATAACTAATTTTAATCAATATTTAGATAAGTCAGAAAAATACTTTTAATAAGAACAAATATAAAATATCTTGTATTTAAGAACCACCTGAAAAGATAATTTGATGAATCAGATTGGTTAGTACTTACTTAGCACATACAATACATTAGGCAAGATTCTAACTAATTATACATTTATAGACATTACTTGAGAGTTAAAAACGAGAAACCCAAAGATTCATTGGCAATGACAAATTGGCATTTTCTATCATATAAGGTGAAATAAAAACCATCATAAAAATTCACTGTTTTGATTTAAGACAACTAAAAACATAAAAAATATTGAATAACTTTACCAGAAAGTTTGACTAGGCATAGAGATAAATGAGTAGCATTTTTGAACAGTAAGCAAAAAACACACATTATCAAACATCAGACAAAAATATTTTACATGGAAAAATATCAGGCCTATAAAATTTCATTGACTTTATGAGATCAGAAATAAAACAGATTACATTTTTAGGCACTATGACATGGTAACAGAAATGATGAATTAATGTGTAACCAGAGTCAAGTGTGCTCATTATTATCCCCAAAAACTGTTAGAACTAATAAACTAATGCAGTGAAGTTGGAGGACAGACAATCAACCTAAAAAATCAGTTGTGTTTCTATATGCTAATAATGAACTCTGAAAAATAAATCAAGAAAACAATTTTATTTACCATAGTATCAAAAAGGAAAAAATTAATCAAACCAAGGAGGTGAACGATTTGTACACTGAAAACTATAAAATATTGATGAAAGCAGTCATAGAAGAAATTTTTAAAATGAAAAAATGCCCCAGGTTTATGGATCAGAAGAATCAATATTGTTAAAATGTTCATACTGCCAAATGTGATCTGCAGATTCAAAGCAATATCTATCAAGATACCAATAGCATGTTTCATAGAAATAGAAGAAAATCTAAATTTAGTATGGAACCACAAAAGACCCCAAATAGACAACACAATCTTGAGCAAGAAGAAAAAAGCTAGAGGCATCAAACTTTCTGGTTTTAAACTATATCACTAAGCTTAATCACCAAAACAGCATGATAATGGCATATAAACACATAGTTCGATGAGAGAACCATGAAAGAGTCCAAAAATATATGCATACATATACAGACAACTAATTTTCACACTGGGAAAGAAATAAACTCATCAATATATGACAGGAAAATGGAAAATCCACCAGCAAAAAAACAAAAAAAAACAAAAAAAAACCCATAAATTGGAACCATCTTTTACACTATACACAAAATTCAACTTAAAATGGATTAAAGGGTTGCAGGGAGAGCCAAGATGGCCAGCTAGACACAGCCAGGAAGAGCTTCTCCACTGAGAGAAACCAGACCATCAAGTAAATTGGCACACTCTGAACAGATCTTTGGAAATAAGGCATTGAATGGGGATGAAGGGAGGATGCAGACCCTGTGCTGAAAAAGGAGAAAGCTGGAAACCCTGCACAGGGTTGTCGAGCACCTGGACTCATTCCTGGCCCTGAGCAGCTCCTGGAGAAGGAGTTAGTGAAATAAACATGGAGTGGCCCACTCTCACCATGAACCTCAAGAATCCTAGCTGCAGAAAACCCCACGACCCCATGGACATTTGAATTGGTAGAGAGAACTTCCCAGTGAGTTGGCAGATACAGAACTCCAGCCAGCATGGAGCCTGAAGGATTTGGTGCATAAATGGCTGCAGTGGAGCAAAGCCAGGGGTGCCCTTCACCCAAGGCTCACCATGCTCTTCCAGGTGACTTTAGCCTCTGGTGGCAGCTGGATCTGTACACAGCAGGCCTATCTTGCCCACAGGATGGGGCCAGTCTGATCTGAGCATGACCCTGTCTGCCTATCCCAGGGTCCCAGCCTGGCTACACTTGCTTGTAGTGCAGCCTTGGCTACCTAGCCAAGGTGCTTGCCAGCAGCCACCACCACAGATCTTTCACCAGCAGACCCTGCCTAACAGTCACAGAGCTTCTGCAGGCAGGTGTCCAACAGCATACACTCACCCTCAGTCCTCCCTGATAGGCACACACTTGTCTTCCAATTGCTTAGCTGGCACACACTTGTCTTCCAATTGCTTAGCTGGCACACACTCACCCACAGCCTCTCCTGCTGTTTTGCTGCCATGCATGTGCATGCAGGACCTGCCACTACCCACTGCTACTGGTGCACATGAACATGGGGACCCAGATGCTCACTGCCATCTTGCCAAAGTGCTTTCACCAGCACCCCCATCACAGTGTTGTTGCTAGTCTACTGCAGCTCCAAAAACAAATGCAACAAACATTAAAATAAACAAATGGAACCTGATTAAATTAAAAAGCTTCTGCACAGCAAAAGAAATAATCACCAGAGTAAACAAACAACCCACAGAATGGCAGAAAATATTTGCAAACCATGCATCCAGCGAAGGACTAGTATCCAGGATTTACAAGGAATTCAAACAGATCAGCAAGGAAACAAACCAAATAATCCCATCAAAAAGTAGGCAAATGACGTGAATAGACATTTCTCAAAAGAAGATATATAAATGGCCAAAAATCATATTAAAAAATGCTCAACATCACTAATCACCATAGAAATACAAATTAAAACCACAAAAAGATACCACTTTACTCCCACAAGAATAGCCACTATTAAAAAGTAAAACAAAAAAAATAGATATTGGCATGGATATGGTGAAAAGGAAATGCTTATACACTTAGATGCTGCTGATAAGAATGTAAATTAGTACAACTTCTATGGAAAACAGTATGGGAATTCCTTAAAGAACTAAACGCAGATCTACTATTTGATCCAGCAATCCCATGATGGGTTCTACCCATAGGAAGTGAAGTCATATCAAAAAGACACTTGCGCATGTATGTTTATTGCATAATTCACAATCACAAAGATATGGAACCAACCTAAGTGTCCATTGACCAATGACTGGATCAAGAAAATGTTGTGTATATACACCATAGGATACTACCCATCATTGAAAAGGAACAAAATAATGTCTTTTGCAGCAACTTGGATGGAGTTAGAGGCCATCCTTCTAAGTGAAGGAACTCAGGAGTAGAAAACCAAATACCATATATTTTTACTTATAAGTGGGAGCTAAGCTATGTGTACTCAAAGGCATACAGAGTGATATAATAGACTTTAGAGACTTAGAAGGGGGAGGGTGGCAAAGGAGTGTGGAATAAAAACCTATACATTGGGTATAAGGTATACTACTTGGGTGATAGGTGCACTAAAAATCTCAGAATTCACCATTGTATAGTTCATTCATGTAACCAGAAACCACTTGTACTCCAAAAGCTACAGAAAAAAAATGTTTTGAAAACGGATTCTTTTTTTTTTTTTTTTTTTTTTTTTTTTTTTTTTTTTTTTTTTTTTTTTTGAGACAGAGTCTCGCTCTGTCACCCAGGCTGGAGTGCAGTGGCACAGTCTTAGCTCACTGCAAGCTCTGCTTCCTGGGTTCACACCATTTTCCTGCCTCAGCCTTCCAAGTAGCTGGGACTACAGCCACCTGCCACCAAACCTGGCTAATTTTTTTTGTATTTTTAGTAGGCATTCACCGTGTTAGCCAGGATGGTCTCATTCTCCTGACCTCATGATCTGCCCGCCTTGGCCTCCCAAAGTGCTGGGATTACAGGCATGAGCCACCATACCCAGCCTAAAAACAGATTCTTAAAGGAATGCTAAATATGAAACTTAGAGACTCTTACCTGCCACTACAAAAGCACACTTAAGTACATAGTCCACTGACACTATAAAGCAACTATACAATCAAGTCTATAAAACAACCATCTAACAATATGATGACAGTTTCAAATTCTCACATATCAATATCAAGCCTGAACATAGATGGACTAAATGCCTCACTCAAAAGGCACAGAGTGGCAAGTTGAATAAAAAAGCAAGGCTCAACTGTATGCTGTCTTCAAGAGACCCACCTCACATGCAATGATACCCATAGGCTCAAAGTAAAGGGATGGAGAGAGATCTATCAAGCAAACAGAAAACAAAAGAGCAAGGGCTGCTGTCCTTATTTCAAACAAAACAGACTTTAAACCAACAACAATAAAAAGACAGGGACATTACATAATGATAAAGCATTAAGTTAAACAAGAAGACTTAACTATCCTAAATATACACACATCCAACACTGGAAAACCTAGATTCATAAAACAAGTTCTTATAGATGTATGAAGAGACTTAAATAACCACACAATAATTGTAAGACTTCAACACCCTGCAGACAATGTTAGAAAGATCATCAAGGCAGAAAACTAACAAAGATATTCAGGATCTAGACTTGAAACATGACCAAATGGACCTAATAGACCTCTATAGAACACTCCACCCAGCAACAACAACAGAATATACATTATTCTCATCAGCACATAGCACATACTCAAAGATTGATCACACCCTTACCCATAAAACAATTCTCAATGAGTTCAAAAAACCCCAAATCATACCAACCACAGTGCAATAAAATAGAAATCAATACCAAGAAGATCTCTCAAAACCATACAATTACATGAAAATTACCTGCTCCTGAATGACTTTTCAGTAAAAAATGAAATTAAAGCAGAAATCAAGAAATTATTTGAAACAAATGAAAACTGGGACACACGTAAAGTGCTGTTAAGAGGAAAGTTTATAACACTAAATCCTTACATCAAAAAGTCAGAAAGCTCTCAAATTCACAACCTAACATCACATCTGGAAGAACTAAAAAACAAGAGTAACCCAACCCCAGAGCTAGCAAAAGAAAAGAAATAACCAAAATCAGAGATAAACTGAATGAAATTGAGATGTGAAAATCCATACAAAAAATCAATGAAACAAAAAATTGGTTCATTAAAAGAATAAATAATATTGAGGGAGCACTAGCTAGACTAATAAACAAAAAGAAAAAATCCAAACAAACACAATTAGTATAACAATGGTAACATTGCCATTAACTTCACAAAAATATTTTTAAAAAACCCTCAGAGACTACTATGAATGCACACAAACCAGAAAACAGAAGAAATGGATAAATTCCTGGAAACATACAACCTCCTGAGATTGAACCAGGAAAATGTTGAATACCTGAACAGACCAATAATAACTTCCAAAAGGGAATCAGTAATAGAAAACCTACCAACCAGGAAAAGCCCTGGACCAGACAAATTCACAGCCAAATTCTACCAAGCATATAAAGAAGAGCTGGTACCAATCCTACTAAAACAATTCCAAAAATTTGAGGAGGAACGATTCATCCTTAACTCATTCTATGAGGCCAGCAACATCATGACACCAAAACCCGGTGGAGGCATAATCAAAAATTACAAAAAAACTTCAGGCCAATATCCCTGATGAACATAGATGTAAAATATTCATAAAATACTAGTAAATGAAATCCAGCAGCAGATCAAAAAGTAAATTATCCATGATCGGGCAAGTTTCATTCCTCAGATGCAAGGTTGATTCAACATATGCATATCAACAAATATGATTCTTCACATAAACCGAACTAAAAACAAAACCACATGATCATCTCAATAGATACAGAAAAGCCTTTTAATATCTCCTCATGTTAAATACCATCAACAAACTAGGCATTGAAGGAACATATTTCAAAATAATGAGTCATCTATGACAAACCCACGGCCAACATCATACTGAAGGGGCAAAAGCTTGACCAACTCCCCTTGAGAACCAGAGCCAGGCTGCCCATTCACCACTGTTATTTAAAAGTACTTGAAGTCCCAGCCAGAGCAATTAGGCATGAGAAGGAAATAAAAGGCATCCAAATGGGAAGAGAAAGTCAAAGTATCTCTTTCTGCTGATGATATGATTCTATACCTAGAAAACCTCATATTCTCTGCCCAAATGCTCATAGAATTGATAAACAACTTCAGTAAAATTTCAGGATACAAAATCAATGTACAAAAATTACTAGAATTTCTATACACTAATAACGTCCAAGCAGAGAGCCCAATCAAGAATGCAATGCCATTCACAATAGCCACAAAAAAGAAAAATTACCTAGGAATACAGTGAAACAGGGAGGTGAAATATCTCTGCAACATGAATAACAAAACTGCTGGAAAAAAATCAGAGATGGCACAAACAAATGGAAAAACATTCCACGCTCACGGATAGGAAGAATCAATATTGTCAAAATGGCCATGCTGCCCAAAGGAATTTACAGATTCAATGCTATTCCTGTCAAACTACTGCTGTCAGTTTTTACAGAATTGGAAAAAAGCATTCTAAAATTCATATGGAACAAAAAAAAAGCCCAAATACCCAAAGCAATCCTAAGTAAAAAGAACAGAGAGGCATCACATTATCTGACTTCAATCTATACTACAAGGCTACAGTACCCAAAACAGCACGGTACTGGTATAAAAACAAACACATAGATCAATAACACAGGTTAGAGAACCCAAAAATAAAACCACACACCTACAACCATCTGATATTCAACAGAGTTGACAATTAGAAGCAATGGGGAAAAAAGTACTTATTCAATAAGTGGTGCTGGGATAATTGGCTAGCTATAGGCATGAGATTGAAATGGAACCCCTTCATTTCACCATATACAAAAATCAACTCAGGGTGGATTAAAGACTTAAACATAAAACCAAAAGCTATAAAAACCCTAAAAGAAAGCCTAGGAAATACCATTCTGGACATAGGCTTTTCATGACAGAGACCCCAAAAACAATTGCAACAAAAACAAAAATTGACAAGCGGGACCTAATTGACAAGTGGGACCTAATTAAACTAACAAGCTTCTGCACCGCACAAGAAACAGCATTAATGCACAATCTATGGAATGGGGAAAAATATTTGCAAACTCGGTGTTGAGGTGATCAAACCCAACACCAGGTCATGGGGGCTATGAAGTCCGGTGGAGTCAAAGGAATGAGACAAAACAAATTAAGAGTACATAGGGTGGGTCCAGGGGGCCAATGCTAGCATATGGAGGCAGTGAAGGCCCCGAGCTCTGGGACTATTTATTGGTAATCAAACAAAGAAGCAGGTGGTGAGGATGTGCAGATGTAGACAGGTGAGGACGTGAGGACGTGGGGGTAGAAAGGTAACAGTGCATCAAGCGTAACTGTGATGCTTTAGCATATGCTCTGCTACTTGAAATAAGGGAGAACAGGTTCTTTTGATGCAAGATATAATCAATTTATGATCTTGGGAGATCAAGGAGCAAGGGGTCAGCGAGTCTGGACACATTCCAGAGGCTACAAGGGGTTTTACGCCCTGAGCCCTGGGTTCTCTCCAAGCCACAAGGGGTGTTATGCCCTGGGCTTAGATTGTAGTGTGGCAGGGCAGCCTTCCACCCTTTGGCACAGAGCTTGGTGTTCCATAGGCCACAAGGGGTTTTAGACCCTGGACCCAGGACATGTTCCAAGACTCGTTTACATTATGTCAGACAAGCGAGCCCTGCCTCAGATCTTCTGCCAACATGTCTCTCTTTTTTGTTCTGCAAAACTGCCACAGCTATCATTGCTTGTTCTCGGCTTGTTCTTGGCCCCCTGGACTCACCCTATGTACTCTTAATGTGTCTTGTCTAATTCCTTTGACTCCGCCGGACTTCATAGCCCCCATGACCTGGTGTTGGGTTTGATCACTCGGTGGCTTTCTCTCCAGAGGTGGCTTCTGCATCTGTAGACTGAAACGAGACAGCACAAGCACATAATTATTAGAACAAGGTTTACAGGTGTAGCGTTTCCAATGGTCTTAATCCATTTAAGAGGATTGATTGCAGACAACCCATCAGCTGCCTTGCTTAAAATATCAGTTCCAGAGAGCAGGGTTAAGTGAGCCTGAGAGGCTTCAAAAACCTGCTCTTTCAGTTTTACAATATCAAGGGAGAGATTTTCCTCTCTACCCTCTAGATGGCATTTATTTCTTTCCCATTGGCGTTGTGTTTCATTGTAACTATGAGGAATAATGCAAAAGTCAGATGTATTCCAATCACATTGCATTTGAATTCTAGTTTCTAAACTTATGATGCGATCCCCCATTCAAGTTACTGTCTGACAGAGATCATTAATTTGATTAACTATCTTTTGATCTGTTTGGACCTGAGAGTTCCATAATTTCATATAATTATTTTGCCATTTATCAACAAATTAAACAGTTTGCGCAGATGAGTGTAAAGCCGCACCAGCTACTGCAGCAGTAGTGGTAACTGCAATGAGGCCAATTACAGCAAATATAAGAGCAATTATAAATCTTTTTGAATGAGATAAGAGTTTTTTAAGGATCTCAGTTATAATATGAATGGATGGTGATGCCTCCCATGGTCTATTTAGAGACACAGGGATCCAAACTTCTGTGGCTCTAATTAACAAGATAGTTTGATTTTTATCAAAGGTTGAGTTAATGCAAGTAAACAAGTGACATTCGTGGCAGGTGATAAAACAGGTATTCATGTCAAGAGTAATATTTCCTATTGCTAACATAAAAGGTGGCAGGACACAACTTTGAATCCAAAAGGTCCTGTTAGAAAGAAAAGAGAGGACATATTTATCTTTACCTCCTTCCCCTTTATACTTATTATATTTACCTTCTCAAATTTTGATTGAACTTTGAGCCATAGCTAATTTTCATAATTCTGAATGCTCCTGTCCTATGGCAGGAGATATCATTTTTGGACTAGGAGTGACAGTGCCACCAGGGCTCCATATGATAGGGCCATCAGCTTCTGTCTCAATATACTATGTATGGTTCTCTTGCCAACAATTCCATTGGCTTATTTCATTTTTTCTACAAGAGGGCCTTCTGGTGCAATTTTTCTTAAAAATCCCCTTAGGGGACCAATCAATGACAATTCCATAGGAATTATTTTGTAACACCTCAGCCTTATTTGCTATACAATTTTCCCAATTCCAAGCATCCACACCTTCAAACCAAACTCTATTTTGTTTACATTCATGTTTGTCTGGATGGAACTGCTGAGTTTTAGGGCTAGAATGGTTATATTTTAAACTTTATCCTGAAATCATATGTAAAGTTGCCTGTGATTTATTTTTTCCAGGGATTACTGCCAACCAGACTTGTGTGCCCATTTGTAAGCATCCAGTGGCAGGTCCTAGGCATATTGGAGGATATTAATATCCTATTGATATATTCATTTTCTTCCCTTCCTCATTAAGATGCATTGGCCCTCAGTTATCTATGGGCTCAAGCATCCAGGTACTGTCATTGGTGTACACCTCAATAACAGGGTCCATACAACTCACAGACCTAATTAAAGGAGGAAATGGGACATATGCCAAATAAGTAAAATTTTGAGTTGCTCCTACAGTAGGGAGGCTTACTGCCACAGTGAGTACCGCCAGCATGGCCACCATCAGGTTACTGGTTGTTTTTGGTTTGTTCTGTGCTCTCAGATTGTCCTCTGCCATCTGTGCCAGTTTCTTGATTTGTCCCCATGTTTGGAGGGTCTGTCTGGTGAGTATTCCAGGTCTTTTCCTTTGTCTCTGAGATGTTCATTTGTGCCATCACTTGTATCAGGAGTTCTGGCTCTTCCCAGAGTCTTCTCTTCCTGGTGTGGCTCATGACAGATCATCAGATGTTTGGTGGGCACACACACAGGCACCTGATTGTCACCTGGAGAGACACAAGCAAATCTTCCTCCCCATGTAATTATTTTTCCTTTTTCCCAACTTTTTGTATGTGCATCCCCCCACCATATATCTTGTCCAGCTTTTTTATTTTCCTTTTGTCCTATTAAGTGTTGTTCAGCTGCTGTCATGGGTTGATCTTTTTGTAAATTTAAAAAATGTAATGTTAATAAAGCTAGGTGTAATTGTATATGTGGGGTTTTATAGTCCTGGTCTCCCTCTCTCTGTTTTTGTAACTGAGTTTTTAAGGTATGATTAGCTCATTCAACTATTGCTTGTCCTTGTGAGTTTTATGGAATACCTGTAGTATGAGTAATATTCCACTGCTGAAAAAATGCAGCCATGGCTTTGCTGCAATACCCTGCACCATTATCAGTTTTGATTTTTTCTGGGATTCCCATAACTGCAAAGCAAGAGAAAAGATGTTTTTTAACATGAGCTGTAGCTTCCTCTTTTGACATGTGGCCCAGATAAAATGTGAATAAGTATCTCCTGAAACATGAACAAAGGACAATTTTCCAAAAGCAGGAATGTGTGTTACATCCATCTGCCAGATGGAATTTGGGGATAAACCTTTAGGGTTAACTCCTGCTCCTTTATGTGGCAGATGCAGGACTTGACAGGCAAAGCAGTGTTTTACAGTCTCCTTAGCCTGCTTCCAGGATGAGCCATATCTTTTTCTGAGGCCTACAGCTTTAAGATGGGTTAAGGAATGGAATGTTTGTGCATCAGCAAAAGCCACAGAAACCAGTGCATCTGCCCTTTGATTAAGTTTAGTCAAAGGGCCAGACGGGTTAGTGTGTGCTCTTACATGAGTAATATAGAAAGGGGAATGTCTTTGTTGTAAAGAACGAAATAAAAGATTAAGTTGTTCATCAGTCACATTGCGAATTAAAGCACATTCAATATTTTGTGTGGCTTGCACCACATAAGCTGAATCAGAAACAATATTAACTGGCTGTTTAAAAGTTTTCAGTACTGTAATTACAGCCATAAGTTCAGCCCTTTGAGCAGAAGCAAAGTCAGTTTGAAAAACTTGTTATTGACGTCCCACAAATGAGGCTTTTTCATTACTAGACCCGTCAGTAAAAACACTAATGGACCCTACAATATGAGCTTTTTGAGTAATAGAAGGCAATATCCAGGATGTTAATATTAGAAATTGAAATATCTTAGATTTAGGATAATGATTATCAAGAATACCAACAAAACCTGCCAAATTAACTTGCCATTCCTGGGAATTAATATAAGCTTGCTGAATTTGTTGTTTGTTTAATGGAACTATAATGTGATTTGGATCATATCCCATTAACTTTGTTGTGCTCAGCCTTGCCTGTCCTATTAGTACAGCAATTTGATCTAAGTTCAGAGTAAGCATTTTGGTTGTATTGTGAGGTAGAAAAAGCCACTCAACCAGATCATCCTGTTGAACAATAACTCCTGTAGGTGAATGTTTAGTTGGAAAAACTAAAAACTGTAATGGCTGCATAGGGTCAATTCATTTTACTTATGCTTGTTGAATTTTTTCTTCAATTAATTGAAGTTCCTCTAATGCCTTTTTGGACAGGGAGCATTTACTGTTTAAGTTAGAATCACCTCATAAGGTAGAAAAAAGGTGAGACATAGCATAGGTAGGAATGCCTAAGGTTGGATGAATCCAATTAATGTCTCCCAATAATTTTTGAAAGTCATTTAAAGTTTTTAAATTATTTCTTCGAATTTGAACCTTTTGAGGCTTAATAGTACTTTGTTCTACCTTCATTTCTAAATATTGAAAGGGAGTAGAGGTTTGAATTTTATCGGGGGCTATGATTAATCCTGCTGCAGTTACAGCCTTTTCTAACTCTTTGTAGCATAGTATTAATTCCTACCTAGTTTCAGCTGCACATAAAATATCATCCATGTAATGGATAATATAACATTTTTTAAATTGTTCTCTAACTGGCTTAATAGCTTTTCCGACATAAGTTTGACAAATAGTCAGGCTATTTAACATGCCTTGTGGTAATACTTTCCAATGGTATCTGTCCACTGGTTATTTGTTATTTATAGCAGGAACAGTAAAAGCAAATTTTTCATAATCTTGGAAGCTAAAGGAATGGTAAAGAAGCAGTCTTTTAAATCTATCACTATTAGAGGCCAGTATTTTGGGATCATTGTTGGAGAGGGCAGCCCTGGTTGCAGTGCACCCATGGGTTTAATTTTAACTGCCCTCAAATCCGTTAACATTCTCCATTTCCTTGATTTTTTCTTAATAACAAACACAAGAGAGAGTTCCAAGGGAGAAAGCAGGCTCTATGTGTCCCTTTTGCAATTGTTCCTCTGCTAATTTTTTAAAAGCCTCCAGTTTTTTCTGTTTCAGCAGCCATTGCTCCACCCAAACTGGTTTGGCAGTTAGCCAAACAAGAGGAATGGGAGAGGGCGGCTCAGCAATGGCCACATCTAAAAATGATACCCTAATACAGTTTGATCTGTTTGCCCTTTTAGTTCTAAAGGTTCTGGTTGGCCACTTTCATTCTTTCGTAATCCTTTTGCAGGGAGATATCCCATATTTTTCATCATTTGTTTACTGTTATTACGATACTGATCCATAGGAATAGAAATTTCAGCACCCCATTGTTGCAATAAGTCTCTACTCCATAGATTGACAGGAATAGGTGTAATAATAGGTCAAATTGTCCCTTCCTGGCCATCCGGCCCCTGACATGGTAAAATCAAGAAACTTTGAAAACCTTCTGAAGCAGCTCCTACTCCAACAATACTGATGGATGCCTTTTGTTTGGGCCAGTGTCGGGGCCATTGATTTAAAGCAATAATAAGAACATCGGCTCCAGTATCTACTAACCCTTCAAAGTCCTTTCCCTGAATGGTTACTGTACAAATAGGTCTCTTATCAGACACTTGATTAACCCAATATACAGCTTTTCCTGCTGGGTTAGTACTACCAAAGCCTCCTGTTCTTTTTACAGTGCTGCTTCCCAGTTTTGTATAAGGTAACAGCAACAACTGAGCAATTCTTCCTCCTGGAGAAGCAGACCATGGAGTTGAGGAACTAATAACTAGTTGAATCTCTCTGGCATAATCAGAATCAATTATTCCTGTATGCACAGTGACACCTTTTAAATTTAAGCTAGACCTTCCAAGCAATAGACCAACTGTTCATGAGGGTAAAGGGCCCCCAACTCCCATGGGGACCTTCTTTGGCAGCTCCCCAGGAAGTAAGGAGACAGGCATTGTGCTGCAGAGATCTACGGCAGCACTGCCTGCTGTGGCAGGGGACAATTGTTGTACGTTTGTAAGGCACTGACTGTGCCAGATATTCCTCGGTTCGTTGAGGGGCCTGAGGCAGGCTCCTCTTCCCATTTCCTGAAAGAGGTTGCCCATCTTTACTAAATTTAGAATGATACTGATTTGCCCAGTGATTGCCTTCTTACACTGGGGGCATACACCGGAACTTTTCTGTTGATTTATGGCAATAGTTTTTGCCTTTTGATTTCCTTATCTACATGCCTTTTGTGTGTGTCCAAATTGCCCACAATTAAAGCAAGAGCCTGAGAATCGGGGCATATTTTTTCCCACCTTTAGTCCAGCCATAGCTTGAGCTAAAAGAGTAGCCTTGTGTAAGTTACCCCCAATGCCATCACCAGCCTTAATATATTCAGCCAAGTGAGCCTTCCCTCTGGTAGGTCTAATAGCATTTTGACACTCTGTATTAGCATTATCATATGCAAGAAGCTGTATTACAACATCTTGAGCTGTTTTGTCAGTTATGGCCTTATACACAGCCTCCTGGAGCCAAGCAATAAAATCAGTATATGGTTCTTTAGGTCCTTGTTGGACAGAACTGAAAGAAGGATATTTTTCTCCTGTAACATTTATTCTCTCCCATGCCCATAAGTGCACCATGCGTAACTGAACAATGGCAACGTTCTCCATTACTGCTTGATTTTCTAATCGACCCCAATTAGGGCCAACTCCCATTATCTGTTCAAAACAAACGCACAGGTGGCTGTGCTTGTGTGTTTTCCCTTGCCTGGGTTTGTGCTTTATCAGCCCACCAGGTTTTAAACTGTAAGTACTGAGATGGAGTGAGAGCAGATTTTGTTAAAGTATCCCAGTCATATGATATTAATCTATTCTCAAGAGCCACATTTTTTAGTAAACTTTGTACAAAAGGAGAATTTGGCCCATATTGACTAATGGCTTGCTTAAATTCCTTAAATAACTTAAAAGGAAAAGTAGCCCAATTAGCTATATTTTGCCCTTCTTGCTGGGTGATAGTAATGGGAAATTGCCATGCTTCAAGGTCTCCCTCAGCCCTAGCCTTTTGAATGAATTTTGTATAGCACCACCAATTGCTCCAAGTTTTGATGTTGCAACTACAGGAGCAGTAAGCTTTACAGCTAATTCATTTTCTCGCCCATTAGTGGGAGGGGGAGGAGATGGCCATTCACTTAATTCAGCAGGTGGAGCTGATGGGCTAGTAAAACACACCCTTTTTAGTTTCCCTTTCTTTTCTTTAATTTCCTCCAGTTTTTGCTCCTCGCATCTAGAATCTAAGGTTAGTTTTTTACACTCATTTTCCTCTTCCTCATCTGAATCTGTCTCATCATCTGTTTGAAATGGCCCAAGAGCTGCCTTTATCAATGCCCACACTGACCAAACAGAAACTGGAATTTTGGCTCCTTCTTTATACACCTTTTTAAAATCTCTGCCAATTCTTTCCCATTCATCCAACTCCACAGTCCCTTGTTCTGAGAACCATGGGCAAAACTGCTCTACTCTACTAAAGAGTGTTAATAATTTCTGAGTACTAGCTTTCACTCCCCCTCTCCATAACCAACACCTTAGAAAATTTAAATAAGCAGAATGTTTGCTTTCATTCTGTCCCATTGTTACCCTGGTTCTCCCAAGCACCCAGCTTACCCACTGAGCTTCTTTCAGTCATCCTTGGGTGTCCTTTGACCATGTGTCCTCCACTTCCACATGCTCTGGCATTCCTTCACCGGGGTCTTCGTAGCCAACATTGGGTGCCAGAAATGTTGGGGTGATCAGACACCAACACCAGGTCATGGAGGCTACGAAGTCCCGCAGAGTCAAAGGAATGAGACAAGACAAGTTAAGAGTACATAGGGTGGGTCCAGGGGGCCAACGCTAGTGTATGGAGGCTGCAAAGGCTCTGAGCTCTGGGAGCCCACACTATTTATTGGTAATCAAACAAAGAAGCTGGTGGTGAGGACATGTAGATGTGGGGGTAGACAGGTGAGGATGTGAGGATGTGGGGGTAGAAAGGTAGCAGTGCATCAAGCATAGCTGTGACAATTTAGCATATGCTCTGCTACTTGAGATAAGGGAGAACAGGTTCTTCTAATTCAAGATACATCAATCAGTGAGTCTGGACACATTCCAGAGGCTACAAGGGGTTTTATTCCCTGAGACCTGGGTTCTCTCCAAGCCACAAGGGGTGTTATGCCCTGGGCTTAGATTGTAGTGCAGCAGGGCAGCCTTCCATCCTTTGGCACAGAGCTTGGTGTTCCACAAGGGGAACAAGGCCACAAGGGGTTTTAGACCCTGGACCCAGGACATGTTCCAAGACTCTTTTACATTATGTCAGACAAGCAAGCCCTGCCTTAGCTCTTCTACCAACACTATGCATTTAACACATGTTGAGACGGAGTCTTGCTCTGTCACTCAGGCTGGAGTGCAGTGGCACAAATCTTGGTTCACTGCAACCTCCACCTCCTGGGCTCAAGCAATTTTCCTTCCTCAGCCTCCCGAGTAACTGGGATTACAGGTGCGCATCACCATGCCCAGCTAATTTTTGTATTTTTACATAGATAGAGTTTCACCATGTTGTCCAGGCTGGTCTCGAACTCCTGACCTCAAGTGATCTGCCTGCCTCGGCCTCCCAAAGTGCTGGGATTACAGGTGTGAGCTTCCACGCTCAGCCCAGTATATATAATTTCAAAACAAATATTACAACATATGAATTGGCATTGCAGTGGGAATCAGAAGAGTTCTATGATCATAGACATTTTGGAAGGAATAGGTGAAAGAATTGGCTATTACGTTTTGTATAAGAAAATCAGCACCTGTTCTGTCCATTTTGGAGTAGGCAGGCTGAGGTGCACACAGTGTATGTTGTAACTGTTTGTGTAGCCATGACACACACTCTGTCTGCAACCCCAGACCAAGACAACTGAAAATTAAAGCATGATATGTTTTGTAGAGTAGTACAAAATGAATGGCATTTATGCATGATGAAATTATTTCCTAGTTACCCAATAAGAAATTAATAATGCAACAAAAAATCATATAAGCCACAAGAGAAAGATTAAATCCCTTGTGATAGGAGGAGGAAACCCAGACTGATCGTAGATTTTGGTGATTGATCCTGGATGGGTTTTTTGGAGCCTTACATACTTTCTGTCCTCTGTGTAGCTTGTTTTCTTTTTCTTTTTCTTTTCTTTTTCTTTTTTTTTTTTTTTCTGAAACAGGGTCTCACTCTGTTGCCCAGGCTGGAATGCAGTGGCGTGATCTCAGCTCACTGCAGCCTCCACCTCCCGGGTTCAAGCAATTCTCCCACTTCAGCCTCCTGAGTAGCTAGGATTACAAGTGCCCGCCACTACACCTGGCTAATTTTTGCGTTTTTATTAGAGATAGGGTTTCACCACGTTGGTCAGGCTGCTCTCAAACTCCTGAACTCAGGTTCCACCTGCCTCCGCCTCCCAAAGTATTGGGATTACAAGTGTGATCCACCATGCCCAGCCTGCAGTTTTTCTTCTAATAGTCAGCATTCTCTTTAGTAGTCCCAGTGGCAGGGTGGCACAACCAGAGGTTCCCAAAGGAAAACCTCACGTCTGGATACTAAATATACTATTTGGTTAAATGATAAACTTTTTCACTTGGCATTTCCTAGCACTGATGTAAACAACTTCAGGAGTTTGTCTCTACAATTCTATATCTTTTGAGAAAATATTTTTTCCAGCTCTTTTGTAGTTGGCAAAATACAATTGTATCTATTGGGTGAAAACTTAAACATAGCATCTGAAATCATAAAACTGCTAGAAGAAAACACTGGGGAAAACTTTCTTTTTTAAAAATTTTACTTTAAGTTCTGGGATACATGTGCAGAACGTGCAGGTTTGTTACATAGATATACATGTGCCATGGTGGTTTGCTGCACCTATCAACCTATCATCGAGGCTTTAAGCCTAGGTATTTGTCCTAATGCTCTCCTTCCCTTTGCCCCCCACCCCCCAACAGGCCCTGGTGTGTGATGTTCCCCTTCCTGTGTCCATGAGTTCTCATTGTTCAACTCTCACTTATGAGTGAGAATATGCGGTGTTTGGTTTTCTGTTCCTGTGTTGGTTTGCTGAGAATGATGGCTTTGACATTGGTCTCAACAATGAATTTTTTGATTTGACATCAAAAACCCATACAATACAAGAAAAAACAATCAAATGGGACAACATTCACTAAAACATTTCTCATAGCAAAAGAAAACAATCAACACAATTAAAAGTCAGTCTGTACAATTGGAGAAAAATTCTGTAACAATATATCTGAGAATGAGATTATGTATCAAACATATAAGGAATTCTTAAAACTGAACATCAATAAGTAAATAACCCAGGACCTGAACAGATATTTTTCCAAAGAAGTCCTACAATGGCCAACAAATATTTGAAAAGATGCTTAGCATCACGAATCATGAAGAAATGCACATCAGAACTGCAATGAGCTATTACCTCATACAGACTTGTCAGAATAGTATCTATTAAGAAGTCAAAAGATAATGAGTGCTAATGATGATGTGGAGAAGGGAGAACTGTTGCACACTCTTAGTGGGAATGTAAATGGATAAAGCCATAATGGAAAACAATATGGAGTTTTCTCAAAAAAGTAAAACTAGAAATGCCACATGATCCAGCAATCCCACTTCTGGGTATTTATCTGCCTTGGTTCATTTTGTGCTTCTATGACAGAACACTTTTGGCTGGGTAATTTATAATGAATAGATATTTATTTTCTCATAGTTCTGGAGGCTGGGAAGTGCAAAATCAAGGTGGCAGCATCTGGTGAGGGCCTTCTTGCTACACCATCATGTGGCAGAAAAGCAAAGGCACAAGGTACCACTAACCCTATGATCGTGACATTAAACCCAACTATGAGGACAGAGCCTTCATGGCCCTATTACCTCACAACCACATTTGCCATAACCAAATTTCAACATGAGTTTTGGAGGGGATAAACATTCAAACCATTAACAATATCCAAAGGGAATAAAATTGCTATCTTGAAGAGATATCTGCACTCCTATACTCATCACAGCATTACGCACAATAGACAAGATATAAAAACAATGTAGATGTCTATCAGCAGAAAAATGGATAAAGAATATATGAAATATCTATTAATATATCTATTTGTCTATCAAATGAAATACTATTCAACCCTAAGAAAGAAAATCCTGCCACTTGCAACAACATAGATGAACTTTGAAGACATTATGCTAAGTGAAATAAGGCAGACATAGAAATACAAATGTTGTATGAACTCATTTTATGAGGAATCTGAAAAAGAGTAGAACTCATAGTTACAGAGAGCAGAATGGTGGTGACCTGGGGCTGAGGGACTGGGAAAAAATGAGAGATATTGGTCAAAGGGTACAAACCTGTTGTCACAAAATAAATAATACTAGAGACCCAATGTACAGCATTGTGACTATACTTAATAATTACATCTTGTATACTTGAACTTTGTTAAGAAACATGGATCTCAAATGAACTTACCACACTAAAAAATAGTAACTATGTGACATGACAGATATGTTTATTAGCTTTATTGTGGTAATAATTTCACAATATATAAATATATCAAAACATATATTTTAGTTTTTACACTTTAAATACAGTTTCTATTTGTCAATCATAGTCCAAAAAAGGTGGGAAAAGATTGTGTAACCAAACTAATATCTAGTCACATGTAAATTGTATTTAAGACCATTTGAAATAAATTTTAGATTAAATTTAAAATCTAAATTGGCATAATTATTTTAAATTTTACTTTAAGTTCTGGGATACATGTGCACAACGTGCAGGTTTGTTACACAGATACACATGTGCCATGATGGTTTGTTGCACCTATCAACCCATCATCTAGGTTTTAAGCCCCGCATGCATTAGGTATTTGTCATAATGCTCTCCCTCCCCTTGCCCCCCAACCCCCGACAGGCCCCAGTGTTTGATGTTCCCCTCCCTGTGTCCATGTGTTCTCATTTTTCAGCTCTTACCTATGAGTGAGATCATGCAGTGCTTGGTTTTCTGTTCCTCTGTTAGTTTGCTGAGGATGATGGTTTCCAGCTTTATCCATGTCCCTGCAAAGGACATGAACTCATTCTTTTTATGGCTGCCTAGTATTGCACCCATACCGCAATCCAATGGGATTGCTGGGTCAAATGGTATTTCTGGTTCTAGATCCTTAAGGAATCACCACACTGTCTTCCACAATGATTGAACTAATTTATACTCCCACCAACAGTGTAAAAGTGTTCATATTTCTCCACATCCTCACCAGGATCTCTTGTTTCCTGGCTTTTTAATGATCGCCATTCTAACAGGCGTGAGATGGTATCTCATTGTGGTTTTGATTGCATTTCTCTAATGACCAGTGACGATGAGCTTTTTCTCATGTTTGTTGGCGACATAAATGTCATCTTTTGAGAAGTGTCTGTTCATACCCTTTGCCCATTTTTTGATGGGATTGTGTTTTTTTTTCTTGTAAATTTGTTTAAGTTCCTTGTAGATTCTGGATATTAGCCCTTTGTTAGATGGATAGATTGCAAAAATTTTCTCCCATTCTGTAGGTTGCCTGTTCACTCTGATGATAGTTTCTTTTGCTGTGCAGAAACTCTTTCACTTAATTAAATTCCACATGTCAATTTTGGCTTTTGTTGCAATTGCTTTTGGTGTTTTAGTCATGAAGTCTTTGTAAATTGGCATAATTTTTACAGGGACAAAAAAGTTTTTTCGAAGAGGCATTATTTAAAGCTAGAACTGAATATTTAGCTAAAATGTTTAATTTTTATTCGTTGTTCATTTTAAAATTCTTTTTAGAGATGGGGTCTTGCTCTGTCACCCAGACTGAAGCACAGTGGTGCAATCACAGCTCACTGCAACCTCAACCTCTGGGGTTCAAGGAATCCTCCCACCTCAGCCTCCTGAGTAGCTGGCATTACAGGCCCTCACCATCATGCTTGGCTAATTTTAAAAAAATTATTTTTGTAGAAATGAGATCTTACTATGGTGCCCAGGTTGGTCTCAAACTCTAGCCCTCAAGCAATCCTCCCAGCTCAGCCCCCCAAATTGCTGGGATTACAGGTGTGAGCCACTGTGCCTGGCCTAAAATACTTTTGATAAATAAGAGTAAATTAAAATATTTTCAAAAGTGAAAATTTTGAGAGATTTTATTACCAATAGGAGCTTCTTTAGGGTACACTTCAAGAAGAAAGAAACATTTTCTGGTATGAAATTAAAATGAAAAAGAGTAAGAGACTTAATATGGGAATATCAACTATGGTGGACACTGAACTAAAGAAACTAAAAATTCCTTGGTTTCAAAAGTATTTAGATACAATAAAAGTATAATTCTTTATATATTTTTTCTGCATAATCTCATTTATATGTAGACTCTAATAAAGTCTAATTCAAAAAAATAGAAAGTGAAATAAGGGTTACTAGAGGCTTGATGTGGTGGGAAGAAATTATAGAGTTTTTGATTGAAGGGTACAAAGTTTCTAACAGACAAGGTAAGTAGGTTTTGAGATCTATTTCACAGCAGCGTGACTATAGTAAACCATAATGTAATTGTATATTTTAAAATGACTAAGAGTAAATTTCAAATGTCTTACCACAAATAATGCTGGTAAGCGAGTTGATAGATGTTATTTAACTCAATCATTCCATATTACATACATATATTAAAACATCACATTTTACCCCATGAATTCATTCAACTTTGATTTGCCAATCAAAACTACTATTCATACTTTAAAGAGAAAGAAATAAACTTTAAGAAATTTGACGAGAGAAAAAACTGTTCATTTTAAAATCTTAGAAAACAGACACATATATTTTTCATATATATATATATACATTTCAAATGGCTTGCTCCCTTAGTGATGTAAGTAAACTTTTTTTTTTGAGACGGAGTCTCACTGTCACCCAGGCTGGAGTTCAGTGGCATGATCTCTCACTGCAACCTCTGCCTCCCAGGTTCAAGCAATTCTCCTGCCTCAGCCTCCCGAATAGCTGGGATTACAGGCGCCAGACATCGTGCCCAGCTAATTTTTGTAATTTTAGTAGAGGCGAGGTTTCACCATGTTGGCCAGGCTGTTCTTGAGCTCCTGACCTCAGGTGATCTGCCCACCTCGGCCTCCCAAAGTGTTGGGATTACAGGCTTGAGCCACCGCGCCCAGCCATAAGTAAACTTTTAATATAATGAATAGTCTAAACCCAACACTAAGGAATAAAATGTATATTTTTAATGTTCAAAATAATACAATACTATAAAAGACAGCCCCTAAAGCAACTGCTTACAGTAAAATTATTTCTACATTTGTAAATAAATTATTCCTTCACTTGTTAGAGAAAAGATATTTGAATATATGTTTTTAAACTACATTTCAATGTATTAAATCAAATGAACATATGTACTTGGCAATAAAAAATGTATTAAACAAGTAGACAAGAAAACTTGCCTTCTTTTCTAATTTTAAAACTGACAAACACTCAGCATTTAGGTGCTTATTTGTCTAGTGTTACTGGAATGCTAAAGAGAAGTACTCAATGAGAAATCTTTCCATATTTATATCCATGCTGGGTGTGAATATATGGGAATTTTACAAGGGTAGTATTATAAACATTCAACTACTACTATAGCCCCAGACTGACTGATTAGAATAAACATGGATTACAAACCACTGATGTGGCCATCTTGTTTTTAGGCTTAACATTGATCATGATCTAACAGAATCAACAAATGAGAGCTATATGCTGGGTGCTCTTCGGGCACCTTCATTTGCATTAATTGCTTTAATTTTACCAAAACCCTAAAGTTCCGGATGTGATCAGGAACCAACTCACAGCGAATTTCAATCTTAACCATTATGCCCAACACCATGTCATCCAATGCTTGTTTTAAATCCCGACATAACATTTTGGCTTTAAATTTTTTAATTTAGTAAAAATAAAGATAAATTTACAAACCACTTCTTTTTATCCATAGATAGTATGCAGAACTTAATTTTTGGTTTAAAGTATTCATTACAAAGTCTGAGACAAACACTTCAGTAAATGAATTATCACAATATTCTTCTTATGACTTAAAAGAACCATTAATTTTACTTTTGAAATATATTGAGTGTTTATATTTAAAGTTAAAATGAGCCTATTATTACATAGAAAATTTGTTGTCTGCATGAATCTTGTCATCCTGGGGGTCTACATTTGCTAGAAGTTTCAGAAACACTAATAAGAATACTGTTTCTGATTGAATAATTAAAGAATGTTACGCTTTTTCAGTGACTAAAATAGATTGGAATTACTGATCAGTAACTTACAATGAGGTTTAAATGTTATTTAATGAATACATGTGAAGTTTCTCTTAAACTCATTTTAACAAATTACTTCTACTGTTTTTCACTTCTATTAGAAAAAAGTATTAAAATTTCTGTTATTGCAAGCCTATAAATTTTATTCAGATCTAAACATAGTGATAATCTTAAAAGATCTGTGTGCTTAGGATTATAAAAAGCCTATTGCCATTCACACATGGAAGATAAATAACTCCTTTTCAGTAAACCCAATGGGGCAATTGTGACTCACAACTATAAGCTATTAAAATATTAATACTATCACCTAGATGACACTTTTAGGTATCTGCATGTTCAAGTTGTTTAACTTATAATTCAAAAATAAATTTTTATAAACTATAAAAAATATAAAGAATTTTTTTTAGTTCGTAAATACTGTCATTATTTCTAGTTGACATAACATTAAATTTTAGAGGCTATGGCTTTAGAAACAAGAAATGTCATGGTTGACTCCACTTTACTTCCTGCCTTATTTCACACAAACACAGCAGCACAAAAAAGGCCAGAAATGCTACAACTTGACTGGAAGTACACCAGTACCCTTCTAGGGAGAATATATGTGGAGCATATTTACTTGAAATTCATGACATCTTTTGTTGAAGTACAGGCTTCTATATGGCAAGTAATAAAGACAAAAATTTTATAGGGCAATAGAGTAAGAAACATACTCTAAAATTACCTTCTAACTCATTATTTCTATTTTCACTAGCATGGTTGTGACGGAATGAGCATTTGCAGCAGTTTTTTTGTTGTTTTTTTTTTCTTTTTTTTCTTTTTTTTGAGACAGAGTCCTGCTCTGTCGCCCAGGCTGGAGTGCAATGGCGTGACCCCGGCCCACCACAACCTCCACCTCCTGGGTTTAAGTGATTCTCCTGCCTCAGCCTCCCAAGTAGCCGGGCCACAGGCACATGCCACCACACCCGGCCCACCTCTGGACTTCTAGTAGAGACGGGGTTTCACCATGCTGGTCAGGCTGGTCCCAAACTCCTGACCTCGTGATCCACCCGCCTTGGGCTCCTGAAGTGCTGGGATTACAGGCGTGAGCCATTGTGCCAGGCCCATAGCATGGTCTTAAATAACCTACACTCTCTGCTTCATCATTTTTAGGGTATGGCCATAAGACGTTTATGATTTTATTAGAAAAAATGTTTTCTTTTTCTAATTCAGAAATTCAGCATAATTTCACAGGCAGATCACAAGGTCAGGAGTTCAAGCCCAGCCTAACCAACATGGCGAAACCCAGTCTCCACCAAAAATACAAAAATTAGCTGGATGTGGTGGCACACGCCTGCATTCCCAGCCACTCAGGAGGCTGAGGCAGAATTGCCTGAACCCAGGAGGCAGAGGTTGCAGCAAGCTGAGACCACACCAGTGCACTCCAGCCTGAGCAACAGAGAGAGACTCCATCTCAAAAAACAAAAAAAAAAAAAACAAAAAAAAAACCAACTCATCTACAACAACTGTAGTAATTATACTTTGAAATAAATTTAACCAAAAGTGGAAAAACCTGTGCATTATAATCTAAACAATACTGAAGTACAAAATTAAATACACGAATGGAAAAATATTACCTATAAATGAATTGGCATTATTAATATTGTTAAATATCCATATTACACAAAATAATCCACAGATATAATGCAACCTCTATGAAAATACCAGTGACACACTTAATATAAATTTTAAAACATACATCTAAAATTTATATTGTACCACAGAAGACCCAAAGTAGCAAAGCAATAAAGAAAAAAAGAAGGGTGAATATATCACCCTACCTGACTTTGAAATATACTAAAAAGCTATATTAGCTAAAACAGTATGGTAATTGAAGAAAAACAGACACATACTCCAATGGAGCGGGACAAACAAAAAAAGACCAGAAACAGCTGACTTGAAGTTACAAACTAACTCCAGCAGAAATATTTATGGCTTATTATGGAGCATCAGTTACACAGCAAGCACTGTCATGTTTCTTTCTTTTTTTTTTTTTTTTTTTTTTTGAGACAGAGTCTCGCTTTGTCACCCAGGCTGGAATGCGGCGGCGCGATCTCATCCCACTGTAACCTCCACCTCCTGGAACGAAGTGATTCTCCTGCCTCAGCCTCCTGAGTAGCTGAGACCCCAGGCACGTGTCACCACGCCCAGCCAATCTCTGCACTTCTAGTAGAGATGGGGTTCCGCCATGTTTGCCAGGCTGGTCCTGAACTCCTGGCCTCAGGTTACCCGCCCACCCCAGCCTCCCAAAGTGCCAGGACCACAAGCATGAGCCACCACACCCGGCCTCACTGTCATGTTTCTTTGATACATTTATATATAAAAACATTTTCATGACTTATGAAAGTTCCCTAGTACTTACCTAAAAAGAGAATGACTCAATAAATAAGTAAATTCACTTACGTCATCTATAAAAAGTGAAAGGACAATAACTAAAGAAAAGTAGGCTTATATAGGCATCTGCATCTAAAAGAACAAAACAGAATGTTCTAAATAAAATATAACACTACATTAATTATGGAATTACATCTAAAAATTGTGTGCACTACTAAATTTTATAAAAAGCACTCTTATAATCACTGACCAGCTCGGGTAATGGATACTTCATAAACTATAAAACAAAAAATTATAACAAACAAAATTATAGGTCTGGCATGAGTACCGGGCAAAGAGTTTGTGTGGAGAGATTCTGAACCATAAGCCATAAGGTTTTACAGTAATGAATTTAATACAAAGCTGAGAGCATAAATTTGCTTTCAGCATTTTTGAGGTTTTTATGATCTAGTAAATTAATAACCTTATTAAAATGATTTGTTTTGTTCTGATATTGCTATATTCTTCTGAAAATAGGTACGAACTCATACTCATACAAACACACTCACTCCATAATTTTCTTTCCTAAGGTTTATCTTTAGAGTAATATATGTGTATTTTTAACTTTATGTAAATCAAAATTAAAAGTCTTTATGTGTTTGCAGGCAGAGAGGCCACATGTTCAAATAAAAATATCTAAGAAGTTTATAAAAATATGTATTCAAGACTCACAAATGTATGGATTTTGTTCATGCTTCTAAATAATATAATCATAGAAATTACCCTATAGTCAATATCTATTTATTTATTCTTTTTGAGACAGAGTCTCACTCTGCCACCCAGGCTGGAGTGCAGTGGCACGATCTCAGCTCACTGCAACCTCCACCTCTCAAGTTCAAGTGATTCTCCTGCCTCTGACTCGCGAGTAACTGGGATCGCAGGCACTCACCACCATGCCTGGCCAACCTTTGTATTTATAAGTACAGACAGTGTTTCAACATGTTGGCAACACTGGTCTCAAACTCCTGACCTCAGGTTATCCACCTGCCCCATCCTCCCAAAGTGCTAGGATTACAGGCATGAGCCATGGTTCCTGGCCGTCGGTAACAGTTTAATTGTACATTTTAAACAAAAAGTGTAAAATTGAATTTTCTGTAATACAAAGGATGAATGCTAAAGGTGATAGATACCTCATTTACCATGAGGTGATTATTATATATTGTATGCATGTATCAAAATATGCCATATGTGCTTTAAATATATACATATACTATGTACCCAAAAGTAATAATTCTTTATATTTTACTTAAATCAAATTAAAGAATTTCAGTGCTACTTGAACAGTTTGACTGACGGCTGAAGACTCTTTTCTCAAAAAACATTTTTCATCACTGACTTATTAAAAACTGTTGGTACTTCAATTGCAATTTTGCATAATACTGATTATTGTTTTATCAGAACTGATTTGCACCAAAGGACTAACAGTGGCATAGGCATTGAGCACAGCTCTCTGCACACTCAGGACAACGTGTGGGTCATACGGCCATAGCAGGGTTAAAGAGGTTGAGAAGATAAAGTCCACCCAGTACATGACCACAAAGAAACTCACCAGCAGCAGGATGGTCTGGGTGGCCCTTTTCTCTGGGGAGGGTCTTGGGGAGAGGTGGGTGCTATGGAGGTGCTGGGATTGCCTCCAATGCCTGGGCAGGAGAATCACCATGTATGCCCTTGAGAGCAGCATAAGTACTACACAGGAGACATACTTGGATAATGTCACAGTGAAAAACACTCCCCTGATTGTGGAGTTCATGGGGGAAAGTGGCAGTATTTACTGACATTCTGTAGCTTGATATGGGTCGTGTTGGAAGAATGCACAGAGAAAAAGATTGGCCAACTACTGAAGGACAAATTGAAGCACACCCAAAAGAAGAAAACATGCAAAATGTAATTTGTGGATTTATGTTTAAACCTTGCCAACCAGGAGGTGCTGGGGCTGATGCTGATGGCCTGGAGCATGTTCAGAAGGCAGGTGGTGCAGATGGAGAGGCCCTTCATTGCCCTGTTTGTGTAAAAAAGTGCCTTACACTTAAAGTCATTCCCAAAATGCAGTGATTCAAATATGTCTAGAGGCAAAAAATCCACTGCAGTGAGGAGCATCTGAATGTGAATGAGGGCCAGGTGACAGGTGAGTAAGTCACGGGGTTTAGGCCTGCGATTCAGAAGAAGCGTAAAGATGTGGAAGAAAAGGAGAAAGGTGTTGGCTGAGAATCCAATGCCAGCTTGAAAAACAAAGGCATTTTTAACGATAGCATAAGTAGAAAATAGTTTCATCTTAATGGCATAGAGGAAACATACTTTCTATATCTGGAATAAAAGAAACAATAGATCCCATGTTATCAATGTTGGTTGTTCAGTGTTCAAAATTGTTACCATCATCATCTTTTTCCCCACTTATTCTTTGTTAAGCTTGTATATGAATTCTTGGAAATCCAGCTTCTGCATTCTTTTCCATACCAAATCATTTATATTTGTAAAACAGTAAGACTTCTACAATCATACAGTGCACAGTGCCTGTATCCCACTATACCTGAGCCTCACTTTTTAGAAATCATATCCTTATTGTTCTGCATTCTCTCCTATTATATTTAGCACCCAGAACAGTGATGGACAAACAAAATTACTCAAAAAAAAGGGCCAGGCACAGTGGCTCATGCTTGTAATCCCAGCACTTTTGGAGGCTGAGGTGGGAAGATTGCTTGAGGCCAGAAGTTCAAGACCAGACTGGGCAACATAGTGAGGTGCCATCTCTACAAAAAAATTAAACAGTTAGTGAGACATTGTAGCATGCACCTATAGTCCAAGCTACCCAGGAGGCTGAGGTGGGAGGATTGCTTGAATCCAGGAGGTCAAGGCTGTAGTGAGCCATGATTGCGCCACTGCATTCCAACCTGGGCAACAGAGTGAGACCCTATCTCATAACAAATACAAAAACAAATAAAATTACTCAAAGGTATTTATACATTTAAATTAAATGGAAATTTATTCTAATATGAAAAGAATCACTAAAGCAAGCAATTGAAAAAATATTCAGCTGAGTCACTCTCACATCTCGTCACTTTGATACACTCTGTTCTCCATCACTCTTCCACATTTCTGGACCCTTGTGATTATACTGGACCCATGGTGATAATTTGTGAAAATCTCACTATATTTCAACAGCAGACTAGCAATCTTGATCACATCTGCAATCTTATATTTTCTTTGCCATGGAATCTAATGTATTCCCAGTATCTGGGGAATTAGTATGTGAACATATTTGGAAGGTTTTGTTTTGCTTTTCTGAATCCTTCTTAATGTATCACTTAAAAATGGTCCCAGCTCTCTCCCAGTTTAGTTTCCATTCCAGTAATTTTTTTTTTTTTTTTTTTTTTTTTGAGATGGAGTCTCCCTCTGTCGCCCAGGCTGGAGTGCAGTGGTGCAATCTCAGCTCACTGCAAGCTCTACCTCCTGATTTCACGCCATTCTCCTGCCTCAGCCTCCCAAGTAGCTGGGACTACAGGCACTCGCCACCCCGCCCAGACAATCTTTTATATTTTTAGTAGAGACGGGGTTTCACCCTGTTAGTCAAGATGTTGTCGATCTCCTGACCTCGTGATCCACGCGCCTCGACCTCCCAAAGTGCTGGGATTACAGGCGTGAGCCACCGCGCCCAGTCCTTCCATTCCAGTAATTTCTTATGTAAACTCTTTTTTATCTCGGTATAACATTGCTAATGTCCACCTCTCAATTATCAACAAAAAAAATCACTATTTTATTCACTTCACGACAACCATGAGGTTGCATCAAAAGAATCAGATGTTGGCCGGGCGTGGTGTCTCCCACCTGTAATCCCAGCACTTTGGGAGGCCGAGGCGGGCAGATCACCTGAGGCTGGGAGTTTGAGACCAGCCTGGCCAACATGGTGAAACACCGTCTTTACTGAAAATACAAAAATTAGCCAGGCGTGGTTGTGCACGCCTGTAATCCCAGCTACCTGGGAGGCTGAAGTGGGAGAATCACCTGAGCCCTGGAGGTTGAGGCTGCAGTAGCTGAGATTGTGCCACTGCACTCTACCCTGAGCAACAAAGCAAGACTGTCTCAAAAAAAAAAAAAAGGCAAAAATTTTTTAATCACATGTTGATCTGTTTCCTGAGACTTCCCTTAATACAGGGATACTTTCCAATGCCTAGAAAAATACTTGGTTTCCAATAATAAAAATATCTTCCCTCAAGTTTTCTCAGGATATCTCTAATACCATATCTAATATCTTGTAAAATTTTATAGAATGATTTTTCAGGCACTATCCTATGTTATTTAGCTTGGATTCAGGCATCATATATCATCAGTTTAATTTAATCCACAGCTTAGAACAATTCAATTTCATGACATGTTAAGATAAAAAGCCACTGCATTCACTCAGATTTTTCTGAGGTGAAAAGGTGTCCAATTATATTTTCAAAATCACTTATTGGGATACTGTTCCATAAGTGTAAATAGATAAGGCAATGCATAAATGGTAATAATTAGTATTTCTGGCTTATAATTAGAAATTAATGGCTGAAGTAAAAATTGCTCAAAACACACATACACACACATATAAGTATATATATGTACTTTTATAAATACATACACATATATAATTTTAAAAAAAAGAAAAGAAAAGAAAATGCCAGCTCCGTCAGACCTACATAGGCGAAGTGTTCTGTTCTCCAGAGGACACAGCTGTGAGCAAGGAAACTAGACATGACTCCCCATGGAAGGTAGGCTGCTTTTCACATTCCCCTTCCATCAATTTGCCCAGGTGCATTTGTAGAGGGCAGAAAGGTTCCTCCATTCCAAGCAGCATGAGTGTTTAAATATGTACTGTCCTCCCCAGGAGATCTTACTTCTTTTTGAGATGGAGACTTACTCTGTCGCCCAGGCTGGAGTGCAGTGGTGTGATCTCGGCTCACTGCAACCTCCGCCTCCCTCGTTCAAGCGATTCTCCTGCCTCAGCCTCCTGAGTAGCTGGGATTACAAGCATGTGCCACCACGCCCAGCTAATTTTTGTATTTTTGGTAAAGATGGGGTTTCACCACATTGGTCAGGCTGGTCTCGAACTCCAGACCTTGTGATCTGCCCTCCTCAGCCTCCCAAAGTACTGGGATTACAGGTGTAAGCCACTGCACCTGGCCGAGATCTTACTTTGATGTAAAGTATCAAGCTATCCTGCTGTTGTGTTCCACCCCTCATTCTTCAGTCTCCTCTGCTGCTTCTACTCACAGGAGTGTTTTATTTCACACATTTATCAGTCACGCACCCACTTGTTAGCAGTAGACACTTATTTTTGGCCCCTGTGATATCCATCAAGCACAACTTTAATCATAACTAAACATAACATTAACTTAATCATAATTACGAGTGCACATATATGATCTTCTTCCTTAGCAAATAATACCTATTAAATTGTTAGATGATAAGATCATGACATTTCTTCTTATAAATATCTAAGAATCTTAGCATAGGGCAGCAGCTCAGCCTGTTTAGGTTCAGGATAATGAGCTATCTTTCCTACTCTGATGAAATTTCTTCATTTGACCTCAGTCAGGACCACCCAGCCCACAGAATTCTATTGTCCACAAATTTACTTTTTCCTGCTCTCTCTAACCCAGTCCAACATATCATTTGTTGCAATCAATATGACTTCATTTCTCAATCCAATTGGCTTTGTTGGATCTTGCTTTGTTTGCCTTCTTGCAAGTCTTTCAACTGCATTTGAAAATTTTTTCCCACTCCCCAAAGAAAAAACTGTCAATCAAAAATTATATGTCCAAGAAAGCTATAGAACAACAATAAAGACAAAATAAGCATCTGACTAAGGTCTACAAGCATCTGTAAGGAACTCAAACAAATTTACAAGAGAAAAACAACGCCATTAAAAAGTGGCAAAGGATATGAACAGATATGTTTGAAAAGAAGACATACGGGCTGGGCGCCACCTCACGCCTGTAATCCCAGCACTTTGGGAGGCCAAGGGGGGCAGATCACAAGATCAGGAGATCAAGACCAGCCTGGCTAACAGAGTGAAACCTCGTCTTTACTAAAAATACAAAAAATTAGCCAGGCTTGGTGGCACGCACCTGTAGTCCCAGCTACTCGGGAAGCTGAGGCAGGAGAATCACTTGAACCTGGGAGGCGGAGGTTGCGGTGAGCCGAGATCGCGCTACTGCACTCCAGCCTGGGTGACAGAATGAGACTCCGTTTCAAAAAACAACAACAAAAAAGACATACATGCGGCCAAAAAGCATATGAAAAAAAGCTCAATATCACTGATCATTAGAGAAATGCAAATCAAAACCACAATGAGACGCCAGCTCACACCATTCAGAATGGCTAGTTACTATTAAAAAGTAAAAAAAAAAAATAACAGTTGCTGGTGAAGTTGTGGAGAAAAGGGAAACACTTATACACTGTTAATGAAAGTGTACATTAGTTCAATCATTGTGGAAAGCAGTATCACAATTCCTTAAAGAGCTAAAAGCAGAACTACCATTTGACACAGCAATCCCGTTACTGGGTATATACCCAGAGGAATATACATTATTCTACCATAAAGACACGTGCATGAAAATGTTCATTGCAGCACTATTCACAATGGCAAAGATGTGGAATCAACCTAAATGTCCATCAGTGACAGACTGGATACTAAAAATGTGGTACATGCCCACCATGGAATATTATTAAGCCATAAAAAAGAATGAGATCACGTCATTTGCAGAGACATGGATGGAGCTGGAGGCCATTCTCTTTAGCACACTAACATAGGAACAGAAAACCCAGGACCGCATGGTCTCACTTAAAAGTGGGAGGTAGGCCGGGCACTGTGACTCACCCTTGTAATCCCAGCACTTTGAGAGGCCAAGGCAGGAGGATCACCTGAGGTCAGGGGTTTGAGACCAGCCTGGCCAACATGGCAAAACCCCATCTCTATTAAAAATACAAAATTAGCTGGGCATGGTGGTGAACACCTGTAATCCCAGCTACTCTGGAGGCTGAGACAGGAGATTTCGCTTGAACCCGGGAGGCAGAGGTTGCAGTGAGTTGAGATCACGCCACTGCTCTCCAACCTGGGCAACAGAGTGAGACTCCATCTCAAAAAAAAAAAGTGGGAGGTAAATTACAAGAACTCATGAACTAATGAAGACACTGGGATTTATATACTTGAATGTGGAAGGTGGGAGGAGGGAGAGAAGCAGAAAAGATAACTATTGAGTACTGGGCTTAATACCTGGGTGATGAAATAATCTGTACAACAAACCCTCATGACATGAGTTTACCCATATAACAAACCTTCACATGTACCCCCAAACTGAAAATAATTTTTTTAAATATCAACATTAATTATAGCAATTAGAGTCATAATCTTTTATAACAGAAGAAACTTTGAGTAATTTTTTAATTGTTCCCAGGGCTTATTCTCACACAATATTCTTTCTGATTATTTCTTGTTAACTGCAGAGAAACTATAGAAATGTGAGATACTAAAAATTAAAAATAAATACATTGAAAAACACAAATTCTCAAAATAAAGTTAAGAAGAAATAAATATATAAATAGCTCTACATAGAAATAAATGTAACATATTAATAGATCTATAACAAAGAAAGAGATCAAATTAATTAGAACCTTTACACAAAGAAAAGCCCCAGGACAAATGGCTTAACTGGTAAATTCTATTAAGCATTCAATAAAGAATTAATACTGGGCCAGACGCAGTGGCTCACGCCTGTAATCCCAGCACTTTGGGAGGCTGAGGTGGACAGATCACCTGAGGTCAGGAGTTCAAGACCAGCCTGACCAACATGGAGAAACCCGTCTCTACTAAAAATACAAAATTAGCCTGGTGTGATAGTGCATGTCTGTAATCCCAGCTATTTGGGAAGCTGAGGCAGAAGAATTGCTTGAACCCGGGAGGGAGAGGTTGCAGTGAGCCAAGATCACACCATTGCACTCCAGCCTGGGCAACAAGAGTGAAACTCCATCTCAAATAATAATAATAATTAATACTAACTTTTCACAAATACTCCAAAAAATTGAATCAGTGAAAACATTTCCCCAGTCATTCTATCAGATCAGCATTACTATGATTCCAAAATCAAACAGAAACATTACTAGATAAAAAGTGACTTATCATTATCCTTCATGCATACAGACACTAAGATTCCAAAACAAAAAAAAAACTAGCAAACTGAATCTGAATCTAGCAAAATATAAAACTCTTTAACACCATTGTCAAATGGGATTATTTTGCAAATGCGATGTTGGCTTAAAATCTAAAAATCAAACAATTTTCTAGTTTAGAAAATAAGTAGAACCATCTTCTGTTACAGACTTACATAAACATGTGTATTAGCAAGGTATTCCCCAAAAACCCACTAGACCTAATAAACAAGCTCACCAAGGTCACAAGATACAAAAACAACCTATAAGACTGAATTGTACTTTTATATGAGAGCAATGAAAAATCTGAAAGTAAACAATTCTTTTAATAACAGCATCAAAGAAAGAAACACTTAGAAATAAATTTGCTGAGCGTGGTGGCTCATGCCTGTAATCCCAGCACTTTGGGAGGCCAAGACAGGTGGCTCACTTGAAGACAGGAGCTCGAGACCAGCCTGGACAACGTGGAGAAAACCCGTCTCTACCAAAAATACAAAAATTAGCCAAGTGTGGTGGCACACGCCTGTAGTTCCAGCTACTCAGGATGCTGAGGTGAGAGGATCACCTGAGTCCTGGAGATTGAGGCTTGCAGTGAGCCAAGATAGTGCCACTGCACATCAGCCTGGGTGAGACAGCAAGACCCTGTCTAAACAAACAAACAAGCAAACAAAAACCAGAATGAGATAATAGTTATTGCTCAATAGATTATTATATCAAAAAGATGGTAACAAATGTTAACTAAAGTGTGAAGAATACGGAATCCTCACACGTTGTTGATGAGAATTAAAATAGTGCAGCCATTGCGTGAGAAAAAGGCAATTCTTCATAAAGTTATATATGGTTTTACATATGACTCAGAAATCCCATCCTCAGGTAAATACCCAAAAGAATGAAAATCTGCAGCACTCAAAGATTCATATGTGAATGCTTACATCAGCACTCTTCATGTAGCCAAAATGAATAGAATCCAAATATCCATTAACTAGTGGAAGAAAAAATAGTATGTGCCATAGCCATACAACAGAATATTACTCACTAATCAAAAGGAATGAAGCAGTGACGCATACTACAACAGGAATGGGCCTCTAAAACATTAAGCCAAGTGAAAGAAATCAGACCCAAAAGACTACTTAATTGATCATTTCACTTATAAGAAATTTTTATAAAAGACTCACCTTTAGAAACAGAAAATAGATTGATGATTGTCTAAGGTTGGGACAGTAATAGGGAGTGAATGCTAATTGACTAAAATTTTCTTTAAGAGAAAAAGACCTGCTGACAGAGCCAAAATGCTGACTGGGTGCAAGGAGGAACATCTCCCACCGAGAGACCAGGACATCAGGAAGACGGGCACACTTTGAGCCGATCTTTGGAGGGAAGGCATTGAGAGTTGTTGGAGGGAGAACACAGATGCTGGGCTGAAGCGGGAGGATTCTGGGAATGCTGCACAGGGCTGCTGAGCATTGGAACTCATTCCTGGCCCCCGGTGACTCTTGAAAACAGGTGGGTTGAGCAAGTGAAGAGTGACCCACTCTCACCGCAGACCTCTGGAATTCTAGAAGTAGGAGGTACTACAACCCCCACAAACACTTGAGCTGGCAGAGAGAACTGCTTAGATAGGAGGAAAGGGCTGGACTCTAGCCCGTGCAGAACCCAGAAGGGTTGGCATGGAAATAGCCGCAGTGGGCCACAACCAAGGATGCCCATCCCCCAAGGTTTGTAATGTTCTTCTAGGAGACTTTAGCCTTAGAGTTACTGTCATACCTGGACAGGGCAAGACAGTCTTGCAGTGGAATGGGCCAGTCTGGCTTGAGCACCTTCCTGTCTGCTATCCTCTCCTGAGGACCCAGCATGGCTGCACCCATTTGCAGCACAGCCTCAGATGCCTAACCAGGGTGCTTCCCTGGGGCCCTCATCATAGCTCCTTTGCCGGAAGAATGAACCTGACTGTTGGACAGCTCCAGCAGACTGACCACTGCCAACATGCACCAGCCCACTCACAGATTACCCCCACTACAGCCTCCGCCTGCTGCTTTGCTGGTACAAACTCACCCAAGAACACCCTCTCCCCCCGACTGCCTTGCTGATGTGCAGTGCATGTGGGTGGACCTTGCCTTCCCCACTGGGGCACGTGAACACATGCACCCCACAGCACCTGACCACCACCATTGTGAGTGCACCCCAACACCTTTCCCCTGCTGATGGGCAGGCACCCTGCTCTGCCACCACCACTGGCATGAAAACACACACAAATGCCCACAACTGTGCCACTGCTGCTGCCGGCACAAATGCATGCACAAACACCAGCAATCCACCCCTACTACACCACTGCCATTGCAGGCATGAACGCACACACAAACACTCACAAGCCCACCCTCACCAGTGCTCTGCCACTGCTACTGCCACAACCAGTGTGAGTGTGGGCACCACACGTCTAATTTTAATTGTTTTTGTAGAGACAGGGTCTCCCAATGCTTCCCAGGCTGGTCTTGAACTCTTGGGCTCAAACAATCTTCCTGCCTCAGCCTTCCAAAGTTCCGGGATTATAGATGTGAGCCACTGCTCCTGGACTAGCTCCAATTTTGAAAGAAGTTCTACTCTGTGTAAAGGCTATCAAACAGCATTGCATGTTACAAAGAACTCTTGGGTGAAAGAAAGAGTCAATTGGTATGGCAAATTTTATTGCTGTCTTATTTTAAGAAATTGCCACAGAACCCAACCTTCAGCAACAACCACCCTGATTCACAGCCATCAACATCAAGGAGAGACCCTCAGCCAGGAAAAATATTGTGACTTGCCAAAGGCTCAGATGTTCATTAGCACTTTTTAGCAATGAAGTATTTTAAACTAAGGAGTGTACTTTTTTGGACATAATGCTATTGTACACTTAACAGACTATAGTATCTTGTAAACATAATTTATATGCACTGGAAAACAAAAAATGCATGTGACTTGCTTTATTGCAATATTCACTTTGTTGTGCTGGGCTGAAACTGAACGTGCAATAATTTGTGGTATGCCTGTACCTTTTAAAAAATGAATACAGTGGATAAATATCACAAACATAATGTTACACTAAGAAGCCAGATGCAAAAGTATACATGCTATCTCATTTCATTTCTTTAACAAAATAGCAGACAAAGCAGAGTTTCTGGCTCAGGTAAGGGCGGAGTCGCTTTTTGAACAAACACTCTCACTGAAAATAATAAGTTCTCGCATCCAACACAGGAGCACTCAGATTCATAAAACAAGCTCTTAGGGACCTATGAAGAGACTTAGATAAGCAGACAATAAGAGTGGGAGACTTCGACACCCCCACTGACAGTATTAGAGAAATCACAGTGGCAAAAAAGTAGCAAAGATGTTTGGAACCTGAACTCGACACTTGACCAATTGGACCTAACAGACATCCACAGAACTCTCCACCCCAAAACAACAGAATATACATTCTTCACATGGCACATAATCTAGAATCAACCTTTCAATCGGCCATAAGACAATTCTCAGCAAATTCAAAAAATGAAATTATACCAACCACACTCCTGGACCACAGCACAGTAAAAATAGAAATCAGCACTAAGAAGATGCTCAGAATTATACAATTACATGGAAATTAACAACATGCTCCTGAAAGATTTCTGGGTAAACAATGAAATTAAGGCAAGAATCAAGAATTTCTTTGAAACAATGACAACAAAGATACAACATACCAGAAACTCAGGGACACAGCTAAAGCAATGTTAAGAGGAAAGGTTAAAGCACTAAATGCACACGTCAGTTAGAAATATCTCGAATTAACAACTTCACATCACAACTAGAAGAACTAGAAAAACAAGAGCAAACCAAACTCAA